>NC_000015.10:31155661-31458692 GCF_000001405.40 Homo sapiens
TATTTTTCTCTCTTAAAAGGAGGGAAGGAAGAAGGGAGAAAGGGAGGGGGAGAGAGAGAGAGAATGAACATTACTGAGGACTAAACTCTGACCTTTTTTCTCTCTTGCCCAAATTCCTATCTAAGGGACTGGGGAGTCATGCCTTACAGACCATAAAATCTCATCAGTTGGGTTTCATTTAACTGTATATAATGTGACTTACTTTCCAACCTGACTATGGCATAACATCACATGACAGATAAAGAAGGAAATCGGCCAGGTGCAGTGGCTCACACCTGTAATCCCAGCGCTTTGGGAGGCCAAGGCAGGTGGATCACTTGAGATCAGGAGTTGAAGACCAGCCTGGCCAACATGGTGAAACCCCGTCTCTACTAAAAATACAAAAATTAGCCAGGCATGGTGGTGGGCACCTGTAATCCCAGCTACTCTGGAGGCTGAGGCACAAGAATCAGTTGAACCTGGGAGGCGGAGGTTGTAGTGAGTCGAGATTGTACCACTGCACTCCAGGCTGGGTGACAGAGCGAGACCTCTGTCAAAAAAAAAAAAAAAAAAAAAAAAAAGGAAATCAAAATATTTTACCCCAGAATATGTTTCTTTGCCATATTTTGAAATGGCCCGCCATCTTTTGTGGGGGAAAATTTGCAGCTGTAAAGAGTTCTATTAACATAATAGAGCTTTCCCCTTCTAGGCCCTCCCACTGCTGAAGAGATTAGCTGAGAGTCTAGCACCTTTTAAAGACCTGAACAGGAAACATTTGCCATCTATTGTCTCTAAGGGTGGCCACCTAAGAGACATCATCTACATAATAAGAACTTTGAACTTCACAACTCCTTATCTTAACCCAGACACTTCTTTCTATTGATTCCAGGTTTTTGATAATAACTCTTTCAACCAATTGCCAACCAGAAAACCTTTGTATCCACCTATGTGACCTGTGGGCCACCCTCCCCACAATATGTCCCCATTTCCAGGCCGAACCAGTGTATACCTCACATGTATTGACTGATCTTTTACGTCTCCCTATAATGTATAAAGCCAAGCTCTAACCCAGTGCCTGGGCGCATGTTCTCGGGACCTCTTGAGACTGTGCCTTGGGCCATGATCATTCATATTTGGCTCAGAATAAATGTCTTTAAATGTTTCACAGAGTTTGACTATTTTTGTCAACATTATAGATACAGCTAACCATCTCCACTTTGAAGAGATGTATGTATTTATTTTGGATTTCCCTTGTTTTAGATTTTTCTATAAATAGTGTACTTACATTTATTTTTTTTTTTTTGAGATAGGGTCTCACTCTGTTGCCCAGGCTAGAGTGCAGCTCGCTGCATCCTTGACCTCCTTGGGCTCAAGTAGTCCTCCCACCTCAGCCTCCTAATACCTGGGACTACAGGTGCACTCCACCACACCTGGTTAATTTTTTGTATTTTTCATAGAGATGGGGCTTCACCATGTTGCCCAGACTCGTCTCAAACTCCTGGACTCAAGCAATCTGCCCGCTTTGGCCTCCCAAAGTGCTGGGATTACAAGTGTGAGCCACCACGCCTGGCTAGTGGCTTATTTTTTAATCCAGCAGTATGTTCTGAGGTTTATCCATGTTGATACAGGTGGCTTGGTTCATTTGTTTTAAGTGCTGTGTAGTATTTCATTATGTGAATAAACAAAAGCTTACCTATACTGTTTTGAATGAACTGTTTGTTGTTTCTGGTCTTCTACAGCATGAATGTGAATGTGAGCATTTTTGCACATTTCCTTGTACACATGTGCTAGAATTTGTCTAAGGCAGATGGGTACAATTGCTGGGCTATCCTATTATTAATCGTATTTAGGATCTTGAACTTTGACTCTTGACTTTATGTGTCTTTTAGCAACAACAAAAAAAATGTAGACAGGGATAAAAGTGCAAGGCAGAATCTCATTTTTCTTCTCCTGCATGAGTACTTGGAGGTCTTTCCTGGAAGAGGGACTGTTTTGGCCAGTGGGGCCTCCAAGCAGCAGGCTGCTGAGGGATGGAGCTCAAGGGTCCCCAGTGTCCCCAGGGATTTGCTCACTGCCTCAGGATTCCACGCTGTGCACCCCAGTTGGTCTAAGACCAAGGGAAGAGCTTCAGAGCTGGGAAGAGCTGGCCAGCCAAGGACAAAGGGTCAGATCTGCCTTGTACAAATAGAGGGCCAGGCGAGATGACCCTGGAAGACTCGTACATAGTGCAGTTTGTGTTTGTTTTTCCCACAGGGCAGCTGGTGTGTTTCAACAAACACGGTGCAGAGGGGTGCTGCTTTCGATTAGGAAACCGGGAACCGACACTGAGCTGCTGCGTCAATGAAGGGCCTAGTGTGCAACGAGATAGAATGAAAACAGCCCACTGTATGCTCATGTGATTTCACGGCTGTTTCCTAGTACTTCTTTAAGAATGGCTTCCTTAAAGCCAGAGGTATTGTCTTTCATTCTTCCACCAATAATTTTACTTCTTAAGTGAGGGCTTTTATAAATAGGCCTTAGGGCAAACTGTGCCATCAAGGTTCTTAACTCCTACAAGTTTTTGTAGGAGTTTGGCATGCACCACTGTTACAGGACAGGGGTCCAGATCCAGACCCCAAGAAAGGGTGCTTGGATCTCGTGCAAGAAAGATTTCAGGGTGAGTCCACAGTGCAAAGTAAAAGCAAGTTTATTAAGAGAGTAAAGTAGGCTGGGCTCGGTGGCTCACGCCTGTAATCCCAGCACTTTAGGAGGCCGGAGCGGGCAGATCACGAGGTCAGGAGATTGAGACCATCCTGGCTAACACAGTGAAATGCTGTCTCTACTAAAAATACAAAAAATTATCCGGGTGTGGTGGCAGGTGCCTGTAGTCCCAACTACTTGGGAGGCTGAGGCAGGAGAATCGCTTGAACCCGGGAGGTGGAGGTTGCAGTGAACTGAGATCGCGCCACTGCACTCCAGCCTGGGCGACAGAGTGAGACTCCATCTCAAAAAAAAAAAAAAAAAAAAGAGTAAAGTAGTGAAAGAACAGCAGAACAGCTACTCCATAGACAGAGTAGGACGTTCCCAAAAGTAAAAGGAGGAACACGTCCACCCTAGGTGTGATACTCATATATACGGAGAGATGTGTTCTGCTACAAGGGTTTGTGATAAAGGATTTATTTTCTTAATTATTATATTTTGCAGGAATCAATATTATCATCTTTAAAGCAAAATTAGGAATCCCTTTGTTCTCCAGATATCCAGATATCTGGACACTCCCAAGTCTGGGTCTGTTTAGTAAACATTATTAATTTGTTGCCATAACTGTAAACATCTAGAGACGAGGAATGCCTAACTTTCTGAGAATGCAGCCCAGCAAGTCCCAGCCCCATTTCCCCAGCCCTCACTCAAATGGAGTCGCTCTGGTTCAAACACCTTTGACCCCACCACAGCATGGGATCACCTCAGATAGGGGGAGGAGGTCACCTTCGTCCTTGGGCTTGAAGTAATGCAGTGTGAGGTCCTGTAGGAATGGCTGTGCGTGTGCGGGTATAAAGGAGGTGCTGTTTTTCAGTCTGGACCAAAATCGAAGTGATTCTCCCCTCCTCCCCTTTTGCTGAATTCCCTGCTCCCAGACCCTACCCATTGCAATTTCAAGGCACCAAACATACAGCAGTACACTGGGCACAGGTGAACAGGTGACATCAAATTCAAGAACAACAAAAGCCTGTTCCTTTTCAGAGCTTATCAGCAAGAACAGTGTGGGCCAGCTTTGTGCTGGGGAGGAGGAGGTCACGTGGAGCCACCTGGCCCGGGCTGCACGGCCAGTGGCATGTCTCTTGTTTCTGCCAAATGCAGCAGTGCATTTGCGAATGTGAACTTACACAAGAACATGGGTATGTGCTGTCTCTAAAAATAATGCTGACTCTCACACATGCGCACAAAAGCAGATATATGCGCCTGTCCCCCACTGAGCCCCAAGGATGGATCTTTCCCATTTTGGAATGGAGGCGAGCTTTAACTCTTTATTGTTATTATTTTTTAAAGAGCCTTTTATTTTTTCTATTTGCATTTTCAGGTTCATGAGATGTCAGAGACTTGCAAACACCTGGTTCAACATCTGCTTCTGCCCCATTTTATGGACGGGGAGACTGCAGCCTGGTGAGCTGGGTATGGATGGGAAGCAGTTCCCGCCTAGGGCTCTGTTTTTAGCCCAGATAAATAACCTCTCTGAGTGTGGTCACCTGGCTCACACTGCTTCAGCGGCTCCGTTCCCAGCTCTGGGGTACTGGTGGGCATGTCGTGGGTGCTCAGTAAGTGCCAGCTGGGGGGCTGTATCCTCCCCAGCCCACACAAGGGCTGCACCTACTGCCGCTCTGCCAGCTCCCTTGCTGCCTCCCCCCACCCTTCTGTGCACAATGGGCAGCCCCCTGGAAGAAGCAGAGATCCCCACTGAGCCCTCAGGGCATGCAAGTGGTGTCCAGAGGCTTCCGGTGTGGTCTGGGCTTGCCTCCCACTGCATGCGAGGGGCAGTCAGGGAGTTAGGGTGAGGTGGTGGCCTGCCCAGTCTCCTTGGGCTCAAGTGGTCCTTTAAGGCAGCCCTGGGTGCTCAGTTCCCAGGCTGGCTCAGAGTCACCTAGGAAAAGCACACCTAAGATTCAAATCAGCATGTGCTGTGGGAGGTCCTGTCTGGGGTTCCTGGGAGAGGCCGTTCCCCACAGCTGGTGCCTAGTCCTGGGAGCCTCTTGCCCTCCCAGGTTCTCACTTAGGGCCCCTCTGGCCCTCCCTCCTGTTAGATGCTGCTGCCTGCTTTCCTCTGCCAGACCCCATCCCCTAAGGGCGAGGCCCAAGCCTGAGTCATCCCTGGGTCCCCATGGCCCACACAAACATCTGATGCAGAACAGAGGGTGAGCTTGAGTCCAGCAGAGAGAACTAAGGGGCACCACCCTCGTGGGGAAAGCAAGAGATGCAAAACTCCGCAACTGCTGACTCTGGAATGGTGAAAGGATTTGTGCCACTCAGACGCCTCCCGGGTTTGCCACAGCCACTCGAAGGTGGGAGCAACTGAGACCACAGGCGTTGGACACCGTGGCAGGAAACATAGGGCACCTTCTGAGAAGGGACCCTGACGTGAGAGCTCTGAACACCCCATGCCCCATGCCCACCCAGCACAGTTTGGGAGGACAGGACCCGCTGGGCCAGCACTCTGAGATGACAGAGCTGGAGACCAGTGTCCCTCTGCCCTTCCGCCCAGCTGCCCGCAGGCCACTGGCAAAGCTCACTCACCTTCTGCGACCCTGATGTGGAGCTCTTGAGCGAGCCCCGCTTGAAGGAGCTCATCTCTCTCAGTGAGCCTGTGAGCCACCCTGCTGACTCCCTCGGGTGGCCAGGCCAGTGGCACAGGGGCTGCCCTCCCTGGGTGGGCAGGAGCGGAGCCACACACTCGGCGGCAGCCCCACACTCGGCGGCAGCCCCACGCACTGGGCGAGGGGGCCGAGATCCTGGGGCGAGGCCGGCCGGAGGCTGGTTCAGCCTAGGAGGAGCATGTGCTGGCTTTTGGTGGCCCCTCCTGCCCGACTCCTGCTACCACCCCCAACATCTGTAATCAGGCTTAATCCCTCCATCCCCAAAAGGTTTAGAGGGAAGAGATTTAGCAAATGGAGATTGAAAGTAAATCTACTTTGAGAAAGTGGTGGCTGCAAAGGGTGGTCAAATGGGAAGGATTTGGGCGTCTGGAAAGGCGCATTGCGAGGGCAGACAGCCCCTTGCTGCTGGCATCTGAGGCCCCTTGGAGGGTGGCATCCAGATCCCAGAGGCCCGGTGCCCACCTGGCCAACCGCCTGAGTCTCAGAGAAGAATTTGCATCCAGGCCCAGGCTGTGGGTCTCAGCTCTCTCCTTGGAGCTGCCAGTGCGCATTTTCGCCCCGTTAATCTGGCAGCGACACAGCAAGCCTTCTTCTGAAGATCCTGTGGCCGGTGGCCCGTCTGTTCTGTGCTGCTCTGTGTGTGGGGCTCTCTGTGTCATTTCTGATTTCAGGGGTGCCTGTCTTGCCCCTCTTAAAGGCAGATGGGGTCATGGGTCTTTGCAGCACAAGCCTGGCCTGAAGTGTACCACCCTTGCTGCCGACCCTCCTCTGTCTCTTACAGGCACATGCATGTCACCTCCCACATGCAAGGGAACAGACTGGAGCTCAGAGAGAACAGGCCATGTATTCCCATCGTCTTAGATAGATTTTTATCTAAGGACCAGCAAGCTGAAAATAAAATAATAGAAGGCTGTGGAGCCCTCATAGCTGTGAGGCCAGGACCCACCACCTCCTCTGGGAGGCCTGTCGGCTGTGGAAGTTTGGAGGGTGGAGGCATGACCTCCACCTCTTGGGGTCTGGCTTACAACCAACACATCTCTTATGGTGCGGGGCCGGCCCTCTGTTCCCCTCTATCTCTCACACCCCTGAAGTGAATTCAACTGATATATTTTGAGCTGGTACTATGGGCCACATATTGTATACATCAAGTGCTAGGGATACATCTGGGAACAGCAGGGGAGAGTCCCTGCCTTCCTGGAACTGACCTTATCATGGGGAGGCAGATGCCTCGAGCAATAAACTATATAGCATGCCAGAGGGTGTAAGAGCCAGGCAGGGAAAGAAAGCAGAGAGAAAGGCCGGGCTGGGGGCGGTGGCAATTTTAAATAGGAAAGGTCTCTGAGGACCATCCTGGCTAACACGGTGAAACCCCGTCTGTACTAAAAAACAAAAAATTAGCCAGGCGTGGTGGCGGGCACCTGTAGTCCCAGCTACTCGGGAAGCTGAGGCAGGAGAATGGCGTAAACCCGGGAGGCGGAGCTTGCAGTGAGCCGAGATCGTGCCACTGCACTCCAGCCTGGGTGACAGAGTGAGACTCCGTCTCAAAAAAAAAAAAAAAGAAAAAGGAAAGGTCTCTGAGAAGATGGCTTTTGAACAGAGACTGGGAGCAGGTGGCTGGTGAAGGAGCCCACTGGGCAGGGATGTGGGAGGAGGATTTCCAGGCAGAGGCAGCAGCCAAAGGCCTTGACTCTGGAGCCTGGCTGACATATTCAAGGAAGACCAAGAAGGCACAGGCGGCTGGGAGAGGGGATGCAGGGATGAGGGCAGCTGCAGAGGCAATAGTGCAGGACCTGGGAGCCATTCTAAGCACCTTGGGGTTCGTTTCTGATTATGATCTGATGTGCAGTTTGAAGGGACCACCGTGGTTCTTAAGGTGCACTAGCCAGCGGGTCCAGGGCTGCAGTGGGAACCTTGACAACCTGGAACAGGGTGGGGCCAGAGGAGTGATGGGTGGAGGTCTGACTCTTGAGAGTGTTGGAGGGTGGAGTCAAGAGGATGTGCAGGAGGGTCAGATGTGGGATGTGTGAGGAGGACAGACATCAGGAAGCTGCAAGGCTTTGGGCCGGGACTGCCCGAAAGATGGGGTCACCTGAGGTGACATGGAGAAGGCTGTGGATGGGGTGGGCTTGGGGGAGGGGCCACGCCTTCTGTGTTGCTAAACATAATGGCTTTTTCCAGTCCTAATTTTCTGAGGCCTCGCAGAGGATTGGATGCAGCCGATGCCTCATCCTCAGGCCGTCCCAGTTTGCCTCCTTGTCCTCAGGCAAATCCTCAGCACCCTGCGTGGTCTGACATCTTGCGTCTAACTGGAATTGTTACATTCCTTGAGGCTCTGTGCAAGCCCTCCTTTCCTCTCACTGGACCCTGGGTGACCTCCCCCTCCCTGTCAGCTCCGTTACCATGGGCACCCTCCTGCCCTGACCACCCATCCGGGGCTCTCTGCACCTCGTACTGGGCTTCCAAGCTGGCTCCCCATCGAAGAACCCGCCTCAAATGCAGCACTTCCCCACCACTCTCTGGTCCACTTCTTGCCCTGGTCTTCCTCTAGGTTTCCTGTCTCAGTGATGGCTACCCCATCAGCAAGACAGGAAGCCTTCATGCTCTGGGACTCCATGTCCTAGCCACCTCTGTACTGTGGTCTCCCAGACAGCTGTCTACACCTATGCAAAAAAGGGTAACTTTAAAAAATGCAGATCTGGTCAGGTAATGTTCCTGCTCAAAGCCCCTCAGAGCTCAGGACTGACTCAGATCCTCACCTGCCTCTAAGATGCTGCCTTTGCCCGCCTCCCTGCCGTGGCATCCTTTGCCCTTCTCCCCTGCCATGCTCCTTGGGCAGCACAGCGTTCTCTTGTCCTCAGCAGTACTGAGATGCTGGCCATGGCATGTGTGTGTAACGTTACTTGGCTAACCTGTGCCTCCTATCTCTGGGCCTCCTGGCACCTGTCCTGGATCTGTTGGGCTCACCAGTTCTATCATTTCTTTGAGTTTCAGAGCATTGCAAAAGTATGGAAATGCTCCAAACTTGTCTTATGAAGCTAGTACAATCCTAACACCAAAGCCAGATCAGGAGAGGTCACCTTAGACCAGTTCACTGGTGAAAACAGACACAAAACTTAGAAAGAATACAGTAACGGCTGGGCACAGTGGCTCACCCCTGAAATCCCAGCACTTTGGGAGGCCAAGGCAGGGGGATCACTTGAGGTCAGGAGCTCGAGACCAGCCTGTAATCCCAGCTGCTCCAGAGGCTGAGGCAGGAGAATTGCTTAAACTTGGGAGGCAGAGGTTGCAGTGAGCAGAGATCATGCAACTGCCCTCCAACCTGGGTGACAAAGTGAGACTCCATCTGAAAAAGAAAAAAAAAAAAAGAATATGGGAACAAGTTGAATCTAGTGCAGTTCTAAAAGAACAAGACCACATGACCAGCACAGGCAACAGGCATACCTTATTCTCAGGAACGCAAGGATGACTCAACACTGGAAAATCCATTCATGTAATTAAGCATATTAACAGATTAATGAAGAAATGCCCTGTGATCATCTCAATAGCTGCCAAAACCATATGGTCCATCTCAGTAGAGCCAAAAAAAAAAAAAAAAAAAAAAAAACCACACAAGAAAAAGAAGTCTAAACCAAAAACAAACAAAACCCCAAAATATTTGACATTTAGAAACAATTCCTTATTAAAATAGAAACAAACAAAAACTCTCAGCAACCTAAGAATACAAGGAAACTTCTGTAACTTGATGGCAGATACCTCCTAGAGGCATCCTGCAGGCATCCATGATAATTGGTGAAATATTAGAAACAGTTTCATAAAGATCAAGGACAGAATAAAGCCTGCTGTCTCCATAGTTTTATTCAACATTTTCCTGGAGGTTCTAACCAATGCAGAAATATAGTAAGACAAGAAAAAGAGGCCAGGCGCAGTGGCTTACGCCTGTAATCCCAGCACTTTGGGAGGCTGAGGTGGGCGGATCACCTGAGGTCAGGAGTTTGAGACCAGCCTAACCAACATGGAGAAACCCCGTCTCTACTAAAAAATACAAAATTAGCCGGGCGTGGTGGCACATACCTGTAATCCCAGCTACTCGGGAGGCTGAGGCAGGAGAATTGCTTGAACCTGGGAGGCGGAGGTTGTGGTGAGTCAAGATTGTGCCATTGCACTCCAGCCTGGGCGGCAACAAGAGTGAAACTCCATCTCAAAAAAAAAAAAAAAAAAAAAAAAAAGAAAGAAAGAAAGAAAGAAAAAGAGAGAAGTAGTATGAACATTGAGAAGGAATAGAAAAAAATATATATCTGCCCATAAAAAGCCAGGAAAACTAGCAAGCAAACTATTCAAATTAAGAAGAGGATTCAGTAAGATTGCCAGATACTAGGTCGACAGGAATAAAATAACAGGTTTTCTGTCCTCAAGCATAGTCAATTAGAAAATAGTTCCCATCATATTGCAAAAGAAACAGTAAAACACTTAGTAACAAGCCTAGAAAGAAGTGTGTAAAGTCTATAGGAAGAAAACAATAAAATTTTACTGAAGAACATAAAAGGAGATCTTGACAAAAAATATATTTTCTTTTCTTTTCTTTCTTTTCTTCTTCTTTTTTTTTTTTTTTTTTTGAGATGGAGTCTCACTCTGTTGCCCAGGCTGGAGTTACAGTGGCACGATCTCGGCTCACTGCAACCTCTGCCTCCCAGGTTCAAGTGATTCTCCTGCCTCAGCCTCCCGAGTAGCTGGGACTACAGCCACGCACCACCACCCCAGCTAATTTTTGTATTTTTAGTAGAGACGGGGTTTCACCATGTTGGCAGGATGGTCTCGATCTCTTGGCCTTGTGATCCGCCCGCCTCGGCCTCCCAAAATGCTGGGGTTACAGGCGTAAGCCACCACGCCTGGCCGACAAAATATATATTTTCATTCATTGCTGGAATATTTTTAAGAAATCAATCTCACAAGAGCTATTAAAGTATACATACTCTTACTAGCAATTCCTATCCTGGGAATTCATTCCTTAAAAATTAAAACTGTGATATGTAAAAATATACTTTCAAGGATGTTAACTTATCTGTAAACTGTATGCCATACTGACAACATTACTCTCAGTATTTTCAATGATTGTTTATAGTGGCAAAAAAATCCCCACAAAACTGGAAACAAAGTCAGTGCCCTTCAAAGGAAAAATAGTAGAATAAATTGTGGTGCATGCACACCATGGAATAATATATAACCATTTAAAACAGTTGGTTCTATGCCAGTTGACGTGGAAGGATTTCCATAATATATTTTTATGGAAACCGAGAAGCAAGATGCAGATAGGTATAGAAAGTGTATATAGTATGATGTAATATTTTTGTAAAACAAAACATATATATATATATATAGATGTTACATCTATCTGTATTGATATCTTTTTTCTTTTTTGAGATGGAGTCTCGCTCTGTTGCCCAGGGTGGAGTGCAGTGGCTCAATCTCAGCTCGCTACAGCCTCCGCCTCCCGGTTCAAGTGATTCTCCTGCCTCAGCCTCCCGACTAGATGGGACTACAGGTGTGTGCCACCACACCTGGCTGGTTTTTCTATTTTTAGTAGAGACGGGGTTTCACCATGCTGGTCTCGAACTCCTGACCTCAGGTGATCCACCCGCCTCAGCCTCCCAAAGTGCTGGGATTACAGGCGTGAACCACTGCACCCATGAACATGTATAATAAAAACGTATTACACATGTTTACAAAAAGATTACATCTATCAGTCAATCAATTTATCTTCTAACCTATGGTGTGTTTATTTGAACGTTGAGAAAAGTATAGATGGATATATAGTAAATCTATGTTTTAATTCCAGTTTTAAAAATGTTTATTTTATGTATATTTTATTTTTAGAAAAAATACAAATTAAAAATTAAAGACATGCTCTCTCTATTTTGCCCAGCCCAGTCTCGAACTCCTGGGCTCAAGTGATCCTCCTGCCTTGGCTGCCCAAAGTGCTGGGATTGCAGTACGAGCCACCTCACTCGGCCAATTCTAGTTTTAACGTTTAGCAAAATGATACACATGTGCTGAACAGTTATACGACCCACAATAAAACTTAACCTCTGCCTTACCTTTTCCCCCTTCATCTCCTGTTCATTGAGATAATCATTTTCAATTCACTTATCTGTTTTTTTGGTATTTACCTCCAGATTCTAAATAACATACATTTAATATTATTTCTTAGTTTTTCAATTGTAGACTTTATAATTGACTTTTTATTAAGGAAGGTAAATATATAGATATTGTAGCCCTCACCACTCCCACCAACCACACTTCCTTTCCTGCAGTCTTCATGGGGTGATGTCATAGTTCTGGAGTAAATTAATATTTGGTGTTCTCTTTACTATGGAATAATTTACTTATAGTTCATATAGCGTTTGTATAGTTTCCCTTCACCTTTTAATTTTGCCTGAAGTTGATACTTGCTGAGTTTTCCTTCATTTAATTAGTTTTGTTTTTATTATTAACTTATCTCTAAACTCTATTCCAGACCTGTAACATAACTCTGAATATTGTCAAATTGGTGACACATGCATTCCATTTTCTTCTTGGAACCAACCTGCTTCTATCTGGCTGCTCTCTAGGTTGGCTCCAACCATATCACTCTAGCTTGGGATGGAGCTGGGAGTTTCCCTCCCTTCCCCGACCTGACTCTTCCCCCAACCCCATCCCAGTCTCCCTGGGGTCACTGGGGCCTTTTCACCAACTCACCTGGAAGCTTTCTCCCTGCCCTCTGTTTCCCTGAATTACTGACAAAGAAAGGCAGGGTTTCCTGGGGAACTTTTCACCTCTCAGCCCCAGGAAACTGTGGGTAGAGGCGCTGAACTTGGGGTGGAGGCAGGAGGGGTTGATTCAGAAACAATAAGCCCTAATGACCGATGTCATCTGCTCCAGAAATTACCAGCTCAGTTTCAGTTTGAAAGACCTGATTCCGGGCCAGGCGCGGTGGCTCACGCCTGTAATCCCAGCACTTTGGGAGGCCGAGGCGGGTGGATCATGAGGTCAGGAGATCGAGACCGTCCTGGCTAACAAGGTGAAACCCCGTCTCTACTAAAAATACAAAAAATTAGCCGGGCGTGGTGGCGGGCGCCTGTAGTCCCAGCTACGCGGGAGGCTGAGGCAGGAGAATGGCATGAACCCGGGAGGTGGAGCTTGCAGTGAGTCGAGATCATGCCACTGCACTCCAGCCTGGGTGACAGAGCGAGACTCCGTGAAAGAAAGAAAGAAAGAAGGAAGGAAGGAAGGAGAGAGACAGAGAGAGAGAGAAAGAGAGAGAGAGAGAAAGAAAGAAACAAACAAAGAAGAAAGAGAGAGAGAGAAAGAAAAAGAAAGAAAGAAAAGAAAAAGAGAGAAAGAAAGAAAGAAAGAAAAGAAAGACACAATTCCGGCCAGCAAGGAGCTCACCTTCTGCCAGGAGGACATGCATGTGAACACTTACCAGGAAGAATAAAATGACTGCTCTGAGAGAGCTACCTGTCAAATACACAGTCGTGGTTGCCTGCCGCTCTGTGTTGGAAAGACATTGAGGCCACCTGGGGACCGCAGATAAAGAACTCTAATGGACCAGCTCCGACTGCCATGGGTCAGATGAGGTGGCTCGGGCTGTGTAGTGGTCATATTCAGCATGTCTGGCTAGTAGCAGGAGCCACTGATTTTCACTAAGGGCATCATTTTTGCCAACAGATACCTGTGCTTCAATCTCTTCCCATCTGTATCTTTCTCTCTATCTTGTTTTCTTTATCTATTGTTTTTTATTTATTTTTATTTATCTATATCTATTTATCTATATTTCTCTATCTATTGTTTTCTTTCTCTGCCTGTCTGTGTCTGTCTCTCCTGCCATCTCCCTCTTCATGTTGCCCTGTAGTTTTCCCCTTAAAAACGTGTAAATTGGTTTGTCAGGGAACAAAATGTCTTCGATGGTTTGAGGCCAAGGAAGAGAAGAGTCTCATGGTAGCAGCACCCAGAGAAAGCCCAGGCTGGAGAGCTCGGCAGGAGGGCTCTTCTCTGGGTCGGGGTCAGGATGCTTCTAAAAGTGGATGGCCTCGAAACTTTCTGCAAAAACAGACTGAGGGAGCTCATGTCATTAAATGTGCCATTAGAAATCTCCAGACCCCAAAGAGTGGAAAGAATTCACTTCACATTAAGCCCAAACGTGATTATTCTCGCTCCATCCCCCAGGCTTAGCGGTCTGCATTTTGGAGCATCCCAAATCAGGATTAAAAGTGAGCATGCGGCCGGGCGCGGTGGCTCACGCCTGTAATCCCAGCACTTTGGGAGGCCGAGGCGGGTGGATCATGAGGTCAGGAGATCGAGACCATTCTGGCTAACAAGGTGAAACCCCGTCTCTACTAAAAATACAAAAAATTAGCCGGGCGCGGTGGCGGGCGCCTGTAGTCCCAGCTACTCGGGAGGCTGAGGCAGGAGAATGGCGTGAACCCGGGAGGCGGAGCTTGCAGTGAGCCGAGATTGCGCCACTGCAGTCCACAGTCCGGCCTGGGCGACAGAGCGAGACTCCGTCTCAAAAAAAAAAAAAAAAAAAAAAGTGAGCATGCAGGGCCAGGCCAGAGCTGAGCCCCTGAACAGAGTGGGGGAGCACCTGTACGGGGAGAGCGGCCGAGGCTGCCCTGCGGTGTCGGAGTTGGGGATGACTTCTCATCTCTGTGGCCCATCTGGCTGCCCACCTGCCACTGTGTCACAGGACGTGAGACAGGTGGACCTTCTCTGAGAGTCTGCTCTGTGCTGGGAGGGGACCTGGGCTCAGCTATGCAGAGCTGTGGGGCTTTGGGCATGTTGACTTCCCTTCCCCATAGCTGCAAAAGCCCCACATGGCCCACTGTTTTGGTCAGAGGTCCTAATATGTGGGGGAGTCCCTTGTAAACCGCAGAATGCTTCCTAATTTAAGGCTTAGGGTATTGCTGCAATGATCAAGGTTTGAGGCTAGCAGACTGGCTGCCTTGATTTTGACAAATTTGGGCACAGTCATCCACAGACACAGTCTGCTTCATTCTAACATTTTTCACATTTATTAGTTGAGTGTCTGATATTTGGAAAAGATGGAATTTATTGCTAGAATTCATGGTGAGCCAGTCCTCTAAGGCTCAGGAAGGCTGCACAGGGCAGATGGAGTCTCATCATTGTGTGCCCCAAGTCGCACCACAGTTGAGAGACCCCAAATGGGTTTTATGCCCTACGGGTGACTAGGATCACTAAGCACAAGCAATTTGGGACATCCTGTTCTAGGAGGGACGAGAACATTGCCCAGGCGGTTCTGGGCAGCTCCTCCTTATCTCAGGCAGTTGCAACCTCAGTACACTCCACAGTGATTTTAAGATCCATGAGCAGATGGGGAAGAGCTAGGTTGGCCAAGGCCAGCCAGAGACCTGTCCTCCTGCAATACAGCTCACAGTCCCTTCCCTTTGCCCTCTATCTTCCTCCAGACCCCGGCTACTCTAGGTCACATCTGGTGTCTCTCACCCTGGGTCACTGCTTTCTACCCTCCCTACTTCCAGGGCCAGGGTAGGCCCAGAGACTAGGGACCACTCTTGCCAAGCCTCAGTGGACAGTGTGTCACGTGCATATTATTTCTCTTCTGTGAGACTAGACCCCTGATCTTGCTACTGCACCCCAGAACCAAAGAAGGTGTGTGCATGGGAGGGGCTCCCACCAACACACCTCCCAGGGGGCTGCCTGAGGACCACCAAGCTCTGCCCAAGCCCCGGAGTGCAGCTTAGTGTACCATGAAGCTGCCAGGGTTCATTCTCAAGAGCATGCAGACCTGTCCCGAGAGGAGCATGTCTCTCCCAGAGCAAAAATTGGAGGCAAACTGCGTTTCAGTGTGAGGTTCTGGGGGCTCATGTTTAGATGAAGGCATCCAACTTGGTAATTGTAACCACATACTACAAACAAACATCTGCAAATATTAAAAATGCATTTTCCCTAGAGATCTCCATGAATTGTCAAGGGTAGAGTGACCAGGGTGGTCCTGATTCATGTCGCTGGCTCCTAAGGGCTCAAAGGCATAGTTACCATGCCCAGAGTGAGGAGAGGGTATCACTACTTAGGGGATTATTGGTTCATTTGGCATCAAGAGGTGCCACACCTCCATGGTGTGGACTTTGGCTCCATGGACCCCAGCCTCCCGCAACCTGCCTGTGTCTGCCCAGCAGATGAAGGGTACCTGCAGAGGTGGGAGGGGGTAAGGCTAACACTCACTCCTCTGCTTCTGCCAGTCCCTTCCCTGGCCTCCGCCAGGCATATGACAACCTTCCCGATGTCCGTGTCATCAGCTTGGGCTGCTGTGACTAAGGACCACAGGCTGGGGGTCTTCAACATTGGAAGTCATTGCCTCACAGTCCTGGAGACTGGAGGTCTGAGACTGAGGTGTGGGCAGGGCTGGTTTCTCCTGAGGCCTCTCTCCTTGGCTTAGAATTGGCCATCCTCTCCCTATGTCCTCACATGGCTGTCTCTCTGTGCACATCTGTGTCCAAATTTCCTCTTTTTTTCTTTTTTCTTTTAGAGACAGGGTCTCGTCACCCAGGCTGGAGTGCAGTGGCCCAATCATGGCTCACTGCAGACTCCAGCTTCTGGGCTCAAGTGATCCTCCTGCCTCAGCCTCCTGAGACACTGGGACCACAGGTGTGAGCCATCATGCCCGGCTAAACTAAATTTCCTCTTCTTATAAAGACACCAGTCAGATTAGATTAGGGTCCATGCCAAAGACCTCATAAACTTAGTTATTTCTTTAAAGACTGTTGTCAAATACAGTTTCCTTCTGACGCCCTCAGGGTTAGGGTTTCGGCATATAAATGCTGGGGTACATGATTCATCCCATACACCCTGGAGGAGGTTCCCTGGCCCCTTAGCTGTATGGCGTGTGTCCCTCTAGCTCTGCAGTCTCCCGAGAGTCATTTCCCCTACACCTCCGGCTCCTCAAGCTGCCTGCTTCCCACTCTGCCAGCCTGAGTTCTTGGAGGCACTCACAGTGGCGCCATGCGGGAGGTATCAGCTCTGGGTGACTTTGGCCCAGCCCATGGCACAAGAGGTGCTCAGAACCTGTTGCTGGCCCAACAGTAAGCAGGCAAGTGAACCCAAGGGTGGAAAGATGGTGCTCTGAACCACGTTTTCCTGGAAGCGCAAGCTGGGTGGGTGGGTGAGGGGCACCCTGGCCTGGCCTAGCTGCCTCCAATGGCCCCTCCATGGTGTGGGCCTTGCCTCCCTGGACCCCAGCCTCCCCCAACCCACTTTCCCATCTCTCAGAAGAGAGGGGAGCTGAGGGAAGCATGTCCCCTGCAGGCCTCACCACCCTCCTCTGGCTCTGCACCTGGACTGGCCCGGCCCCTACCCAGGGATCACCTCAAGTGCTGGTTAAGCACTGGCCCAGGGAGTGGAGGCCGGGCTGCGGGTCACCCCAGCTTTGGTAGGACCTCTTTTGTGTACGAAATAATTATACGTGTGCCATTTGATGTTGTAGCTGAGCTTTTAAAAGGCTCGGGGGAAAATGGATAAGAAATTTCAGTTTTATATGGAAAACATGCCTGGGAACCAAGCCACCCCACTGGGCTCTGAAAGCAGCAGACGCTTAGCTTAGCACTGATGGTAAGTACTTCTTCTGAAAAGGAGAGCAAAAGGATGAAAGAACATGCCCTGGATGGGGGGCACTGCGCCTGGGGGTCTCTAGCAGGCCAAGTGTTTTCAGGGACTTGTCTCTTGTCCACCCCTGCAGGCCTGTTCCTGACACCAAGCACAAAATCTGTGCCCGCTAGGGCTTGCCTCCACCCTGTGGGTGGGAAAGCCAGGGCTCAGCGGCCTTGGGCCCCCTTAGGGCTGCTGGGGTTCCAGTCAGCCTCTGGTCACAGCTGCGCCTGTCCTCCCTTCTCCTCCAGGCCATGCCCAGCACCCATGCCCAAACAAAGCCCTCTCTCCCTGACCCCGAGAAGGGATGGGCCTCGCACCTGCAATTCCCAGCACAGGGCTGGGACCAGTGGAGGTGTTCAACACATATCAGGAGAAAGGAGGCACCCTATGAAGAAAGGAGGCACCCTAAGGTGATCTGGTCCGGTACCCTAGAGCCCGCCCCTGGGAAGATGCTGGTGTGGGCAGGTGAGGCTGGATTCAGCAAGCCTGAGGCCATGCAGGCCTAGCCCCAGTGGTGAGTCCCTGCCCAGGCACACTTTAGTCCCATTTGAGGTGGTCTCCTGGGAATGCCTTAACAAAGGACCACAGACTGGGGGACTTAAAGGACAGACATTTCCTCTGTCTCAGTTCCAGAGGTGGGAGGTATGAGGCAGTGTCAGCAGGGTTGGTGCCTCTTGGGCCGTGAGGGAGAATCTGCCCCAGGCCTCTCCCCCGCTGCTGGTGTTTCGCTGGCGATCTTTGGTATTCCTTGGCTTCATCTGCACGAGGTGTTCTCCCAGTGTGTTTCGTCCAAATTTCCTCTTCTTAAGTGGACATCTGTCATGCTGGATGAGGGCCTACCCCAGTGACCTCGTCTTAATTTGAGGGCCTCTGTGAAGACCCAATGTCCAAATAAGGTCACGTTCTGAGGTATGGGAGTTAGGATTTCAACAAAGAACTTCAGGAGGGGATGCCATTCAGCCCATAACAACATCCAACAGAAGAGCCAGTGCTAGGCGGGAGGGCAAGCACACCCCTCTTCTCCCACTCAATTCCAGATCTGTTTGTGGGGCCAATTAACACCTGAGGTGAATCCCTCGAGAAGGGGCCTCGTGGGCCTGACTTTGCGATCATCCAAACACTCTATGTTCAAGAGTATCATATCATCATATCATGTCATATCACATCATATCATATTGTGTCATATCATATCATGTCAGAACATATCATACCATATTATATATCATGTCATATCACCATGTCATATCATATCATGTCATATCACATCATGTCACATCATATTATGTCATATATCATGTCATATCATCATATTGTATCATATCATCATACTGTCATATCATATCAGACCATATCATGCCACATCATGCCATGCCATACCATGTCATACCATACTGTATCATATGATCTCATCTCTCATCTCATCACGTCATGTCATACCATGTCATATAAATTTTCATGCTAATAGTGGCCCTCATCTGAGGCTGCTGTGTCCTTTGCTCTCCAACACCATGGTGTGTGGGAAGGACTGTGAATGCAGTGCACTCCTCCTTCTCTTGCAGGGAACAAGGAAATAAGGACAGCTGCCATGCCAGGTCTTCCTCCCAGGCCTCCTGCCAGGACCCTGGGCTGCCACTTAGGTGGACACCTGGTGCAGTGGGAAAGTCCCGGGCAGGATTTTAGGGTCTGGTTTGCTGTTGCTGAGCCATTCTAGGCCACCCCCTCCCACTCTTCTCTCACTTTCTCACCCATGTCTGGGAGTGCTGCAAGGATCATTTGTCACAGTGCTTGATCAGTGGGCTCATCCCCTTTCTCCTGCCCACACTGAGGCTGAGAGCCAGGGCACATGGGGTCCCAGGGTCAGTTTCAGTGCCATCCAGGTCTGTAACTGATTGGCTCCTGGCAGGGACTGCTGCTTATCGCCACCTCTTTCCCTGTGCTTCTGGGCCTTCTGGGTGCACACTAAAAGCAGATCCAGGTTTAGCCAGGCATGAATCCTGTGCAATTGGGTGACCCTCTTGAAGAAAATGAACACAAACTTACAAATGCGTAATTAGGTGCAAAGCCTTGGCAGGGCTGGGGTTGCACATCAAGTTTGAGCTTCACTTGCTTCAGGGAGAAGCTACCTGTGTGTACTCATAGGGGCTGGGGGCTGTGGTGGTCGCCAGGACAGGGTGAATTTGATGCCGTGCATACATGCACTCGATATTGTTTTGACAAATGGTAACCAAGCCTCATACTCCACCACCATGGGCCCCTGTCATAGGCCTGCACACCGTTAGTGCTGTAAAATGGACAGAGGGGTCTGAAAGGTGGTCCTTGTCTCTGAGGGGTCTCTCTAGAGCCAGTGAAGGAAGTGGAAGCTAAAGGCCCCACGGAGTCAGGAAGCATAGGGTCTTCTTGCTGCCTCGTGACGCTTGCAGTGACCAGTCGTGGCTCAGTCATCTCTCCCTGCTTCTGATTTTTCTTGAGGCTTGCATAGTTAAAAATAATAATAAAACCACACTCGTTGTATGGAAACCACAAAATACCCACTTTTAACTCTGACAGAATCTAGTAATTGTGTTCTCCCCAAAAGAAGAGAGTGGAAGAGCTCATTTGAAAGACGCAGCATAATTTGAGTGAACTCTTTTGAAAATCTGATTGTTGAAACATTGCCCATTGTTCTTCATTAGATGTGAAAATAAAATCCTGGAAGATTTCTTGAGATGAGCATTTTAGAGAAGAAACGACCCCAACAGACTCATTTTGTTTAATGCATCCAAGAACTCATGCATGGCTGTAAATCCCATGAAACTCCAAAACTCAGAACTCCAGAAATGTCATCAAATTTTTGAAAGCATAAAACCGAGAGAGGAAGAGTGAAAAGAAACCCCACCGTAGGTGGCTAAGAGCAGAGCTGCCACTTGGGTGTCCCAAGGAGTGACCGAAGTGTGGTCATTTTCTGGTGGGCCACCAAAGTGACCTCTTAATCTCCCCTCCACAGCAACCGGGAGTCACCCTGGGATTGGAGGCAAGGTCCATCCTGGCCCCCAGCCAGCGAGCCCTGCCTCCCATGCCTGACTGGCACCACCAGGCCTGGAGGAGCTGGTGGGGTACCGCCCTCTCTGCTGAGAGGCTTGGAAAAGCTCACTGAGGAGGCTGTAGGTCTTGGCACCAAGGTTTAATCATTGTCATATCGTCGTATTGTGTCATATCATCATACTGTGTCATATCATATCATACCGTATCATGCCATATCATGCCATGCCATACCATACCGTATCATATGATGTCATCTCTGGATGATGTCAACACTGGACAGGGTTGGCTCCCACCTGTCCTGGGCTCTTCTTGCTCCAACAGGACCCTGGGTTGCAGCCAGCACAAGGATTGTGAGTTCCAGTTCCTGAAATGGGCCCCTCACTCAAAGCATCAGGGCCTAAGTGGGGGTGACTTTGAGGAGCAAGAGGAAGAAGATCTGGGTTCTGAAAATCTCTTTTTCTTTTTTTTTGAGACAGAATTTCGCCCTTTCGCCCAGGCTGGAGTGCAGTGGTGTGATCTCAGCGCACTGCAATCTCCGTCCCCCAGGCTCAAGTGATTCTCCTGCCTCAGCCTCCCTAGTAGCTGGGATTACAGGCGTGTGACACCACGCCTGGCTAATTTTTGTATTTTTACTAGAAACCGGGTTTCGCCGTGTTGGCCAGGCTGGTCTCGAACTCCTGACCTCAGGTGTTCCACCCGCCTTGACCTCCCAAAGTGCTAGGATTACAGGTGTGAGCCACCACACCCGGCCACTGAAATCTTTATATTAATCAGTAAGGCCCACAGATCTTCCACTCCGGCATTGATACTAATCCAGAAAGCAGGCTTTGGTTATGGTCTTGGCCAATATAGCTCTGGACAATGAACCAGCTATGCAACGCACTATACAACACACCCAGCTTATTCAGCAGGTTACATAAAAGGGAAAGAAGGCAAATACATACAACAGTGTGCAGAGAAGCACCATTTGTTTTGTTACTGAATTATTAATAATTTAATTTATAATCCTGAATTTAAAATGTGACGAGGGTAAAATAGCAGAGATTTGGCATGCTGTGTTCTCCGTATTCACCCCATCCCTGTGGGCCTTCATAACCACCCCACAGTGACACCCTACTGTCTACAGCTACTCTCTGTACTATACTGTCTACACTTTGTCTGCCCATGGCCCACCATCAACAAACACCTTACTGTCTACACCTATGACCTGCGTTAATGTGTATACTTTCTATGCCTACTACCTGTGTCCTAATGTCTATGCTCTACGTCTATACTAACTGCTTGCATCCTAATGTCTACACCCTACCGTCTACACCTACTACCTGTGTGCTAATGTCTACACTCTACTGTCTATACCTACTACCTGTGTGCTAATGTCTACACTCTACTGTCTATACCTACTACCTGTGTGCTAATGTCTATACCCTATTGTCTATAGCAGGGATAGTGTTAGTAGATACAGTGTTAGTATACTACCTGTATACTAATACTAATTAGGATACCTGTATCCTAATGTCTATACTCTACCATCTGTATCTACTACCTGTATCTTAATATCTACAATCTACTGCCTGTACCTACTCCCTGTGTCCTAATGTCTATACCCTATTGTCTACAGTAGGGATAGTAGATATGGTGTTATTAGGTTGCTACCTATATCTAACATCTTTTTTTTTTTTTTTTTGAGACAGAGTCTTGCTCTGTTGCCCAGGCTGGAGTGCAGTGGCATGATCTCAGCTCATTGCAACCCCCACCTCCCGGGTTCAAGCAATTCTCCTGCCTCAGCCTCCTGAGTAGCTGGGACTACAGGCGTGCACAACCATGCCCAGATAATTTTTGTATTTTTAGTACAGACGGGGTTTCACGGAGTTCACTGGTCTTGAACTCCTGACCTCATGATCCGCCTGCCTAGGCTTCCCAAAGTGCAGGGATTACAGGCGTGAGCCATGTTGCCTGGCCCCTATATCCAAGTACCTACACTCTACTGTCCACAGCTACTACCTGCATCCTAATGTCTGCATCTACTACCTGCATATCTATATCCCACTGCCTATACTGCACCATCTATACCCTACTGTCTGTATCAATATCCTCTAACTAACGTCTGCCTCCTACTGCTCCAACAAGGCAGATTCAGGTGGCCATAATCAGAACCAGTGTAGACTCCAGGAGACTGAGGCAGCCAGAACAGAGTGCTTCCAATCTGCAATCTGTGTGGAGCCTGGCACTGCATGACCTCATCACGTCTTTTAGAAGACAAAGTGGCGCAGCAGGCCAGTGCACTCCTATCTGTAATGTGCATGTGAGTCTCCTGGGGATCTTGTTAACACCCAGTTTCTAGTGAACTCCTAGGGGATGTTATGCTGTGGTCCTCAAACCACACTTTTGAGTAGCAAGAAGCTGGATGATACCTTGGCCAGGAGGATTCAGGACTGGCTGAGTCGTTACGCCCTACAGGATACTGTCAGAGTCAGTAGCACAAGCACAGTGACCTTCCCAGCCTTCCTCCCCCACTCCCCGCCCTGGGAGCTTCTGTTTGGAGAAACATGTGCCCATTTCCCTTTCAGGGAGGTGTGGGAGGATGTGTCCCGCTGGGGGACTCTCCTACACTCCTGGTGAGGTGGCCTTCATCCTCCTTGTTACTTCCCTCTCCGTCTTCCTTTCCTGCCTGGAGCTCAGACTCAATCCAGTGCCACAGGAGGAGCCTATTTTCAAGCAGGAGAATGAAAACCATTTTCCAGACAGGGTGAGGTGCAGAGCTGTGGAGCCTGGCCCTGGAGGTGTTACAGAGCCCCTGTCTGTGTCCTGGACTGCTCACCGCCAGGCTTCCAGGCACTGAGAAAAGCACCTCACTTGTTATCTCACCATTCTGCAATTTTTTTCTTATATACTGTCAATCGAGGCTCCAAAAAATGATCCTCATGGGGGTTTGCTTGACCAAATATGAGAAAAACTTCACAAGAGGCCACCCCCATAGGATATAATGTGCACTAGGAACATGCCACATGGACTGCAAATGACCCTGATCCTTCACACTCAGGGATATTGATCTCAGCTTAATTTGGGACTTAATGAAAATAGGGAATTACTTGAGAGTAGTAAAAATGTACTCTGTGGATAAAAAATACTTAATTACAGATGTAACTGAGAAACTTAAAAACTGCATAGAGCAAAAGAGAAGGAAGTAATTTGCCAAGCACCACCCACGTGCTGGGCTTTCTATATTTTACCTCTGAGTCCCCACAAAGGCCCAGGCAGAATGGCTCACTGCTGCTGTTCAAACACAAGCCGCAGACAGTGCAGGTCCATCAAGAAGCCGACGGAGTTTCCTCTCAGGGACCTTCACCTGCCCAGGAACTTTCCACCCTGGAAATGGCTCTAGCAACATTCTTGCACGGTTTTGTTTCATGTATTTACAAAAGTAGGATATTTTGATATTTTTTATTAAAGAGTGTTCCAGTTACTCTGGCTGTGTAACGAATTGCCCCCTAATTTAGTGGCTTCAAACAATAATAATCAGAGCTGGATTTCCTGTCTAGATAAGATAGTTTAAACTTGTTTCCTCTTGCTTCTCCCAACTAGATACACCCTGGAAATAACACAAGAGACAACCAAACGAGCACTTGGAAAGGCTGTAAGATGAAGGCAAACTGGTTGGGCCACAGGACTGGATAAACAGCATAGAGGTGGGCACCTTACAACTCCTTCCCAGGTATAAAACAATGACCCAGGCCTAGTGTTTCCTGCCACCAGGATTAGGTGGCCAGGGTTGGCTCATTTCTCCCATAGTGGGAGCTGGAGTCCCACTGACAACACCAGGCGAGCCCAGCAGAACTGGCCGGGGAGATCCATCACAAGCCCAGCAGACCCTCTGCTGCCAGAGGACGCGCTCTCCTGCCCTGTCAGGTCTGAGATTCCATTCCTCAGCGCAGAAACCATGCAGCCTGTGGGTCACGGGGGTCAGCAAAGAGGATCCCACCGTAACAAGCACCCAGCCTGGGAAACTTCTTTGTCTCTGCAAGACTGTGACTCTCTTCCCTCCCTTGAGACTGATGCTGAGATAAATATACCAGGCAATGGGTGGCATTATCAAGGAGGAAGTGCCCTCACTGCAACAAGTACCTAGCCTAGGAAGCACTCTTCCCCTCTGTGGCTGGAGACACACTTCCTTCACCTAGGAAGCACCAGGGAGCATGTCTGAGGAAATTCCTTCTGCTCCCTCAATCAGTACCTGCAGGGACCAGTAGGAGCCCCAGGCTCATGAGAAAAATCAAGCAGTCTAAAAAAGCACAGCAAAGTCTCTGAAAATTAGATGTTATTGCAACCACAGCCCACAAAAGTAGGTCACACCTGCATTGCTAAACCTAAACAGGGTAGTTGCCTACTAAAATAAAAAGTTTAAATAAGACCTGGAATTTCCTAATCTAAGACTCAAAATTCCAGGCCACAATAGAAAGTCATCTGTCATATCAACAACCAGAAAAATTGCAACTTAAATGAGAAAAGCGACAAACTGATACCCACAGTGAGATGAATCAGATGTTGGAATTATTTAATAAAACAATTATTTTATCTTATTTTGTTTTAGTTCTTTTGAGACAGAGTCTCACTCTGTCACCCAGGCTGGAGTGCGGTGGCACAATCTTGGCTCACTGCAACCTCCACTTCCTGGATTCAAATGATTCTTCTGCCTCAGCCTCCCCAGTAGCTGGGATTACAGGCATGAACCACCATGCCTGGCTAAATTTTTTCATATTTTTAGTAGAGATGGGGTTTCGCCATGTTGGCCAGACTGATCTCAAACTCCTGACTTCTAGTGATCTGCCTGCCTCTGCCTCCCAAAGTGCTGGGATTACAGGTATGAGCCACCACGCCTGGTCAATTTGACAAAACTTTAAAAACAATCATAAAAGTGATTCAATGATTAACTACAAATTCTCTTGAAATAAATGAAAAAAGGAAAATCTAAGCAAAGTAATAGAAGTTATTAAAAAAGAACTAATTATAGAACTGAAAAATACAACAAAAGAAATAAAAATTCACTGGATGGACTAAATAGTGAAGTGGACACAACAGAGGATAGAATCAGAACTTTAGGACAGATCAATAGAATTTACCCAATCTGATTAACAGAGAGAAAATAAAGAAATAGGCAAGTAGGCTGAGAGTGGTGGCTCACACCTGTAATCCCAGCACTTTGGGAGGCTGAGGTGGGCAAATCACAAGGTCAGGAGTTAGAGACTAGCCTGGCCAACATGGTGAAACCCTGTCTCTACTAAAAATACAAAACTTAGTTGGGTGTGGTGGCTGGCACCTGTAATTCCAGCTACTTGGGAGGCTGAGACAGAAGAATTCCTTGAACCTGGGAAGCAGAGGTTGCAGTGAGCTGAGATCACGCCACTGCACTCCAGCCTGGGTGACAGAGCAAGACTCCATCTTGAAAAAAAAAAAAAAAGAAAGAAAGAAATAGGCAAGTCTATAGTTGTAGCTAGAGACTTTAACACCTCCCTGTCAGCAACCAAAAGAACTACTGTACAGAAACTAAGCAAGAATACAGAAGATCTGAACAAAATGATTTGCCAACAGGATCTAATGAACAAATATAGAACACTCTACCCCAAAACAGTACAATATAATTTTTTCTCAAGCACCTATGAAACATTCAACAGGAGTGACTGTATCCTGGGCCACAAAACAGATATCAACAAAAAAAATTTTTTTGAGACAGAGTCCCTCTGTTGTCCAGGCTGAACTGTAACCTCAAACTCCCAGACCCAAGCATTCTTCCCACCTCAGCCTCCCGAATAGTTAGGACTTTAGGTGTGTACTACCATGTCTGGCTAATTTTTAAAATTGTTATATAGAGACAGGTCTTGCTATACCGTCCAGACTGATCTCGAACTCCTGGCCTTGAGCAATCCTCCTACCTCTGCCTCCCAAAGTGCTGCAATGACAGGCATGAACCACTGCATCAGAACAACAAATTTTTAAAAATTGAAATAATGCAAAGTGTGTTCTCTGACTATAATTGAAATAGACTAAAAATTACAGTAACATAACAAGAAAATTTCTAAACACTTGGGAATTAAACAACAAACATTTAAGTAATCTATGAATCAAAGGAAGTCTCAAAGGAAGAAATACATGGAACTTAATAAAAATAAAAACACAACATATAAGATTTATGGACTGCAGATAAAGCAATGTTGAGAAGGAAATTTAAACCACTAAATGCTTACAGTAGAAAATAGAAAAACTTTCAATATAATACTCTGAGATCTTGTTTCAAAAATGTACAGAGAAAATAGCAAGATAAAACCAAAGCAAGCCGAAGAAAGAAACTAACAAGTGCAGAAATCCATTAATTGAAAACAAAAAATGAAATCAATAAAACAAAAAACCTGTTCTTAAAAAATCCATAGAATTGATAAACCTCTAGCAAAACCAATAAATATAAAAAGAATGAAGACACAAATCACCAATAACAGGAATGAAATAGAAAATATCACTATATCATGCACACTTTTTTCAGCTAAATAAATAAATAAGAAAATATTGCTACACATACTTGGCCCATTAAAATGGTAATAAGGAAATATTATAAACAACTTCGTGTTCACAAATTCAACAACTTAGAAAAGATAGACTAATTCCTTGAAATTCACAAACACCACACTCACTATGATGGAATAGATAATCTGAATAGAACTATAACCATTAAATAAATTGAATTTGTAATTCAAAAACACTCAGAAAAGAAATCTCTAGGTCCAACAGTCTTATTGGAGTATCTTACCAAACATTTAAAAATAATTAACACAAATACAGAAATTTTACTCTCTCTCTCTCTCTATATATATATACATGCATACACATATACATATACACACACACACACACACATACATGTGTATATATATATATGTTAGAGAGTGAGAATATATATATTTGGTAGAGATGGAGCCTCACTGTGTTGCCCAGGCTGATCTCAAACTCCTGCCCTCAAGCATTCCTTAGCCTTGGCCTCCCAAAGTTCTGGGATTACAGAAATGAGCCACCATGCCAGAATTACCTGATGGCAAAGCTAGACAAAGACAATACAAAGAAAGAAGATTGTATTAATCCGCTTTCACATGATATAAAGACAAACCTGAGACTTTGTAAATTATAAAGAAAAGATGTTTAATTGGCTCACAGTTCTGTGGGCTGTACAGGCTTCTACTTCTGGGGAAGCCTTAGAAAACTTATAATCATGGTGGAAGGTGAAGTGGAAAAAGGCTTATCTTCACATGGCCAGCAGAAGAGAGAGCAAGTGAAGGGGGAAATGCTATACACTTTCAAACAATCAGATCTCATGAGAACTCTATCATGAGACAGCACTAGGGATATGGTGTTAAACCATTAGAAACCACCCTTATGATTTAATCACCTCCCACCAGGCCCTTCTTTTAACACTGGGGATTACAATTCAACATGAGATTTGGGTAGGGACACAGAGCCAAACAATATCAAAGACCATAGACCAATATCTCTCATGAGCTTAGATGCAAAAATCTTAGAAAATTAACTCCAACAAAGTATAAAAAGAATTATATACCATCACCAAGTGGGATTTAATCCAGAGTTGCAAGCCTGATTCGACATTTGAAATCAATCAATATAATCTACAAAAACCCTACAGCTAACATCATACTTAATGGTGATAAACTGAATGCTTTCCCCCCAAGATTGGGAAGAAGGCATGTAAGCTGTTCTCACCACTCTTATTCAGTATGGTACTGGAAGCTCTAGCTGCTTCAGTAAGGCAATAGGCAAGAAAATGCAGTACAATGCATTCATAGGGAAAGGAAAGAAATAAAAACCACTCCTATTTGCAAATGACGTGATTGTCTACGTAAAATCTCAGGTAATTAAAAAAAAACTCCCAGAACTAAGAAGTGAGTTCAGCTGGTTTTCAGGATACAAGATCAAAACACAAAAACCAATCCCATTTCTATATGCTAACATGTAGAAACCGAAATGAGAAGCACAATACCATTTACAACAAAAGTGAAATACATGTGTATGAATTTAACAAAATACATGCAGAATCTCTAGGCTGAAATTTATAAAATGCTGATGAAATAAATCAAAGGAGCCCTAAGTCAGTAAAGAGACATCATGTTTATGGATTGGAGGACTCAACATAGTAAAGATGAACTATTGATCTATTAGGTTGATCTATTAGGTTGGTGCAAACATAATTGCGATTTTTACCATTAAAAGTAATGGCAAGCTCTCCCTCCTCCTCTCCCTCCCCCTCCCCCTCCCTCTTGTCTCCGTCTCCCTCTGCACGGTCTCCCTCTGATGCCGAGCCGAGGCTGGACTGTACTGCCGCCATCTCGACTCACTGCAACCTCCCTGCCTGATTCTCCTACCTCAGCCTGCCGAGTGCCTGGGATTGCAGGCGCGCGCCGCCATTCCTGACTGGTTTTCGTATTTTTTGGTGGAGACGGGGTTTCGCTGTGTTGGCCGGGCTTGTCTCCAGCTCCTGACGTGAGTGATCTGCCAGCCTCGGCCTCCCGAGGTGCCGGGATTGCAGACGGAGTCTCGCTCACTCAGTGCTCAGTGTTGCCCAGGCTGGAGTGCAGTGGCGTGATCTCGGCTCGCTACAACCTCCACCTCCCAGCCGCCTGCCTTGGCCTCCCAAAGTGCCGAGATTGCAGCCTCTGCCCAGCAACCACCCCCTCTAGGAAGTGAGGAGCGTCTCTGCCTGGCCGCCCATAGTCTGGGATGTGAGGAGCCCCTCTGCCCGGCCGCCCAGTCTGGGAAGTGAGGAGCACCTCTTCCCGGCCGTCATCCCGTCTAGGAAGTGAGGAGCGTCTCTGCCTGGCCGCCCATCGTCTGGGATGTGGGGAGCGCCTCTGCCCCGCCGCCCTGTCTGAGATGTGAAGAGCGCCTCTGCCCCGCCGCGACCCCGTCTGGGAACTGAGGAGTGTCTCTGCCCCGCCGCCACCCCGTCTGGGAGGTGAGGAGCGTCTCTGACCGGCCGCCCCGTCTGAGAAGTGAGGAGCCCCTCTGCCCGGCAGCCGCCCTGTCTGGGAAGTGAGGAGCGTCTCCGCCCGGCAGCCACCTGTCCGGGAGGTGGGGGGCAGCCCCCGCCCGGCCAGCCGCCCCATCCGGGAGATGGGGGGCGCCTCTGCCTGGCCGCCCCTTCTGGGAAGTGAGGAGCCCCTCTGCCCAGCCGCCACCCCGTCTGGGAGGTGTACCCAACAGCTCATTGAGAACGGGCCATGATGACGATGGCGGTTTTGTCGAATAGAAAAGGGGGAAATGTGGGGAAAAGAAAGAGAGATCAGATTGTTACTGTGTCTGTGTAGAAAGAAGTAGACATAGGAGACTCCATTTTGTTCTGTACTAAGAAAAATTCTACTGCCTTGGGATGCTGTTAATCTATAACCTTACCCCCAACCTCGTGCTCTCTGAAACATGTGCTGTGTCCACGAAGGGTTAAATGGATTAAGGCCGGTGCAAGATGCGCTTTGTTAAACAGATGCTTGAAGGTAGCATGCTGGTTAAGAGTCATCACCACTCCCTAATCGCAAGTTCCCAGGGACACAAACACTGCGGAAGGCGACAGGGTCCTCTGCCTAGGAAAACCAGAGACCCTTGTTCACATGTTTATCTGCTGACCTTCCCTCCGCTATTGTCCTATGACCCTGCCAAATCCCCCTCTCCGAGAAACACCCAAGAATGATCAATAAATACTAAAAAATTAAAAAAAAATAAAAAATAAAAGTAATGGCAAAACTGCAATTACATTTGCACCAACCAAGTTTAATGCAATTTCTACAAAAATTCCAAAAAATTTTTTTTTGTAGACATAGACAAATTTATTCGAAAAGTTATATGAAAAAACACAGGCCTGCCAAATGTTGTGGATCATGCCAGTAATCCTAGTGCTTTGGGAGGCCGAGATGGGAGGATCGCTTGAGGCCAGGAGTATAAGACCAGCCTGGGCAATATAGTGAGACCTTGTCTCTACAAAATTTTATATATATAAAATTACTGGTGGTACATGCCTGTAGTCCTAGCTACCCGAAAGGCTGAGGTGGGAGGTTTTCTTGAGCCCAGAAGTTTGAGGCTGCAGTGAGCTATGATCCCATCACTGCACTACAGCCTGGAAAACAGAGCAAGACCCTGCCTCTTAATACACACACACATACAATCACACACACGTATAAAACAATGAATATCACATAGCTAAGGCAATCAAGAGAGTGTGGTATTGTTGGAGGAATAGACACATAGATAAGTGGAAAATACTAGAGAACCCGGAAGTAGACCTACACAAATATGCCTAGCTGATATTTTTAAAGGTGCAAAAGTAACTCAATGGAAGGAAAGCCTTTTCAACAAATAGTGTTGCCTGGGCATGGTGGCTTATGCCTATAATCCCAGTCCTCTGAGAGGCCAGGGCAGGAGGCTCACTTGAGGCCAGGAGTTCCAGACCAGCCTAGGCAATATAGCAAGACTTCATCTCTACAAAAAATAAAAATAAAAGTTAGCCAGGCATGTTGGTGCATACCTGTAGTCCTAGCTACTTGGGAGGCTGAGGCAGGAGGATCCCTTGAGCCCAGGAGGTTGAGGTTGCAGTGAGCTATGATTGCACCACTGAACTCCAGCCAGGGTAACAGAGTGAGACCATGTCTGTCAAAATCAAACAAAGATAAAACAAAGAAACACCTTAACCTAAACCTCACAATTCGTTAAAAAATTATCTCAAAATGGATTATGGGCTAGGGCTATGGATAGAGTTACAGATTTTAAACCAAAAACACAATTGACAAAAGGAAAAACTGAAAAATTAGACCTCATGAAAAGAAAAAACTTTTGTTTGACAAAATACACAGTTCAGATAAAAAGGCAATTTATAGACTTGGAGTAAATCTTTGCTAATATGTATTTGACCCAAAAAATTGTATTTAGAATACATAAAGAAATATTATATTTGACAGTATAAAGCAAAACCAAGCAAAAATCCAATTAGATAATGGGCAAAAGACATGAACAGACAATTCACTGAAAGAGAGCAAAGGGATGGCAGATAAGCATATAAAAACATCATTCAACATCAGTAACCATTTGAGAAATGCAAATTAAATCCACTTTGAGATAGCACTATACAGCTATCAGAATATTTAAAATAAAAACTAATGACAAGCGGGATGGCAGTTTAGGAAGCTCCAGGATCCCCCAAGGAAACACTGAATAAATAACAACACTGCACAAAAATAGCTTTGTGAGAACTCTAGAAACCAGTTAAGAAACTGCAGCAACCAACTAAAAAAAATTTTTGAAGGGGTTTATTCCACTTGCAACGCAGATCCAAACATTTGTATAAAGTCATATGCGAATACTATAGGCATGAAAGATGTACGTTTACCTGCACCTGCACACATCACTGATCATATTGTACACAAGGACAGATTTTTACATTTTTTTTAAAATTTTGGGGTTGAGGAACATGTACAGGTTTGTTACATCAGTATATTGCGTGATGCTCTAATCTAGGTTTGGGCTTCTAATGATTTCATCACTTAAGTGGTGAACATAGTACTCAACAGGTAGTTTTTCAACCCTTTCCCGTCTCCTTCCCTCTCTCTCCCCGTTTTGGAATCCCCAGTGTTTATCGTTCCTATCTTTGTGTCCATGTGTACCCAATGTTTAGTTCCCACTTACAAGTGAGAACATGAGGTATTTGGTTTTCTGCTTCTACGTTAATTTGCTTAGATTAATGGCCTCCAGCTGCATCCATGTTGCTGCAAAGGGCATAATTTTGTTATTTTTTATGGCTGCATAGTATTCCGTGATGTATATGTACCACATTTTCTTTATTCAATCCACTATTGATGGGCACCTGGATTAATTCCATGTCTTTGCTATTGTGAATAAATAGTACTGTGATAAACATATGAGTGCGGGTGTCTTTTTGGTAGAATGATTTATTTTCCTTTGGATATATACCTGGGTAATGGGATTGCTGGGTTGAATGGTAATTCTACTTTTAGTTCTTTAGGAAATCTACAAACTGCTTTCCACAGGTGCTGAACTAATTTGCATTTCCATCAACAGTGTATAAGCATACACTTTTCTCCAGTATCTCACCAACATCTGTTATTTTTTGACTTTTTAATAATAGCCATTCTGACTGGTATGGGATGATATCTCACTGTGGTTTTGACTTGCATCTCTCTCATAATTAGTGATGTTGAGCATTTTTTCCATATGTTTCTCAGATGCTTCTCTGTCTTTTTTTGAAACTGTCTTTCATGTTTTTTGCCCACTTTTAAATGGTGCTATTTATTTATTTTTGTTAATTTGTTTAACTCTCTTGCAGATTCTGGATATCAGTCCTTTGTTGGGTACATAGTTTGTAAATACTTTCTCTCATTCTGTAGGTTGTCTATTTACTCTGTTGACAGTTTATTTTGATGTGCAGAAGATTTTTAGTTTAACTAGGTCCCAATTGTCAATTTTTGTTTTTGTTGTATTTGCTTTTGAGGACTTAGTAATAAAGTCTTTGCCTAGGCCAATGTCTAGAAGGATATTTTCTAGAGTCTCTTATGGGATATTTATAGTTTAAGGTCTAAGGACATTGTATAATGATAAAAAGATCAATTCTTCAAGAAGATGTAACAATTATGAACATATATGCACCAAATATCAGATCTCCTAAATCTATGAAGGAAATATTGATGAATTGAAGGGAGAAATAGACAGCTCTACAATAATAGTTGGATATTTTAGTACTATTTTTCACTTATGGATTGGTATGGTTTGGATCTGTGTCCCCACCCAAATTTCATGTTGAATTGCAATTCTCAGTGTTGTGGGTGGGGCCTGGTGGGAAGTGATTGGATCATGAAGGTGACTTCTCATGGTTTAACATCATCACCCTAGTGCTATCTCATGATAGAGTTCTCATGAGATCTGGTTGTTTAAAAGTGTGTAGCACCTCCCCACTCTTTTCTTTCCCCTGTTCCAGCCATGTAAGATGTGCCTGCTTCTTCTTCATCTTCCACCATGAGTGAAAGTTTCCTGAGGCCTCCCCAGAAGCTGTCATACTTCCTGTACAGCCTGCAGAACCATGAGCCAATTAAACCTCTTTCATATATAAATTATCCAATTCCAGGTATTTCTTTATAGCAATGCAAGAACAGACTAATACATGAATAGAACAACTGCATATAAAATCATTGAGAAAACAGAGGACTTGAACAACAGTATAGACCAATTGATCTGACAGATATATATAGAACACTACACCTAACAAGAGCAGAATACACATTTTTCTCTAGTGCACATGGAACATTCTCTAGGGTAGATCATATATTAGGACACAAAACAAGTCTTAATAAATTTTAAAAGTTTGAAATCATACAACTTAACTTTTCTGATCACAATTGAATGAAACTAGAGATCAATAGCAGAAGGAAAACTGAAAAAAACACAAATGTGGAAATTTGTATGTGAGAAATAAATAACACACTTTAAATAACCAATGGGTCAAAGAAGAAACCACAACTGAAATTAGAAAATATCTTGAGAAAAATAAAAACAAAACATGACATGTCAAAACTGTGGGTGCAGCAAAAGCAGTGGTAAGAGGAAAAATTATAGCTGTAAATGCTTAGAGTAGAAAAGAAGAAAGATCTCAAATCAACAATCTAACTTATACCTTAAGGAACTAGGAGAGGAAAAACAAACTAAACTCAAAGGTAGTAGAAGGAAGGAAATAATAAAGATTAGTGAAGAGATAAATAGAGAATAGAAAAACAATAGAGAAAATCAATGAAACTAAAGTTGGTTATTGGAAAAGATCAACAAAATCAGCAAATATTTAGCTGGATTGCATAAGAAAAAAAGAGAAGACTTAAATAACTAAAATCAGAAATGACAGAGGGTACATTAAAACTGATTTTGCAGAAATAAAAAAGGATTGTAAGAGAATACTATGAACGACTCTCAACAAATTGGATAACCTAGATGAAATGGGTAAATTCCTAGAAACACATGATCTGCAAGACTGATTCATGAAGAAATAGAAAAGCTGAACAAACCTATATCCATCAAGGAGAATGAATTAATAACAAAAAAGCTTCTAACAAAAAAAGAGCCCTGGACCAGATGTATTCTACCAAGAATTTAAGTAATGAATTAACACCAATCCTCCGCACATACTCCCCAATAAATTAAAAAGGAAGAAACACACTTTAACTCATTCTAAGTGGTATTACTTTGATACCAAAACCAGACAGAGACACTAAAAGGAAAGAAAACAACAGATCAATATCTCCAATGAATACTAATGCTAAAATCCTTAACAAAATACTAGTCAACAGAATTCAACAGCATATTAAAAGAATTATACATCTTGTTCAAGTGGGATTTATTCCTGGAATGCAAAGATAGTTCAATATATAAAAATCAATCAATGTTTTTTCATTTTACATCACATCAATAGAATGAAGGAAATAACCACAGGATTATTGCAATTGATCCAGAAAACATCTCAATTTTTGTTGAATTTGACAAAAGTCAGCACCCTTTCATGAGAAAAACACTCAACAAAGTAGGAATATAAGGGAACTACCTCAACATAATAAAAGCCATATATATATATATCATGCCTGTAATCCCAGCACTCTGGGAGGCTGAGGCAGGTGGATCACTTGAGGCCAGGAGTTCGAGACCAGCCTGGCCAATATGGCAAAACCCTGTCTCTACTAAAAATACAAAAATTAGCCAGGCGTGGTAGCACACGCCTGTAATCCCAGCTACTTGGTAGGATAAAACACGAGACTCACCTGAACCCAGGAGGTGGAGGTTGCAGTGAGTCAAGATCATGCCACTGCACTCCAGCCTGGGTGATACAGTAAGACTCTCTCAAAAAAAATAAAATTAGATTAAATTTTTTAAAAAAGCATATATGAAATACTCATAGGCAAACATAATACTCAATGGTGAAAGACTAAAAGCTTTTGCACTAAGATCAGGAACAGGATTTCTATTGAACATAATACTAGAAATCTTAGCCAGATAAATTAGACAAGAAAAAGAAAAGATGTCCAAATTGGAAAAGAAGAAGTAAAAATATACCTGTTTGGGCTGGGCGCAGTGGCTCACACCTGTAATCCCAGCACTTTGGGAGGCCCCAAGGTGGGTGGATCACCTGAGGTCAGGGGCTCAAGACCAGCCTGGCCAACATGGTGAAACCCCATCTCTACTAAAACTACAATGATTAGCTGCGCATGCTGGTGGGCACCTGTAATCCCAGCTACTTGGGAGGCTAAGGCAGAAGAATTGCTTGAACCCGGGAGGCGGAGGTTGCAGTGAGCTGAGATGGTGCCGTTGCACTCCAGCCTGGGCGACAAGAGTGAAACTCAGTCTAAAATATATATATATATATATATATTTTTTTTTTTTTGAAGAACTATTTGTATACCAATGCTCATAGCAGTATTATTCACAATAGCCAAAATGAGGAAGAAACTCAAGTGTCCAAGATGAATGGACAAACAAAATGTGCTATGTCCATATGATGGAATAAAGGAAGAAAATTCTGACACATGCTACAAGAGGAATGAATCTTGAAGACATTATGCTATAAGTGAAATTAGCCAGTCACAACAGGACAACACTGTAAGATTCCAATTATATGAGGTACCTCGAGTAGTCAAATCCATAGCAACAGGAAGTAGAATGACGGTTGCCAGGGGCTGGGGGCAGGAGGGAATGAGGAGTTGTTGTTTAATGGATACAGAATTTCAGATATGCAACTTGGAAAGAGTTCTGGAAACTGGCTGCACAATAATGTGAATGTACTTAACATGACTGAGCTGTACATTTATAAATGGCTAAGATGGTAAATTTTATGTTATATATATTTTACCACAATTCAACATTTTAAAAATGCTGGTGAAGATGTATAGAAAAATGGATCACTCATCTATTGCTGCGGGAATATAAAGTGGCACAGCCATTCTGGGATGCGGTTTGGCAGTTACCTATAAAACCAAACATGCAGCTACCATATGACCCAGCAATTGCACTCTTGGGCATTTATCTCGGAGAAATGAAAATTTATTTTTACACACAGCCCTGTGCATGAGTGTTCATAACAGCTTTATTTGTAATAGACCCAAAGTAGAAACAGCCCAGATATTCTTCAATAAGTGAAAGCCTAAACAAACTATGGAGCATCCATGTTATGGATACTCAGTCATGAAAAGAACAAACCATTCACACACACACAACAACTTGGATGAAATTTCAAGAGAATTATGCTGAGTGAAAAAAGTCAATTCCAAACGGGTACATACTGTCTAAATCCATTTATGTAACATCTTTGAAATGATAAAATTATAAAAATGGAGAGCAGATTAGTGGTTGCCAGGGTTAGGGAAAGGGTGGGAGGAAAGGGAGATGGAGCGGCTATTAAAAGGGATCCTTATGGGGATGGAAATAGCTGTGCCTTGATGAATCTATGTCAATATCTTGATTGTGATGTTGTACTACAGTTTTGCAAGATGTGATTATTGGGGGAAACTGGTGAAGGGTACATGAAAATCTCTGTATTACTACTAATATCTGCATTTGAATCTACAATTATCTCAAAATAAAAAAGTTTAATTTTAAAAAAGCAATAATAATAGATTATTATCTCTCCCTGTTTTCTGTGAGCATGGCAGCTACAGGTTGTCTTTGCTCCTGTGTGTCTGGGGTCTTAAGTGAAAAATGCTAAGGCAGGGGTGGGACCAACTGGAGGCCTCTTCCCGACCTATCTATCAGTAAGTTGGTGCTGGCTGCTGGCTGCTGGCTGGGACCCGAACTTGACTGTCAACCAGGACACCCACACATGGCTTCTCTGTGTTGCCTGGGCTTCCTCACAGCATGGTGGCTGGCTTCAAGTTCAAGTGTCCCAGTTAAAAAAACCAAGCCAATGGGAAGCAGTGTCATCATTTTTGACTGAGCCTCAGGAGTCACCCGGCAAATCCGCAGTCACAAAGTCTCCCCCAGACACAGGGGGAGGGAATTCTTACTTCTTCACGGGATTAGGCAAGGTTCTAGAAGGATAAATATTGTCATGGCCACTTTTGTAAAGAGTCAGCTTCCTCAAAGAAGGTCTTCCAAAGTGTAGAAAGTCCAGGCCTCAACACTCAGATCCTCCTTGAAATGCACTCTGAGAGACTAATGAGCTGTGATTTGAACCTGGGTCCCTTGGCCTAGGAGCCCCAAAAAGCTGGGGCAGTGTCTGGAGGCAGTCCCCTTCCTCCGCTTCCCTTCCTTTTCTGCATGGCTGGATGATTCGTTGGGCCCAACATGACCCAGTGGAGCCACCGTTACCAGCACGTGGTCAGGAGGAGGCTCAGGTGAGGGCCGGTACAGACTAAGCTGGAGCCCCAGATGCTGCCATTGCAGACACCTCCAGACTGTGGCCCTGGAACCAAGGGGCCTCAGCACAGGGAACTCAGAGGAAGGGCGTCGGGCAGGTATGAGGCCCCATCCCAGGCCATTTGGGAGTGGGGTAGACCAGGACTTCTTCAGATCAGAGGACTTCCCTCTTCCATCTGCTTTCCCTCAGGAAAAATGGCCTAGGGAAGATTTTTCAGCGGTTGACAGATGGGATCCATCCCTCCATCCACCCATCCAACACTCTGGGACCTGCTCGCCAGGATCCGGGATGATGGGAGCGGGAGACCAGCACAGATCAGCGCAAGGCCAAGCGGACACTTGGAAGCCCCCATTGTGGCCACCACACTCTAAGTGCCTGTACTCAGGACTGAGCTGATCTGTGTCGGGGCTGGAAGGGCAGAGGCAGGAGGGAGACCCTCCAAGGCTGGAAAGGTGGGTGCTGGAGCTCCAAGACTGTGGTGAGGGAAAGGCACTGCAACTGAGAGTGGGGCTTGGACGAGGGGATGTGGCTGAGGCCCTCACAAGGCTGCGGGTCCTCGCTGAAGTCCCTGGTTGGAGGCTGCAGCCTCAGGGAACGGGGTGGTGGAAACTCCCTCCACTGTCACAGAGAGATGGCCAGGAAGTAAGTCTCCACCTGAGGACTAGGGGAAAGCAACAAAGCCCAGCCTATGCCCCACACTGTACAGTTTTCTATTGCAGCACAGTGAATCACCACAATTTGGTGACATAGGCCAGACGAATTTATTATCTCAGAGTTTCTGTGGGTCAGGAGTCCAAGCACAGCTTAAAAAGACTCTCAGCTGGGCACGGTGGCTCACGCCTGTAATCCCAGCACTTTGGGAGGCTGAGGTGGGTGGATCACCTGAGGTCGGGAGTTCGAGACCAGCCTGAACAACATGAAGAAACCCCATCTCTACTAAAAATACAAAATTAGCAGGGTGTGGTGGCATGCACCTGTAATTCCAGCTACTTGGGAGGCTGAGGCAGGAGAATCGCTTGAACCCAGGAGGTGGAGGTTGTGGTGAGCCAAGATCACACCATTGTACTCCAGCCTGGGCAATAAGAGCGAAACTCCACAGTAAAAAAAAAAAAAAAAAAACTCTCTGCTTAGGGTCTCACCAGGCTGTAATCAAGTTTCCGTTCATTTATTTGGAGCTCCATGTTCTCTCTAAGCTCATTCAGGTTGCCCAGTTTGTAAGTTGCAAGATTCAGTTCTATCTTGCAGTTCCAAGACTCGGGTCCCCACTTTGTTGCTGGCTGTAGGCCACCCTGGGACTTGTCTCAGCTTCTGGAGACCATGCTTGGTCCTCGCGACATGGACTCTGTGTGCATCTACTCTGGGACTGCTATAAAGAAATACCGGAGGCTGGGTCATTTATAAAGAAAAGGGGTTTAATTGGCTCATGGTACTGCAGGCTGTACAGGAAGCATGATGCTGGCATCTGCTCGGCTTTGGGGAGGCCTCAGGAAACTTACAATCAGGGCAGAAGGTGAAGGGGAAGCAGATACGTCGTCTTACATGGCTGGAGCAGGAGCAAAAGAGGTGAGAGGGGAGGTGCTATCCACTTTTAAACAACTAGATCTGGTGAGGACCCACTATCATGAAGACAGCAACAAAGGGATGGTGTCAAACCATGAGAAACTGCCCCCATGATCCAATCACTTCCCACCAGGCCCCACCTCCAACACTGGGGATTACAATTCCACATGAGATTTGGGTGGGAACACAGATCCAAACCATATCAGACCCACAAGCAGTCTGCAACACGACAGTCTGCTGTCTTCTGGGCCACGTCTCCATGAAGCTTCACCTTCTTTCAAAGGCTCCTCTGGTTGGGCCAGGCCCACCCAGGATAACCTGGATAGTCTCCCTCTTGATTAATTCAATGTCAACTGACTTGTGACAATCACAGGAGTGACATCCTATCATAGTCACTGATTCTGCACACACTAAAGAGGAAGGAATTCTATAGGGAGTTCATACCAGGGGCAGGACTCTTGGGGCCATGCTAGAATCCCGCTTGCCACATATGGGTTTGGAGTCTGAATTTACACCTGTCGAATTGTGGAAATCTCCATGATTAACATCCATTAGGTCCCAGGCAGGAGATATCTTTGCAGTGCATGACAGAGGCAAATAGAAAAATTCTCACAGAAGGCTGGTCGTGGTGTCTCACGCCTGTAATCCCAGCACTTTGGGAGGATGAGGCGGGTGGATCACGACGTCAGGAGATCGAGACCATCCTGGCTAACACGGTGAAACCCTGTCTCAACTAAAAAATACAAAAAAATTAGCCGGGCGTGGTGGCAGGCGCCTGTAGTCCCAGCTACTCAGGAGGCTGAGGCAGGAGAATGGTGTGAACCTGGGAGGTGGAGCTTGCAGTGAGCCGAGATTGTGCCACTGCACTCCAGCCTGGGCGACAGAGCGAAGACTCCAGCTCAAAAAAAAAAAGAAAGAAAAATTCTCACAGGAAAAAAAAATTATATATATATATATATTATATATATATAAATTATATATATTATATATATTATATATATAAAAATTATATATATTATATATATTATATATATTATATATATAAATTATATATATAATATATATTATATATATTATATATATAAATTATATATATAATATATAAATTATATATAATATATATATTATATATATAAATTATATATATAATCACTGAAGATAACATCACAATAAAAAAATTGAACAGACACACGGAAACTCCATTCCCTGCATAAGCAAGTCAGCAGGCAAAATGAATAGGAGCATTGGGATCCATCCCAGGACCTGCAGACCTCTCCTCCTCAACAGGTGTGTGTAATATAGGTTTCCTACCGTGTACTTGGCTGTTGATCTAGATATTGCTTAAAAGGACAGTGAGATTGCATGAAAACCACCACCTACAAAGATGATGAAAATTTTCATTATGAAATTTTGTATTTCATTAAGTTTTAAGATATTTTGTAATGTTTTCCACATGAATGAAACTTTATCATATGTGACCCATTGCACTATTTGATCATATTATGTACAATTTGGGATTAATTTTCAAACCTAAGTATTGCTTTAAGAATTTGAGTAATGAGGCCGGGCACAGTGGCTCACATCTGTAATCCCAGCACTTTGGGAGGCTGAGGCGGGAGGATCACACTTGAGGCCAGGAGTTCGAGAGCAGCCTGGCCAATATGGTGAAACCCTGTTCCTACTAAAAATACAAAAATTAGCCAGCCAGGTGTGGTGGCACACACCTGTAATCCCAGCTACTCAGGAGGCTGGGAGAATCATTTGAACTTGGTAGGCAGAGGTTGCAGTGAACCAGGGTCATGCCACTGCACTCCAGGCTGGGCTGGGCATTTTTTTTTTTTTCTGGAAAAAAAAGAAAAGAAAAGAAAAGAATTCGAGTAATGATTCCAGTTGCTACCACCTCATCAGAGCAAAGTTTCTCTAAATTGAATTTAAATATATTTAAATATATATATAACAACTATTTTGTTGATTCAGGAAAGGTGTAACTTGGCTTTCCTATCATTTGAACATAAATCTATGAAAATCTCATTATCTCAACATAATCAGTGATTTTGCTAAAGCAAAGGCAGGAAAAATAAATTTTACAGAATAAATAACAGTTTATGAAGTATGACTTTATTATTCATGCAAACAACACCAACCCATCAACATCACACCCAGACATGAACAATAATTAAATTCAGCCATCTATGATATTTTGCCACGTTTCAATCATATAAAAACTGTAACTTTATACATATTAGTTTGATTTATGACCTTTACTTTTTTTTTTTTTTTTTTTGGTAGAGATGGGGTCTCCTCATGTTGGCCAGACTGGTCTAGAACTCCTGACTTCAAGTGATCCGCCCTCTTCAGCCTCCCAGAGTGGTGGGATTACCTTTCTTTTTTTCTTTTTTTTTTTTTTTTTTTTTTGAGACAGAGTCTCCCTCTGTCCCCCAGGCTGGAGTGCAGTGGCGCAATCTTGGCTCACTGCAAGCTCTGCTTCCCGGGTTCACACCATTCTCCTGCCTCAGCCTCCCGAGTAGCTGGGACTACAGGTGCCCGCCACCACGCCCGGCTAATTTTTTGTATTTTTAGTAGAGGCAGGGTTTCACCGTGTTAGCCAAGATGGTCTCGATTTCCTGACCTCGTGATCCGCCCGCCTCGGCCTCCCAAAGTGCTGGGATTACTGGCGTCAGCCTCTGCGCCTGGCCGAGTGGTGGTATTACTGCAGGTGTGAGCCACCACACCTGACTATGATTTTTACATGTTTAGACATGTGGTCAGAGGGCCCTGGACACTGTCACTCTAAGAGGGTCGCTGGGAAAAAGGCCAAGCCTGGGGATCACAGCAGAGGACACACCTGGAGCAGCTGGGTCTGAGGGACTGGGCTCCCCTCTGAGGTCACGGTGCCCTTGCAGGGAGGGCCAGGCCAGCAGCAAAGACACACATCTCCAGGTTCTGTTGGACCAGGCCTCAATGGCGCCGCCACGTGGCAGCGTGGAGCAATGTCAGGAACCTGCTCTTCCCACACCAAGAAAACTTTGCACCAAGTCCCCAGGGATTTTTTTGGATTGATTGATTGATTTCTTGAGAATTCAAGGCAAGAGGGGACTGCCAGGGGAAGATATGGGGCTTTCTATTTTTAAGGCCAGTGAATACCAGAATGATTAATTTCAAAGATAATTTGCATTCTGAGTTTGTGGAGCGACACACCAAGAAGTAGATTGTTTTGTGCACAGCAGCTGGGAGCAGGTGGCATAGAGGTTAAACCAGGGAACCTGGACCAGACCTGTGCTTATGTGCTGGCTCCATTACTGGTTAGTCGTGTGATGCCAGGCAAGTTCTGTGGTCTCTCCAAGTCTGTCTTCCCCCAAGTCAATGGGAGTCGTGGGCAGCCTCAAAGCCCCAGAGATGCTGTGATTGATTGAGACAAACTTTGCTTGGCTCCTGCACTCAGTACGGGCTCTACCAATGTAGCTCTCTTTCCCTTCTCCTTCTTCTATCCCTAACCTCCCCCTCCTCCTCCTCCCTCGTAGATGGCAATCCTTGAGTGCTTGTTGGGTGAGTTAATGAATTTGGATGCAAGCCACCAAGGGCGATGGACTTGATCGGTTTCTCCAATCATCCTCGAATTGCCTGGATTCCTACCACACTCCGCCTTCCCCTCCTTAGTCAAGTGTGTTGGACTTTTCTGTCTTTGAGTACCCAGCACACTGTTCCCCAGCTGAGGGCCTCCTGTCTCAGTTTACAGAGAAAACAGAGGAATCGGGCACTTGCCTTCCTTCCCCCATCTTGCTGTCAGCCAGCATCCCTTCTCCTCTGCTTCCATGGGGCCAGCCCTGCCTTGTCCCTTCAGCTCACCATGTCTAAGAACTTCACTCCTGCAATTACCCTCCTCTCACAGTTGGGTTACCAAGTCATGTTACATATCTCCACTCTTTCTTTTCTTTTCTTTCTCTTTCTTTCTTTCTTTTTCTTTCTCTCTTTCTTTTCTCTTTCTTTTCTTCTTTCTTTCTCTCTTTCCTTCTCTTTCTTTCTTTCTTTTTCTTTCTTCCTTTTTCCTCTCTCCCTCCCTCTCTCCTTTCTTTCTTTTTCCTCTCTCCTTCCCTCTCTCCTTCCTTCCTTTCTTTCTTTCTTTCTTTCTTTCTTTCTTTCTTTCTTTCTTTCTTTCTTTCTTTCTTTCTTCCTTCCTTCCTTTCCTTCCTTCCTTCCTTCCTTCTTTATTTCTGTCAGGCCTCTGAGCCCAAGCTAAGCCATCATATCCCTTGTGACCTGCACATACATATCCAGATGGCCTGAAGCAACTGAAGAGCCACAAAAGAAGTGAAATAGCCTTAACTGATGACATTCCACCATTGTGATTTGTTTCTGCGCACCCTAACTGATCAATGTACTTTGTAATTTCCCCCACCCTTAAGAAGTTTCTTTGTAATTCTCCCCACCCTTGAGAATTTACTTTGTGAGATCCACCCCTTGCTCACAAAACATTGCTCCTAACTCCACCGCCTATCCCAAAACCTATAAGAACTAGTGACAATCCCATCACCCTTTGCTGACTCTCTTTTCGGACTCAGCCTCCCTGCACCCAGGTGAAATAAACAGCCTTGTTGCTCACGCAAAGCCTGTTTGCTGGTCTCTTCACATGGACACATGAGACTCCTTCTTTTCTTTTCTTTTCTTTTCTTTTCTTTTCTTTTCTTTTCCTTTCTTTCTTTCTTTCTTTCTCTCTCTCCTTCCTTCCTCTTTCTTTCTTTCTTTCTTTCTCTCCTTCCTTCCTCTTTCTTTCTTCTTTCTTTCTTTCTTTTTTCTTTCTTTTTTTGACAGTCTCACTCTGTCACCCAGGCTGAAGTGCAGTGGCACGATCTCGGCTCACTGAAGTTTCTGCTTCCCTGGTTCAAGCGATTATCCTGCCTCAGACTCCCGAGTAGCTGGGATTACAGGCATGTGCCTCCATGCCTGGCTAATTTTTTTTTTTTTTTTTTTTTTTTTGTATTTTTAGTACAGATGGAGTTTCACTATGTTGGACAGGCTGGTCTTGAACTCCTGACCTCTGGTGATCCACCTGCCTTGGCCTCCCAGAGTGCTGGGATTACAGGCATGAGCCACTGTGCCTGGCCTCCGCTCACTTCCAAACTTGCTCCAAGTCTTCAACGTTTCAAACAAAACAGCAGTGGTGCCCAGGCTCTCTGGAAGCCAGGCCATCCTCCCAAGTTGGCCCACTCCTCCACCCCTTCCTGCTCGCTTGCCCTGCCCTGCTGCCTTCCCGTCCTTCTTTTCTCCACTGCTTTGTGTGAGCTTCTGAAGTCTCCTGTCCCTAGAAACTGCCCTTTGTCAAGGTCATGAATAAGCCCTGGGGCCAAATCAAGGGGTGGAAAATGGAGACAGGCAAGGGAGGCAGAGCTCAGGGAAGAGGGAGAGGGAGTGGCCTTGTGAGTGTGGACTGAGCTCAAATTCTAGCCAGGGCCTTCCAGGAGACCTTGGTCTTCCCACTGGTCTTCCTCCTTTCTTGACCTCTCACAGCCTCATCCCCCACCCATTGACTCCAAACCCGTGTCTGTGACACCCTTGTTTCAACTTCTTGTCCTTGTGTCAGGGACCCAGGAGTCCCCGAACTGGAGACGTTACTGAACTTGTGATGGACTTTCCTAACTGGCTGCAAGGAGCCTCTGGTGGGGAGGGTGTCCTGGGGGGGGAAACGATGTGGAGGGAATATCATTAGCTCCCCATGGCCCCTCACTTTCCTGGCAGAGACTCCAAGGACGGGGTGCAGCAGCAAGTCTCATCCCCTCCACGCTGTGGCTGGTCCTCAGGGCCAGGGCACCCTGCCCTTGAGACCTCTTCCCACGTGTCAGCTCATCCTGGAACACCCAGAAGCAAAACAGGATCAGGCTTCTTGGAGTTTTCTTTCCAGTAAGGAGCTGGTCACTGACCAGCAGTGCACACTGAGCAGAAATTGCCATTGGTTTCTTTTTTAGGGATAGAGAGAGCAAGTGTGTGTGTATGTGTGTGTGTGTGTGTGTGTGTGTGTGTTGTAATCAGTGAATCAAAAAGATTCAAAGAGGAGAGAGTAGTGACTCCACCAGAGCTCAGAAAGAGGAGGAGGAAGAGGAGGAGGTAGCGGTGGCCATGGCCCAGCTTGTCAAGGAGCCGGCTGGTGCTCCTGAATCACGGAGGGCCTCCCATCCACCCACGCCGTCACCAGCAGGTGGGGACCGTCAGCCACTTTCTGGCAAATCTCAGCAAGTCAGCACGGCAAGTTGAAAGAAGGAGCCAGTACCTCTCCAGGACAGCCTTCCCTCCAGGGCCTGCTGGGGAAGAAGGAGCCTGGGAGCTGACTTCAGGCAGCGAAGTAGTAGGCTTGCAGGGCGGGAGAAGGCCCTGAAGCCCTGGCTCAGCCCTGGCGAGTCGGGCTCCACGGGGTGCTTGTCCTGGGCCTCGGCTTCCACATACAGGAGGTGCTGGCTGTGCCGCCTGACCCCTGAGCCGCGGGGATTAGATGACTTGCCCCGGGTCCTATTACTGGGACTTTTCAGAACCCAGCGGGACCCCGGGCCTCAGACCTGGCTGCTCTTCTGGGCACCAAGCACTGCCACTTCTCTCACGTTCTGACTGCCCCAGGCCCCTTCTCTTTTGGGACCAGTGCTGTTGAGCCTCCGAGGGTCCAGGAACCGGGTGTGGTGAGGTGCAGGGGTCCTGACTATGGGTCTGACTCTGGATGGCGGCAGGACAGCATTCCTGGGCCCAATCCCCTTCCCCTGCCTGCCTGCTCTGTCCCTGCTCCAGCTTGCGCGCCTCCACCCCCTGCTATCCCCTACTTTTAGCTGTCCTCTCACCCTCTCCACCCTGCCCCAGATCCTCCCTCACACACACAGGTTCTAGGCTGGCGGCTGGTTTGGTTGTCTCCCCCATGCTCTTGGAACCCCTAGGTGCCAGGTTATCATATCCGACCAAGAACAAAATCCACCCAGCAGTGAGCTGTGAGCACTTTCTGTTTGGTTGCTGAAGCATGAATTTGTTAGAAATAACGGCGGCTGACACCACAGTACGGCCCCTCAGCCACTCCTCCTACACGGTGGAACCTTCTGGAAGGCTGGATATGAGCTACGCCTGCCTCTTTTCTTGGTTCCTCCTGCTGCCCCCAAGAGCTGACTGCCTCTGGGGCTCACCCTTGGGTCAGAGCTGATGCCCTGAGGTTCAGGTATTGGCCCTGTCATTCTGGGAGCAGGTGTTTTCTTCCCACGCATCTGTCTGTCCCAGTTGCTCCAGGTCCACAGCCATGAGCAGAGCCATGACAGGGGCCGCTGCTGTCCATGAGAAGCACAGAACTTCTGGCTGGGGGTTGCCTCTTCCCTTCCAGGTATTAATTATAATAACTGAAATGTGCTTAACGCATGCTGGCCTCTACTTAAGCACTTTACATATATTAATCCATGCAATCATGCTACAAAATGGATGCCACTATCATTCCCATTCTACAGATGAGAAAACATAGGCTCAGTGCAACTGTCTAACTTGCCAGGGTTACCCATCCATCCAGAGATCAGCAGAACTGGGCCACCCAACTGGCTGGCCTGAGTCTTGTCTTCTATCTGCCTCTCAGGATGGCCATCCATCCACATGACCATGTGGCTTTCAAAGAACCTGGAAAAAGACACCTGTTCCAGGTGGAACAGGCACTATCTGCCTGTTCATGTGGGCATAAGCAGCCCACCTGTGGGGACTGCTTGGTTCTCCAGCCTTCCACACATCCAGTGCCCACGATATGCCCATATACCATATACTGTAAAGTGCTTGGGGAAAACCTTATTCTTGGGCCCCTGGCAAGGTCCTTGCCTGACTTCTCCTTAGGATGGGTGAGGGGAAGTAGCCTGGAGGGTCTACGTCCTGGCCTGGGGTGGAGATGTCACCTGGACTCTTGGCAGTGGGGGTTTCCACCCCCAGGATAAGCTTACTACCTGAGTCCTATAGGTTGCAAGTATGCTTATGATTTTCCTCTCAACCTCACATAACATTATGTAGGCTTTGGAGTCCAGAACCTGCTAACAGTTGAAAGAGCCACGTTGCAAGTAACTGTGCGGACTTATCCTGACCTTATGCAACAGATTCTACCGTGAATATGGAATAATGTGGAGTCACTCAGCAAATGCGCCCTGAAGGCCCACTGGGCATTGGAGAAGCAAAGGTGAGCAAGAGAGACACAAAACCCTGTCCTCGGGTTGCTTGGAGTCTAACAGGGCATTGAGCACCATGAGGGCCACGCTGTTTTGAGGACACACTCTGGACATTATTCATGAATAGCTTGGTTTATTACTGAGAAAAGTATACAGTGTAGGGTTCCCCTGCCTCTCTGGCTGTTTGTCAAGACAGTGAACAGCCGCCGGGCCTCCTTTTCAACAAACCAGCCAGCGCTGTGATGAACTCCGCCCCACGTGCACCTGGGCAAGGCTCTGTCACGAGGTTCTCTCCATCACTGTGTGGCTAGGCAGGACAGAAGGAGGGAGAGAAAGCAGCCATGCCTGGGTTCTCCCAAACCTTTGACATGCCCGGGTTCTCCCCAGCCTTTGATGTGGCAGAAAACAGCTCTCTGTAAGGCAGACAGCTGCACAGACAGAAAGCCCTGCTATTTGTCAGGGGCTGCCATAGACTGAGGCTGCACACTGAGAACCCTGTGTTCTGAATGCTGGCGCAGGCCTTAGGGGGATGCAACCCCACCTTCCTCTGGCTCGGGACCCCAAAATATGGGCTGGGCATGGGTGAGAGAAAGGATACTCTTTCATTGCCCACCTCCACCCCTGTTCCCCACGAAACAGATGGAAGATCAGCAGACTCGAGGGATCTGCTGGGCAATGAGCTTTTCTGCCTCAGTGGGTTTTCGCTGGAGTCTGGGGAATGGAGCATCCCTTGCAGGGATGGAGAGGACTCAGATTCAGGAAGCAGGGACATGGAAATGGCCCTATGGTGCCATTCAAACCGAGGCAAAGGCCAAGGGGGATGTAGGCTTCCCTGCCTATTGTCTCAGCGTCACCCTAACACAGCGGAGAGGGCACTCACTGTTTGTCTCCAGAAAACCAGACCCCTGTGAGGTCAAGTGGCCCATCCAAGGTCAGTGCCCTGCTTGCTTACTCGTGATCCTCTCTGTACTAGTCAGGGTTCTCCAGAGAGACAGGGCTAATGGAATATAGATATATAGACGTAGATCTGTAGAAAAAAGAGACAGAATGTATTAGGGGAATTGGCTCACACAATTATGGAGGCTAAGAAGTCCCATGACAGACCATCGACATGCTGGAGACCCTGGGACGCTAGTGGCGTGGCTCAGTGCAAATCTGAAGACCTAAGAACCTTGGTGGGCTGCTGGTGTAAGTCCTGGAGTCCTACGTCAGGAAAGCCTTGAGTTTTTATGTCCAAGGGCAGGAGAACAGTGTATTCCAGCTCTAGGAGAGACAGCAACCAATTTATCTTTTCTGTTTGTTCTATTCGGGCCTTCATCCAATTGGATGGCACCCACACACATCGAGGGCAGATCTTCCCCCCCTCGTCCACTCAAACTCATGCCAATCTCCTCTGCAAACACCCTCACAGGCATGCCCCAAAATAATGCTTAACCAGTTCTCTAGGTATTCTTTAATCCAGCCAAATGGACACCTGACGTTAACCATCACACGGTGTCGTCTATGTCAAGTTCACTAAGGAGGATAAATCATCCTACAGTATGCATCAGAAAGGTGTTTGGGGAAAACCGGACTTGTTGGAAGGAACTGTGGGCTCATCCAAGGGTTTGCCAGTGTAGCAAGTGAGTTGTGCTCTTCACGCTGGGTTGTTGGCACTCGCTGGTCTCCCTCCCACTGCTGCTAACCTGGGATCCTCCAACCCTTGATGACGATGCCACTCAGGGGTCTGCTGGGCCACTCTCCCTGTGATATTCACAAGTGGGGACTTGAACCCCTGACTGGTGATTTGTGGGGGGCTTGCCGCTGTAGGATCCTCTTTCCACCCCTCTGAGTGGACGAGAAGGAGCAGGACAGGGAGCTGGCATTGTGTCCCTGGTGGCTCCTTCCAGGTGGGCAGCGGGGAAGGGCTGCCCAGCCAGTCAGGGCAAGTGGGAGCTCAGGGCTGGGTTGATGGCCAAGGCTGTGAGGCTCAGAGCAGATGCCTTGAGCCTTCCTGCATGAGCCCTTGGGCCAGATGGAGTAGGTAAGCAAGGATCTCAGTCACACAAGGTAGTGTCCACCATGACTTCTGCCTCCTGTCAGCCACCCTCCCTCCAAGCCAGGTCTGCTGCTGGTAATCAAAAGAAGTAGGGTTTGTCAGAATTTCTGTTTGTGGGGCATAAACTTGTAGCACTACCACAGCAAAAGCATTTGTGTGTGCAGTTGTGTTCTTCATACATTTCATCTTATCACATTATGTTTTAGTGTCTCAGATACATCTGGTCCTGATGTCTGATGGCTCCAGTTAAAAGCATGCAAAACTGCCACCAAAGCAGTGAAATGCAGATAACAGTGACAAACGGATTAAGAGGCATTATCACTTCAAAGTGTGTTTAATTAAGATGAATCTCTGTACAAGAAAACCTGAAAATGCCTGGAAACCTTACAGCTCATATAGAGAAAAAAACATATTAGAAAAGGTCCCAGCCAGGTGCAGTGGCTCACACCTGTAATCCCAGCACTTAGGGAGGCCGAGGAGGGCGGATCACAAGGTCAGGAGATTGAGACCATCCGGGCTAACACGGTGAAACCCCGTCTCTACTAAAAATACAAAAAATTAGCTGGGCGTGGTGGCAGGCACCTGTAGTCCCAGCTACTTGGGAGGCTGAGGCAGGAGAATGGCGTAAACCCAGAAGGTGGAGCTTGCAGTGAGCTGAGATAGTGCCACTGCACTCCAGCCTGGGTGACAGAGTGAGACTCTGTCTCAAAAAAGAAAAGAAAAGGTCCCAAATTTGAGTCTTAAAAATGTACATGATATTACTAATAATGGATTGTGAAGCTGAAAGTTTTCTAAACTTTTAATTAAATTTATTATTTTGATGCTAGACTATCAATTGAACTACGTCCTGGAGGCTGTCACTTGTTTTTGTAAATACAGTTTTGTTGGAACACAGCCATGCTCATTCATTTACAAATTGTCTATGGCCACTTTCCTGCTACAATGGCGGATATGGGTACTTAATACATAGGCTTGGTCCCCAAAGCCTGAAATATTTGCTTTGGTCCTTTACAGAAGAAGCTTCTGGCCCCCTGTGCCAGATAAAAGATTAAATTACCCTTTTATGTGTTGTATAGGAAATATGACCAAAAAAACCTGCCATATAAAGGATGACTAAAGAATTTGTAGCCAAAAATGTAGGAAAACACGTATTATATAATTATGTCAGGCAGTTAGCTATAAAAAGATGTTATGTTATATTTCTGTACTTTATGATGTTTGTGATGGTTTTCAGCTCTTTAAAATTTGTAAGGTTTATTATTTTCTCATTCTAAATATTTGCTTTTATACCTAATTTTTTATTTTCCAAATTTTTAATTCTTAAAGGAGTCTTATGACTGTATAATCTCCAGACCTCACAAAACTTGGATCCACACCTAGCCATTAAGAACTAATATACTACATTTGCATTTTAGAGAATAATTCCTATACTGCATGCAAGAAATTGGTGTATCTCAATTTAACTTGCTTGCAAAGACTTCAGAGTCTTATTGCACAAACAACAGTATCTAAGAGAATAAAAGTCAGCGAAGCCTTAAAGGAGCTGATCAAGTGACAGTATGATGACAATAAAATCACAACAGGGTGTGGCTGCTCACACCAAAGCAAGGGGGTCCGTGGGACTGTCAAAACTGCCCTAGTTTCTATTATAAAAAGCCCCCTCCCTTTGCCAATTACAAAATGAGCAGCCTGCCCTGCCCTCTCTCATTCCCGTTGCAATGGGCATGGCAATGCCAAGGGGGCATCCTCGCTTCACATTTGTGCAGGGCAAGAACCAAATTCCTTGATTCTTGGAGCTCCAGAACTCCAAACAGTGAGGGGCCTATAAGGTACCCCCAGCATGGTCCCTTCCCGTGGACCTCAAAGGAAGAGCGTGATCCTCTCTGACAGGATGCCACTGACTGCAAGCCACAGAATGTCTGGTCATCAGTGGTATCTGTGATAATGACTCTGAGGGACGCCCCTTTGCCAAGGCTCAGGAATGCTCCCACGGGCTGCCGGGCCTATTCAGCATGTCTGGGGTTTGGGGTTTCTCCCTCATAAATCACGGAGGGCTGCTCCCACCCCCAGCACTTCACACCGCACAGGGCCCCAGCAGGAGGGAAAGTGTGCTTTTTCCTCACCACCTGGAAAAGCTCTCACTGTAACACTCCCCTTCCTGCTCACTGCATCACATGCCCACCCTGAGCCAGTCACAGGAAAGCCCAACACCAAGCCAATCCCGATTCCCCGGGCGTCCTGGGCACACATCATTAAAGAAAAAGGCAATGGTGTGGAAACAGGTAACCCTCAGTGTCATGTTTCGTAGGCTCCAGGTACAAACCATTCCCATGGAAAGACTAAGCCTCTACAAAGGATTTGGCCCAGTCAGCGTAACCCTGGGGAATCTTGAAAATATCTCAAGCTGGTCCATAGGACACGGAGGTCACTGCCCCAGCTCTGGGTGGGTTTCTGAGTGTGGACCTGGATGGCTCCCAAGGCTCTTTGGGGATGCTCAGATAGTATCTCCAGCAGCACCTGCAAGTCAGCAGAAGATGAGGGAGCTTCCGGAAGCATATAGACCTAGATGCTAAGATCAAACCCCAGACCACAGAGAACCTACCACAGCAGAGAGTGGCACTGTTTAGATCTTCTGACTTCCACTGTCACCTGCCTTAGAGACAGGTGAATGCCAGGAGAGGTTAGCTGCTGATGCCTGAGAAATCTATCAAAGGAAAAGGTGGGCTTGTCCCAGGAAGCCTAGGGCATGATTCTCTAAACAGCAGGCAGAATTACAGAATCTTGGTGCCAAAGGAACCTTCAGAATTAACTAATCCAGGGTTTGTCAAGTTTTTTTGATGACGAACAAATAGATTGCACTATGCTATGGTTCGAATGTCTCCTCCAAAACTCATGTTGAAATTTCATTGCCATTGTAACAGTATTAAGAAGTGGGACCATTGAGGGGTGATTAGGTCATGAGGACTTTGCTCTTATAAATGGATTAAATGCCACAGAAAGGAGGAGTTCAGTCCTTGCTCTCATTCTGGCTCTTTCTTTGCCCTTCCTCTAGGGGGTGATGCAGCAAGAAGGCCCTCACCAGATGTCAGTCCTTTGATCTTGGACTTCCCAGCCTCCAGAATCATGAGCCAATAAATTTTTGTTCATTACAAATTACCCCACCAGGCTGGGTGCAGTGGCTCATGCCTGTAATCCCAGCACTTCTGGAGGCTGAGGCAGGCAGATTACCTGAGGTCAGGAGTTTGAGACCAGCCTGACCAACATGGTGAAACCCTGTCTCTACTAAAAATACAAAATTAGCTGGGCCTGGTGGCAGATGCCTGTTGTCCCAGCTACTCAGGAGGCTGAGGCAGGAGAAGTGCTTGAACCTCCAGGAGGCGGAGGTTGCAGTTAACTGAGATTGCACCATTGCATTCCAACCTGGGCAACAGAGCGAGACTCTGTCTCAATGAATAAATAAATAAGTAACCCCACCTGTGATATTATTATGTTATAGCAGCACAAAACACATCAAGATGCACTGTAAAAGAGTACATACACCGGGCATGGTGGCTCACGCCTATAATCCCAGCACTTTGGGAGGCCGAGGCAGGTGGATCATCTAAGGTCAGGAGTTTGAGACCAGCCTGACCAACATGGTGAAACCCCATCTCTACTAAAAATACAAAATTAGCTGGGCCTGGTGGCTCATGCCTGTAATCCCAGCTACTCAGGAGGCTGAGGCAGGAGAATCGCTTGAACCCAGGAGGCAGAGGTTGCAGTGAGCCAAGATCACGCCACTGCACTCCAGCCTGGGCGACAGAGCAAAACTCTGTTAAAAAAAAAAAAAAAGTACATACACAGGTATATAAAACTAAACAATGGTTACACACAAACAATACTTACTCTTTTATTCTATTTCATTTACACTTTAAGCACCATTAAAACAATTTCAAACCCATGGTGGGTAGCAACGCACAATGTGGACACTCCTCTTCCCACCCTGGTGATCCCCACAACAGACCACTGGATGTCCGTAAGAAAGAAGTGCTCCTGATGCCTAAGGAAGTGCTCTTGCAATGCAGTTTCAAGTGAGAAAAGGAGGGTACAGAAAAGGGGAGTAGGGAAGCGTGGGGGCCTGGGATAGAAGCCAGGTTCCTCTGATCACACTTTGTCTTATAGATTGGACTTTGAAATCATGTAAATGTTTTACATAACTATAAAACAAAATTAAGCCAAAAGGAAAAAGAAAGCAATTTCAAGGTCAAAAGTAACATGACAGACATAAAGGTATGAATCTACTTGGTAGCTTAACCCACGGAGAAAAATGGTTTCCAGGGCCCTTTAACACAAGGCTTTGTGTAATTGGGTGCTTCATCCCTAGTGAGATGTATCCTAAGGGCAAAAAGAACTGCAAAGACCAAAAAATCTTAAACTGTCTTTAGTAATCACATTGTTGGTACTAATTTTCATATTATTGTCCTGAAATTATTATTCTGTTAGTTCTGAAGCTGTAATTCTCCAAGACATAGAAACAATGACTAATTTAGTCACAAATAACTCTCCTCAACCCTCCAACCCCACCCAGTGCCCAGACTGTGGTCTCTAAATTGCATTTTCCACTGAAAGAAGCCATGCTCTCAGAGAAATGCCTAACTAACTCCCAGTGCAGGGCAAGAAATGGACAACGTGAGCCTTGGAAAGACTCCTTAGAGTGAGTAAAAAGGACTCAAGAGCCAGCTTGAAGAGCCTCATTGGCCAAAGATGGGAGAGTTTGAACATTAAAAAGAATAAAACCTGAAGTATTCAGAAACATTTCAAATGTGAAAACAAAAGAAAACCAAAACCAAATATGGCTTCATCATAATGCTCAAACGAAACAAAAGGAAGCAATCTTAATTGATCACTTTTGGAGAATGCTGGAAAGTCAAAATATTTTCTGAAAACTGGTATATAACGGGGAAGAATGGGGACTTTTCTTGCCTTTTGTATATAAACAGTACCCCAGGAGAGCCAAACTGTGGATGAGCTAATCCATGCAGAGGAATGATAGAATTAGAAAATTCCACATTGAATTCCCCACTGGAATATCGGATGAAGGTCATGATTATCAAGGGCTAAAACCCCTCAACAAAAAGCTGATGGGTCGGCCGGGCGCGGTGGCTCAAGCCTGTAATCCCAGCACTTTGGGAGGCTGAGGCGGGTGGATCACCTGAGGTCAGGAGTTCAAGACCAGCCTGACCAACATGATGAAACCCCATCTCTACTAAAAATACAAAAATTAGCTGGGTATGGTGGCAGGTGCCTGTAATCCCAGCTACTTGGGAGGCTGAGGCAGGAGAATCACATGAATCTGGAGGCGGAGGTTGCAGTGAGCCAAAATCATGCGATTGCATTCCAGCCTGGGTGACACAGTGAGATTCCATCTCAAAAAAAAAAAAAAAAAAAAAAAAAAAAAGCTGATGGGTCAGGCTGAAAACACCCGAACCCTATAGTATATCCTACCATCACTAAAAGAGATACAACCAGACATTATGTGTGTGCTGGTGGAAATGCCTAACATCATCTATGAAACATTTCCAAAAACCTACACTGAAATCTGATGGGTCCTCCACATCTAATCCCCTAAATATATCAGGAAATGCAGAGATGGAAGAACATGTTAAACAGAAACGGGGGTGCAAACAACATAATCCAGAATGTGAGACATTCTTCAGGAAAAACAACCTAGGTTCTTCAATAAAGTACCATAACATTCAAAAGAGAGAGAGGCCCGGGTGAGGTGGTTCACGCCTGTAATCCCAGCACTTTGGGAGGCTGAGGTAGGCAGATCACCTGAGGTCAGGAGTTCAAGACCAGCCTAGCCAACATGACAAAACCCTGTCTCTAATAAAAAAAATAAAAATTAGCCTGACATAGTGGTGCATGCCTGTAGTTCCAGCTACTCAGGAGGCTGAGGCTAGAGCACTGCTTGAATCCAGGAGGTGGAGGTTGCAATGAGCTTAAATCTCACCACTGCACTCCAGCCTGGGCAACAGAGTGAGACCCTGTCTCAAAAACAATAAAATAAAATAATAGAGAGAGAGAACAGAGGATCTGTAGATTTAAAGAGACTTAAGGGACATATCCAAATGCAGTGTGTAGGTTTATTTGAACCCTGATTCAAACAACTATAAAAAATAACAAAACAGAAACATTTATGTGTCAATTAGGGAAATGTAAACACCAAGTGGATATTGTCAATATTTAAAGATTTATGGTTAATTTAGTATGCTGTGATAATGGAATTGTGGTTATGTTTTTAAAAAGGGTGTATGGGAGGGAGTTTTTATATTTTAGAAGCATATTCTCTTGATACATTGCTACAGTAATGGCCCCCAGTGGATTACTCCTCATTTCTATGCCCTTATGATTCTCCTTCCCACATTAATGCTGGGCTTGGTTATGTGACTTGTTTTGGCTAATAGGATATTAGCAAACATGATGCAGGCAGAGACTTGAAAAGTGCTTGCACATTTGGGCTTGCCCTCTCTCGGAAAGCTGCCACCATGAAAGCTTGCCGAAGCTAGCCTGCTGGAGAGGCCACTTGGAGAACTGAGGCACCTTAGCTAACTACCCAAACATGTGAGTGAGGCCATCAAAGACTGTCCAGCTCCAACCAAGTCACCAGCTGACTGCATCCAAATGGCAGAGCCCAGACAAAACCAACAGAAGAACCATCCTGCTGATCCCAGCCCAAATTGTTGACCCACAGAATTACGATCCAATAAATGATTGCTATTTCAAGCCACTAGACAAAGCCACTAGATAAGAAATGTAATTCTGTAATATGTACAAATGAAACTACAGATGTCTGGGGATTTGCTTAAAATAAAGCCAGGGGTAAAGTGAGTGGAAATACACACACACGAAACAAGATTGATTATTTGCTGATAATTGTTGAAGCTGGTGAGGAGTATGGGAGGGCTAATTTTACAACTCTCTCTGCCTTTGGTTTTGTTTGAGAGGGAAAATTTCCATAATGAAAAGATAAAACAGGCTGGGTGTGGTAGCTCATGCCTGTAATCCCAACACTTCAGGAGGCCAAGGCAGGCAGATCACTTGAGGCCAGGAATTCGACACCAGCCTGGCCAACATGGCAAATCCCTGTGTCTACTAAAAATACAAAAAATTAGCCAGGCATGGTGGTTCACGCCTGTAGTACCAGCTACTTGAGTGGCTGAGGTGGGAGGATCGCTTGAGCCCTGGAGGTTGAGGCTGCAGTGAGCCGTGATCACGCTGCTGTACTCCAGCCTGGGTGACAGAGCAAGATCTTGTAGAAAGAAAGAAAGAGAGAAAGAGAGAGAGAAAGGAGAGAAGGAGAGAGAAAAAGAGAGAGAAAGGGAGGGAGGGAGGGAAGACAGGGAGGGAGGGAGGAAGGAAGGAAGGAGAAGGAAAGAAAGAAAAGAAAGAAAGAGAGAAAAAGAAAGAAGAGAAAGAAAGGAAGAAATAAAGAGAAAGAAAGGAAGGAAGGGAGGGAGAGAAGGGGAGAGAGGAAGGGAAGAGGAATTACTCTTCTGCCCACTGACAGATAAAGCAATCGAAACCCAAAGAAGGAAAGTGAGTCCTGTGATGTAACACAGCCAAGTCACAGCAGAGTTCATTGCTGAACTAGAGCTTCCCCGCTGGCTCCTGGGCCAAGCCCTTTCTATTCCCCCCCATGCTCATAGGCAGGGAAGTTGGAAAAAAGAAGCAATACGAGTAGGAATAATTTCTTCTGTTGCTTGAGAAAAGCCTGGTAGCAGCCCTAAGACATTAGAATATGATGAGACCGTTCATGACAAATGATGATCATTTGTGGGATATACTGTTTATGTAGTGTTTAGGGAAGAAATATTTGTTCTGCCATGTATGTGCATTACATTACATAAAAGGACAGGCAGGGAATCCCTCCTTTCCACACCCTGCCCTGTTTGGCACCAAACGCCTGTTCTGTTTTGAAAGGTTCGTAGATAACCAATCAGGGCTGTGTTATAGTGTGTCAGGACAGCAATACTAAAAAGCCATTTGCAAGTTCAAATATATTAAAGTTGTCTCTTTCCCACACATACAAAATGAGCAAAGCTTTCATTATTCATCAAATGAAAAAATTAAGCCCTGCAATTATCTGTCTATGGCCCCAGGATAGGCTGTGCATCATTTAATCAGATGTTACTACGTGAAGCCGCAGACTACGTCTGGCCACGAACAGACATAAAAGAAGGGCTAGTTGATCAAAAAAAGAACAAAACCAACTTCCAGGTCTTAATATCCAATGTTGCTTTGCCTGAAAACTTCTGAGCCTTAAAACTCAGCTGGAGTTTACAAGGAGGAAGGGAGATTCCAGAAGGTGATAACTGGGCCCCTGACACAAAAGCCAAATACAACAAAGCTAATGAAATCTTTCTCATAACCAAACTGGCAGGGCCCCCGCCTTGCTTTTTTTGAGAGGATCCATAGGGCTCTGTGTTTATATTTGAGGATTTGTCTGAAATCCTAGAGGCTTAGAGCTAGTGGGCAGAGCTTGGTGAGGCCCATGTGTCATCAAGGGCAGGAATTGGCACTCCTTGCTTTAGCTCAAATCCAGTCCTAGGCCAGGCGCGGTGGCTCACGCCTGTAATCCCAGCATTTTGGGAGGCCAAAGCGGGCAGATCACCTGAGGTCAGGAGTTCAAGACCAGCCTGACCAACATGGAGAAACCCTGTCTCTACTAAAAATACAAAATTAGCCGGTGTGGTGGCGAATGCCTGAAAACCCAGCTACTCGGGAGGCTGAGGCAGGAGAATCACTTGAACCTGGGAGGTGGAGGTTGCCATGAGCCAAAATCGTGCCATTGCACTCCAGCCTCGGCAACGAGAGAGAAACTCTGTCTAAAAAAAAAAAAAAATTCCAGTCCTGCAGGAAAGTGTAACGTGGATGTGTATGATGGGGACCCCCAGCAGTTCTCCCTTTCTCTGAGGGGCCTCCACGACCCCTGCCCAATTCCCTGAGGGTGCTGAGTTTCTGAGGGTCACACTCAAAAGAGATTTTTCTGGGCCGAGCGCGGTGGCTCACGCCTGTAATCTCAGCATTTTGGGAGGCCGAGGCAGATGGATCATGAGGTCAGAAGATGGAGACCATCCTGGCTAACATGGTGAAACCCCGTCTCTACTAAAAATACAAAAAATTAGCTGGGCGTGGTGGCGGGCACCTGTAGTCCCAGCTACTCCAGAGGCTGAGGCAGGAGAATGGCATGAACCCGGGGGGCAGGGCTTGCAGTGAGCCTAGATCGAGCCACTGCACTCCAGCCTGGGCAACAAAGAGAGACTCAGTCTCAAAAAAAAAAAAAAAAAAAAAGTCACAGATTTTTCTGTTTTAATTGCCATTTATTTAATATATAGAAGTTTTCAAAACAAGGGTCCCTGGATGAGGGTGGTAAGAAGGTTGGGGTCCTAGTCCAATGGGTTTAAGGTTCCTTTCACCTTGGAGCACCCAGGCTTGCTTGACCAGGGTGCCCACTGGCTGAGCACCTGCCTGGAATGGCCCAGTGGGGGTCTCCTCCTCCCTCCCAGGCCAGGGAGAGGGATGAAGCCGGGAAAGATGGCCCCCTCCCCCAGGAGAGCAGTGTCTGGCTCTTGGTGCAAGAGCACCTTCTCTCCCAGGTGCTGGAAAAGGTCGTATTTTACTGATTTTCCCCTTCTCCCCATTCCCTCCTTCCCCTATCTGTAGGAGGCTTGCAGGTGTCCAGCTGTCCTTTCGCAGTAGACACATGGTGGTCTCAGGAGCTAACATCGGCCCTTCTACAAGCCAGGGGGACACCAAACACTTGCCTGTCAATCGAGCTCCACTCAGCTGGGTTCAGACAAGCTCAGGGGCTACCCCAGGCTCAGCAGTGCCGACTATAGCCTTGTGCAGTTACTGCTGCACACACGTGAGGACACACAGGAAGGGTACGCATTTGACACAAGCTTCCCATGGAAATACCTTCTCAAACCTGGAGCAGGGTGAGAATGTTGCAGCCCTGGGCCCCTCCTGGGTCAGAAGCTGGCTCAGCCCAGCGTTCACAGAGGCCAGCCTCCCAGAGCCTGAGAAGAGGCCTGCACCAGGCGTGGGCACAGAAGGATGCAGATTGTGCAACAGGAGCCAAGGGCTGGAGAGGCATTCTGGCGAGAGATTTGGAAAGCTTCTGGAACAGGGTGAAACATTCATCAGGTGACCCAGGGGATAGGCTCTCCAGGAAGGAGGCCCAGCTCCAGCAGTAGCCAGAGTTCTGGGCATGTTAGGACGGTGAGGTCCTAGCACGCGGGGGGCGGGGGGCACAGGACAAGGTGTGCGGCAGTGCAGGAAGCCAGCTGAGGCACCCTGACCCTCAGGCCATGCCCTTCTGCTCCTGTGCAGGGGACAGCAGAGGGGAGCTTGGGGACTGACATCTCAAAGGCCTGGTCCCCTCCTTGCTCTCGCAGCCAGTCCTTGCTCTAGGACAGTGACCCATGTCTGCAGCCCGACCCAGCCCACCCACAGAGCCCGGCGTCCCAGAGCTGCTGGGGTGCACGGTGGTCGGGAGGTGAGTGGCTGGGCAGTCCTCCGCAGGGCTGCTGCCAGGTATCAGCCTCGGAGGTTTCCCGGAAACAGAGCCAACGCCCCCCCAAGACCTGGGCAGACCGCATGAGCGTAGGGGTCAGGGGACCGGGTCCCCCAGAGGTGTCAGAAAAATGCTCCCAGGAGGAGGACGCCAGGCTGCTGAGGCCTGTGGCTGACACCAGGGGGCAGGGCGGGGCGGCGGGGACAGCGTCCGGAGGAGGGAGCCGCCCAGACCTAGCCCGGGTGGGGCGAACGAAGAGCGGGCGTGGTGGGCGCCTGCTAGCTCCGGCTCGCGGTGTTAGGCCTTGGGGACATCGCTCGGGGACAGGAGAGCCCCGGGCCCCCGCCGCCCCGAGCCGTGGCCGGGAAGGGGAACACAGTCCATGCGTGCGGCGCCCGACAGCCTCTCCCCGCACGCCCGAGCCCCAGTGCAGGCGGCGGCCCGGCCCCTTTGTGCCTGGAGTGTCACGCGCGGGCGCTCCTGCCGCCGCGCCTGGGAGAGGCCTCCGGCACCCCGGGCCCCTTTCCAAGCACAACAGCAGCCCTGCCGCGGCCCCGCGCTGACCCACTTTCCCTCCTGCCTCCTCAGCCCGAGGCCGAGAATCCAGCGGCCGCCGCCAAGCAGGTGCGAGCCGTCGGGCGGGGCGCGCGGGAGGCGGAGAGGATGGGCCCCTGAACCACCCCGCGCGCCCCACCTCAGCCTCCCGGGGCGAGCCAGGTTTCCGGGGCGGGGGCCGCGAGGAGGAGGAGGAGGGCAAGGCGGGGGAACGGGAGGGAGAGGACCCGGGGAGGGGGAGGGGGAGGCGGAGGGGAAGGGGGAGGCGGAGGGGGAGGGGCAGAAGAAGGGGGCAAGGAGGGCAGAGAGATGAGCGAGAAAGAAAGGAGGGGTGCGGGAAAGGAGGAGAGGAAGGAGCGGTGGGAGGAGGAGGAGGGGTGCGGGAGAGAAGGGCTGAGGGAGAGGCGGAGGGAAACCGCACCCCTGCCTCTTTCCTGGGCCGAGGCCAGCCGGGGAGGAAATGTTGAAATGGGCGAAGTGCACATCCGCCTCCAGGCCTAAGGGGTGTAGGGGTCAGGCCGCACCGACCCCGCCCTTCCCAGCCCTTCCTGCCAGACCTCTGCCTCCGATGGGCGAGCCCGGTTGCTGGGAGGCGGTTCGCTGTGGAGCCTGGACCCTCTCCACAGTTCAGCCCGCCGGAGGCGTGTGCGCTTCCAGATGAGAGCACTTGTTCACTGAATGACCGTGCGTACTTGGGGGGACATCTGGCCCCAGAACCTCCAGGAGCAGGGTGGCTAATGCTGAGTGCCGTGGCCTGGCACTGGGAAGCGCCGGTCCTCAGTCCCTTTCCCTGCTCCTGGGCATCCCAGGCCCCTTGGGGCGTTCTTACACTGCCTGAGTTAGACCTGGAAGAGTCCCCTGTGCCAGGGCAGGGGCTTTGCCTGCTTGGTCCTTGTTCACCCCTGTGTATAGCTACTACCTATTACCTACCCACCTGTCCACAAGTGTCAGTGCCTGATGTAGGAAGTTACAGTAATTCACAAATAAATCTATCACAAAGGGACATGGATACTCACACTTCCTTCTTACCCCTACTTCCAGGCAGCCATTGTTAATGGGTGCGTGTGTACAGTTCTGGGCACATACCAACATGCACGGATGCATGTTAACCTGCTTTGTATGGAAGAAACGGGGTCAGGATATCATAAAAAGAATTAATGGGTAATCAGTATTCATCAAATGCCAAGATCTAGTTCTGAGCACTTTGCAAATATTAATTTAATCACCACGAACCTCAGTAAAGTTTATTACTATTACTCGCATTTTTCAGATGAGGCGCCTAAGGCACAGAGAGGTTAAGTAGCCTGCCCAGGATCACACAGCTACTAAGTACAGAAGTCAGAATTTGAGCCTGACTCCAGAGCTCATAAGGTTAACAACGAGGCCTCCCACTTTTATATGCGTATTATTCCATGAATTACTGTTTACACTAAGAATATGTTCTTTTCTGCAACCAATGGAAGATTCCTAGAAGAGGAACTACTGGCTATGTGGCATTGAGATTTTTCTTTTTTCTTTTTTTTTCTGAGATGGAGTCTAGCTCTGTCGCCCAGGCTGGAGTGCAGTGGCACGATCTCAGCTCACTGCAACCTCCGCCTCCTGGGTTCAAGCGGTTCTCCTGCCTCAGCCTCCCAAATATCTGGGATTACAGGCCTGCCACTATGCCCAGCTGATTTTTGTATTTTAAGTAGAGATAGGGTTTCACTGTGTTGGCCAGGCTGGTCTTGAACTCCTCACATTGTGATCCACCCGCCTCGGCCTCCCAAAGTTCTGGGATTACAAGCGTGAGCCACCGCGCCTGGCCGTGTGTTTGAGATTCCTAGAGACATTAGTAAAACCCTCCAAAAGAGTGGGGACCTTACACCAGCCTGCCGGTTCAAGCTCCATACTGGACCTCCACCTCCCCAACCCCCACCCCCACCCCACCAGAAAAGGACCCTCCATCCCCTTCAGGTCATAGAGTGAGGAAGAGGGAAGCTTCAACAGGCCCAGATGGCCCTGGTAATGGGCACGGTGACATTTGGGCAGAGAACCCCAGGGCCCTGCATCTGCAGACCTGGGACAGGCAGAGAATGTCCAATGGGGGTGCTAGTGGCATTGCCTGGCCATGACTCTGTCCAGCTGTGGCATCATGTCCCATGGCCAAAGTGTCCAAGCAAGCCTGCTTCTGCCATTGACCTAGGGAGGCCTCTTGACACCTGCTCATTTTCCAAGCCTGTTCCTCCTGCATCCTCAAGATTCGGAGTGCCCTCCAAAATAAGATCTTTTTCTGTAGTTGTTACTATGGGTTAAGAACCCTCCTGTCTGATACATACAACTGATTACAAACTTTTAATTTTTGCCAATCTGATAAGCAAAAAAAAAGAAAGTAGTTCATGGATTTAGTTTACATTTCCTTTTTAACAGGGAGGTTGGGTAGAGACTTCTTGGTTTGCTCATGCCTGTAATCCTAGCACTTTGGGAGGCTAAGGTAGGAAGATCGCTTGAACTCAGGAATTCAAGCCAACCTGGGCAACATAGCAAGACCTCACCTCCACTAAAGGGAAAAAACAATCCATGTTCCTTTTCTTCCAACCCAACAGATCTGTGGCTGGGCAGCAGCTGCTGAGCTCAACTACAATTCCAGCCTGCTTTACAGTTAGGCTTGTCCACAGGACCAAGTTCTCAGTGACAGAGTAAGAGCAGGCCTGTGATAGGAGCCTCTTCTGTACCTCGGCCTCCAAGCTGCCTAGAATCTGGCTGTGGCAGTGCCCAAGGGGAGGCGAGCAGCAGGAGAGAAGGGTCCTGGGGTTTGGGGGGACCAGGAGGAGCAGAGCTGCTGCTCAGCTCAGATCCATAACCTGAGAAAGAAAGAGGGATGGCACATTTTATGTGTTAACTTAAATATCTGGCTACATCGCTCAGATATTTGATTAGACACTATTCTAGATGTTTTTATGAAGGTATTGATTAATTGATTGATTGATTGAGACAGTCTCACTCTGTTGCCCAGGCTGGAGTGCGGTGGCACAATCTTGGCTCACTGCAACCTCCACCTCCCAGGTTCAAGTGATTCTCGTGCCTCAGCCTCCCAAGTAGCTGGGATTACAGGCATGTGCCACCATGCCTGGCTAATTTTTGTATTTTTAGTAGAGATGGGGTTTCACCATGTTGGCCAGGCTGGTCTCCTGACCTGAAGTGATCTGCCCACCTTGGCTTCCCAAAGTGCTGGGATTACAGGCCTGAGCTACCACAACCGGTGAAAGTACTTTTTAAGATAAGATTAGCATTTAAATCAGAAGATTTTGAGTAAAGCAGATTATTCTCCACAATGTGGGCAGATCTCATCCCATCAGTTGAAGACCTTAAGAGAAAAGAGACTGACCTGCTCTGAGCAAGGAGGAATTCTGCTGGCCAACTGCTTGTGAACTCCAACTTGTAATATCGGTCTCCAGCCTACCGGCTTACTCTGCAGATTTTGGATTTGCCAAGCCTCCACAACCGCAGAAGCCAATTCCTTAAAATGAATCCCTTACAACAGTTCCCTAAAATAAATTCTTCAAAATTCCTTAAAATAAATGTGTGTGCATGTGTGTCTGTGTATATATATAGCCTATGTAATGTCTAATATAGATCTATAATATATATTAGATAAATATACACATACTTATCATATATATATGTGTGTGTGTGTGTGTGTTTCTCCTATTGGTTCTGTTCTCTGGAGAACCTAATACAGAAACAAATCTGTTTATTCTTCTAGCCTCTGTATCATCAGGCCTCTTTGTTAGAGCAGGTGAGCTTTACCCTAACTAATTCAGAGGTTGATTCGTTTTCATGCATGTAGATACTTGTCATTTAGCTTCTATTATCTGCCTGTATTTTAAGGTTCTTTGTCTTAAAATGTTATGACTCCAGGAATGTTATATATTAAGTATATTAACCTTTTGACTATTATATATCTTGCAAACATCTTGTAATCAGTCACTTGTCTCTTTATTTTATTTGGAGCGGCTTTCAACCTAGAGCAGTGGTCCCCAAACCCGGGGCTGCAGACTATTCCCTGTCTGTGGTTTGTTAAGAACCAGGCTACATAGCAGAAGATGAGTAGCAGGCGCGGGAGCATGACCACCTGAGCTCCGCCTCCTGTCAGACCAGCAGCGACATTAGATTCTCATAGGAGCACAAACCCTACTGTGAACTGTGCGTATGAGGGATCTAGGTTGCACATTCCTTAAAAGACTCTTAATGCCTGATGATCTGAGGTGGAACAGGTTCACCCTGAAACCATCCCCCGCTCAGCCTGTGTCTGTGGAAAAATTGTCTTCCATGAAACTGGTCCCTGGTGCCAAAAAGGCTGGGGACTGCTGACCTACAAGATATATTAGTTATGACTCTTGGTGCATACTCTTGACAGAAATCCCACTCAACCTAGTATAATGCAGAGGACAGTTCACGGAGCAACTCAAATAATTGCCACTTTTACAATATTGAAGCTTCCTACGGGAAACATAATACATCTCTCAATTTATGTCCTTTAATACGATTAAACATTTTTCTTCATGTAGGTTCTCCAGAATTTTGGTTATGCCTATGCCTAGATTATTTATGATTGTTGTTGGTATTGCAAATGTCCTCTCCTATTGATTATTTAATGGTATCTATGGAAAGTATTGATTTTTGTGTATTTGCTCTGTGCCCACTTGCCATCTAACTGGTTGTTATATTTTATTGAACCTTTCAAAGGATATGAATTATGCTGATTTTAATGTCTTCTTCTGATTCCTGCATTATTATCCTGTTTTCTCCAGCGTTCTGTCTACTTCTTCTGCAGGCTGTTGGTTTCCTTCAAATGTCTGGGGATTTTTGATTGTCTGATCCCATTTGTAAATGAACGTCCAGAGAGTGGTTTTCAAAGTGAGATCCATGGACCCCTAAGGGTTCTTAAGACTCTTTCTGGGTGTCTGCAAAGCCAAAACTATTTAATAGGAATAAAAAAGACTTGTTTTTCCTAATGGGTGTTCAGGTGCTCACTTCAGCAGCACATATACAAATGGGTGTTCAGTGGAGTTTTCCAGAGTCTACATGATGTGTGTTATCACTATAGCTTGAAAGAAGGAGGTATGAAAATCCAGCTGTTGGCTGGGCATGGCGGCTCCTGCCTGTAATCTCAACACTTTGGGAGGCTGAGGCAGACAGACCACTTGAGGTCAGGAGTTTGAGACCAGCCTGGCCAACATGGTGAAACGCCATCTCTACTAAAAATACAAAAAAAAAAAAAAAAAAAGCTAGGCGTGGTGGTGCATTCCTGTAATCCCAGCTACTTGGGAGGCCGAGGCAGGAGGATTGCTTGAACTGGGAGGCAGAGGTTGCAGTGAGCCAAGATTGTGCCACTGCATTGCAGCCTGGGTGTCAGAGTGAGACTCTGTCTCAATAAATAAATTTAAAAAATTAAATACATATGAATACATAAAAATTAAATGCATAAATACATAAAAATAAAAAAATACAACAACAAAAAAGAAAATCCAGCTATTAAGCCAGACATTGGGGAGTTTTTTTGTTTTGTTTGTTTTGTTTTGAGACAGAGTTTCACTCTTGTTGCCCGGGCTGCAATGCAGTGGCACCATCTCAACTCACTGCAACCTCTGCCTCCCGGGTTCAAGCGGTTCTCCTGTCTCAGCCTCCTGAGTAGCTGGGATTACAGCCACGCACCACCACACCTGGCTAATTTTTTGTATTTTTGGTAAAGATGGGGTTTCACCATGTTGGTCAGGCTGGTCTCAAACTCCCGACCTCAGGTGACTCGCCCGCCTCGGCCTCCCAAAGTGCTGGGATTACAGGCGTGAGCCACCACACCCAGCATGTATAAGTGTTATTTATGTTAACATGCCATTATTATTTTAAGATAAATGAATATTTATTTATTTTTCACTTGAACTTCTACTACCGTAAATATTGATAGATAAACTCATATGAATGAAAGCCCGCTGAGACCCTCAGCCATTTCTAAGAGAGGGTGAAGGGTTCCTGAATGCAGTGTGTTTGCGATCTGTCAGTCTCAACCAATCATTCTTGCTGTGCAGAGTAGTTCTTGCACACAACTAAACCACCACTGTCTGGCAACCCTGGCACCACTGGGCACCTGTGGTCATGGAGACAGGCCAGGACGTTGCAAAGGCAGAGTGCCTTCCTGGGCCTCTCATCTGGGCCGCTCTCCCTGTCAGTGTGGCTGACAGTGCCTGGCAGTCACCTGGGCGGGCCCCTGCTTCTCTCTTTGGGCCAGTGTTGGCTCTGGAGGCTCCCGGTGCATCTTTGTCTTCAGTCTGAATGCTGCACTCAGACTTTACCCTGGGGACAGGCAGGACACTGCCTCAGCCACCTGGGTAGCCGTTTGTGTGATTACCGTATCCAAGCTCCATGACTCATTCCTTCTCCACTGCCCCCACCCTACCCCATTTCCAGACTTGAAATGGTCTCCCACCTGCAGGCCATTGGCTCTATTGCGTTTCACCACGAATCTGATCTCCTCCGCTTTATATCTTCCAGAAATTCTCCAATGTTCTAGTCTGTTGGTGGCATTTTTCCTGGTTTTCAAGGATTTCTAAGTGTTTTTATATTTATCCTACTACATCAGAGGGTGGGGGAGATAGGTAGGAGAGGTGCAGTTGAGCCTTGAACAATGTGAGGGTTGGAGAGCCAACCCCTCACGCAGTCAGAGCTTGTATAACTTCAGGCTCCCTCCAAACTTAACTAATAAATAGCCTACTGTTAACTGGAAGCCTTACTGGTAACATTAAAAAATCAGTTAACACGTACTTTGTATGTGTATTTATACTGTATTCTTACAATAAACTAAGCTTGGGAAAATAAAATGTCATTAAGAATATCATAAGAGAAAGCATTTACTAAGTGGAAGTGGATTATCATAGAAGTCTTCATCCTCGTTGTCTTCATGTTGAGTGGCTGAGGAGGAGGGGCTGGTCTTGCTGCCTCAGGGTGGCAGAGAGGAAGACATGGAGGAAGTGGGAAGGGAGGCAGGAGAGGCAGGGACACTTGGTATAACTCTGATTGAAAAACATCCCTGTGGGTGGACCTGCACAGTTTGAACCTGCGTTGTTCAAGGGTCCACTGTGCTTGAAAGTGTTTAGTCAGCAGTCCTGAACGACATGTAAACAATGGTTGAATGAAGGAGCAAGGGAGCCTAAGGGTGGGGAGAGGCGGGTGTCGGCAAGGACCTTCCTCCAAGACAGGGTTGCTGCGAGGGGCAAATGGTGACTGATGATTCACAAGAAGGCGTACCTGTGTGACAGCACCTGTAAGCCAGGTGGGATCAGTGCGGCCTGTCGTCTGCTGTTGTCATGTGGAGCTCAGCAAACGGTGGGAGTCCTAGGGGACAACATACACAGCTTAGCAGCAGGTGCCCCTCTCTTCGAGCCTAATTTAGCCAATGGGAGTTTAATTTAGCCACGGGGGCGTAATTGCTAGAAGAAAAGAGAAGAAAAAAAACCTGATGCCCTCACCGCCTTCCAATCCTGACTCTTTAGGAAAAGCCTGGATCTCCGACATCTCCAGAGCGCCTGACCAAGCGTGAGAAGGCGGGATGTAGCCGGGGTGTGTGTGTCGGGGGGTGGCAGGATGCTCCCCAGAGGCGGAGAGCGGCGCGTGGGGGGTGCTGCAGGCGTCCTGGGAGTTTGGGGGCGCCGCCCTTCCTCCTGCCTTGGGCCCAACCGGTGGATCCTGTCGAGTCTGTTGTGGTCCCCTTCTTAGGAAAAGCACAGAGAGCCCTTTAAAGATGTTGACCTGACAGCAGCAGGGGGCCCAGGGTGACCACGGAGCAAATCAGGGAAAGGAAACTTAGGTCGCCACACATTTGATTTAAAAGAAAATAACTTCCCTCCTGAAGCAGGGGCTGGGGTAGGTGCCCTGGCACAGGCACAGAACCAGAGAGAACCCTTGCCGCTGCTCCGGAATGTCGGGCCACACCCTCCGGATACGGGAAAGGCTTTCTTCTCCATTTCAAATGACCCTGTTTCGCCTTTTTTAGATACAAATGTTTATTTGGTCTGACTTTGAAATACCTCGGAGCAGCTGAAATAATTGAAGGCAGCCCTGTAAGAAGCAGCACTTCCAGACCTTCTCACGGGCAAACCCTCTGCTGGGACCGCCAAGGGCCCCCGCGAGACACCTGAGGGTCAGCACAGCCCCTCCCTCCCTGTGCCGTGCTGGCCGTGCCGCAGCTGGTCACCCGCACGAGGACCTCGAGATTGCCCTGCGGACTGGCACTTCTCGAGGGAAGTCATCGCAGCTGCCATGGAGCCAGCATTTGTCGGGGACCTGGCACGCAGGCCACCGGCTCTGGGAGAGGGCTGAGGAGCCGTGGGGCTCACGTTTCAGGGATTAGCTTGTGTAACTTGACTTGTTCCCCCAAATTCTACAAGTACAGAGAATATGCAGAAATCTGTGAGAGAAACAACCTTCTGCAGCTCGTTGTTGTGGGGATTATATTAGTAAGATGCCTAGAAAATACGATTCAGAAGGAATGTGGGTGCGTGTGACTTGGTGGTGGGTGGGCTCCACTCACCACCCTCCCTCCGCACCTGTCCGAGGCATTTGAACCAGAGCAACTCCATTTCGAATAGGGGCCGGTAAAATAAGGCTAAGACCTACTGGGCTGCATTCCCAGATGGTTAAGGCATTCTAAGTCACAGGATGAGATACGAGGTCGGCACAAGATACAGGTCATAAAGACCTTGCTGATGAAACAGGCTGCAGTAAATAAGCTGGCTAAAACCCAAAATGGCAACAAGATGTGTCCTCTGGTGGTCCTCACTGCTACACTCCCACCAGCACCATGACAGTTTACAAATGCCATGGCAACATCAGGAAGTTACCCTATATGGTCTGAAAAGAGGAAGCATGAATAATCCACCTCCTGTTTAGCATATCATCAAGAAATAACCATAAAAATGGGCAACCCACAGCCCTTGGGGCTGCTCTGTCTATGGAGTAGCCGTTCTTTTACCCCTTTACTTTCCTAATAAACTTACTTTCACTTTATTCTGTGGACTCGCCCTGAATTCTTTCTTGCCTAAAATCCAAGAACCATCTCTTGGGGTCTGGATCGGGACCACTTTCCTCTAACACACCCACTGAGAAGTGCTTGCTGATGTTAGGGTTCACAGTGTCAGGGGCTGCCGTAGTGTCACCCCATTCTACAGATGAGAAAACAGCCTCAGAGTTTTTTGTTGTTGTTGTTTGAGATGGAGTCTCACTCTTTCCCCCAGGCTGGAGTGCAGTGGCGTGATCTTGGTTCACTGTAACCTCCGCTTTCTGGTTTCAAGCGATTCTCCTGCCTCAGCCTCCCGGAGTAGCTGGGATTACAGGTGCCCGCCACGCCCGGCTAATTTTTGTATTTTTGGTAGAGACGGGGTTTTACCCTGTTGGCTAGGTGCCTCTCAAACTCCTGACCTCGTGATCCGTGGGCCTCTGCCTCCCAAACTGCTGGGATTACAGGCATGAGCATCAGAGTTTTTAAGTCAGAACTGGAGCCTGAGCCCGACAGGTGACACAACCCGGCCTTCCCTGAGGGGCTGGCACGCCGCAAAAGGTCGCCAAGCTCTCCCTCTTCCGGTGTGAGGTGCAGCTCGCCGGTGGGTATGCACAGGGAGTCCTCTATTTTGCTCGGTTTTGCCTGGGACCATGTGCTCTGTGTACTGCATCATGGTCTCCACAGTGGATCTCGGTAGGCACAGCTGGACTTGGTCCTCAGTTGCCTGCTGTGCCCTGCTGGGGATCTTTTTGCACGGGCCATTCCCCCTCGCACTTGCCTTCCCTCCCCCGCTCCTGGCTGGCTCCCACTCTTGGCCGGGGCTCAGGCAGGATTCTCTACTAGACTCAGCAAAGCACCTGCAGTGGGCCTGTAATAGGAGGGAGTGGTGGGTCCGGAGTTGGTTCCTTCCAGTGGGATTGTGGTCTTGCTGATTTTGAGAATGGAGCCCCAGACCTTCCTGGTGTTACAGCTCTCAAAGAAGACAAGGACCCAAAGGGTGAGCAGCAGTAAGAGCTATTGTGAAGAGCAAAAGAACAAAGCTTCCCCACCACGGAAGAGGACCCCAGCAGGTTGCCTCTGCTGGCTCCGTGTGGAGAAGGGTTGGGGGGGAGGCAGCTTTTATTCTCTTATTTGTCCCCGCCCATGTCCTGTTCCTGTCCTATCAGAATGCCCTTTTCTCAATCCTCCCTGCGATTGGTTACTTTTAGAATCCTGCTGATTGGTCCATTTCACAGAGCGCTGATTGGTGTGTTTTACAAATCTCTTGCTAGCTACAGAGCACTGATCGGTGAGTTTTTACACAGCACTGATTGGTGCATTTTACAATCCCTTGCTAGCTACAGAGCACTGATTGGTGCGTTTTACAATCCTAGCTACGGAGTGCTGATTGGTTCGTTTTACAATCCTCTTGTAAGACAGAAAAGTTCTCCAACTTCCCAGTGGACCCAGGAAGTCCCGCTGGCTTCACCTTTCAGTGGGGCTGTGTTTAGGAGACAATTCCACTCAGGCATAGTGGCCTGATCATGGGGTGCAAAGCTGGCGGCCAGACAGCCTTCCAGGTGGTGACTTTTACTATACTGGGGATGTGGCTTTATGGAGCTATGCTGGCCCACTCCCTCCAGAAGGAGCCTGATGGATCAAAGATGGAAACCAAAAAAATACCGGAAGAAAATGATTAAAAACAAAAAACGAACAAAACAAAACTGTTGGCCAGTTGCGGTGGCTTAAGCCTGTAATCCCAGCACTTTGGGAGGCCAAGGCAGTCAGATCATTTGAGGTCAGAAGTTTGAGATCACCCCAACAAACATGATGAAATTCTGACTCTACTAAAAACACAAAAGTCAGCTGGGCATGGTGGCGTGCTTGTAGTCCCAGCTACTCAGGAGGCTGAGGCAGGAGGATCACTTGAACCCAGAAGGTGGAGGCTGCAGTGAGCCAAGATTGTGCCACTGCAGTCCAGCCTGGGTGACAGAACAAGACTCTGTCTCAAACACACACACACACACACACACACACACACACACACACACACACACCCCTGTAATCTTGCAAAGGGGTGAACTCTTTAATGATCTTGCAAAACCCTGTGGCCATAAACAACATAATTGATTTATTCTACCCGATAAGAAAAAAAATATATCTGCATGGCAGAAAACATCCTGCTTAAAGTTAAAAAAAAAAAAGATAAACAGAAAAAAATTATGGCACATTTGTAAGATGGAATTTACCCTGCAGTCATGAAAAAGAATAAGGTATACTTATGTCTATGTGAAAACAGAATCATATGCATAATAATATATGCAACTTATGTCACAGGCAAAGGGCCACTAAAAATCAAAGAGAAAGAAATCCAACAACTGAATTGGAAAATGGGCAATGGGAAGAAATCCTTCCCAGAAAAGAAAAATGCCTCTAAACATTCAAAAATATGCTGACTGTCATCACAATAACAGAAACGCAAACTGAAATATCAATGAAATCCTACTTTCTGCTATCAGATCAGCAAGTTCCAAACTTTGACAATCGCCTTTCAAGTGAGCTGAAGGAACATGCTCCATGGGGGAATGTAGTCACATTTACCAGAACTACACACATATGTGCTCTGGCCCAGCAAGCCCACTTCAGAGTCTTGTCAAGACATGTAATACAGAGGCTCATCAAAGCATTGTAGTGATTGGAAAAGGATAGGAACAACTTAAGCACTATCAAGATTAATTACATCACATCCCTAGGTCTGCATTACCATGCAGTCATTAAAAAAGAGGGAGGTGGCCATGTGTGGTGGCTCTCAAGGTGTAATCCCAGCACTTTGGGAGGCTGAGGCAGATGGATCACTTGAAGTCAGGAGTTCGAGACCAGCCTGACCAACATGGTGAAACCCCATCTGTGCTAAAAATACAAAAACTAGCCAGGTGTGGTGGCGGGCACCTGTAATCCTGGCTACTTGGGAGGCTGAGGCAGGAGAATCACTTGAACCCGGAAGGCGGAGTTTATAGTGAGCCAACATCACGCCCCTGCACTCCAGCCTGGATAACTCCGAGTGAAACTTCAGAGTGAAACTCCGTCTAAAAAAAAAAAAAAAAAAAAAGAAGGAGGTATATTTAGGTCTATGAAACACAGCAATCTTCAGAGTATATTGTTTCATGAAAAAGAGGAAGCTAGAGGGTATGTGTATAGATTTATCTCATTTGTTCGAATGAGTGTATGTGTGTGTGCACACAGAAACTCCTGGTAGGATGCATAAAATATGGACGTTAGTGTGTTTTCTCTGGTGCTATGAACTGAATGTTTGTGTACTCCTCCCCCCAAATTCATATGTAGAAATTTTCGGCCCCAGTGCGATGGCATTAGGAGGTGGAACCCTTGGGAGTTTAGGTCAAGAGGATGGAGACCCCAAGCTCTCTTCCTCTTTCCCTGCCACGTGGCCATCTGCAACCTGAAGAGAGCCCTCCCCATGACCTGACCATACTGGCACCTTGATATGGGACTTCCAGCCTCCTGAACTATGAGAAATAAATGCCTGCTATTTATAAGCCACCCAGTCTATAGTCCTTTGTCATAGCAGCCTGAGCTGACTGAGACCGTCAGGTAAGTGGCCTGGGGTCTGGGGTGGTAGCATTCCTATTGTCTCCTTTATTCTGTTGGAATGTTTGACTCCAAGCATAAAGGACATTTTTAGTTCTTTTGTTTTTTTGGGTTTTTTTTTGAGAGGGAGTCTCACTCTGTCACCCACGCTAGGGTGCAATGGTACAATCTCCACTGCAACCTCTGCCTCCTGGGTTCAAGCAATTTTCCTGCCTCAGCCTCCCGAGTAGCCAGGATTACAGGCGCCTGCCACCATGCTCAGCTAATTTTTGAATTTTTTGTAGAGATGGGGTTTCACCAAGTTGGCCAGGCTGGTTTTGAACTCCTGACCTCAGGTGATCCACCCACCTTGGCGTCACAAAGTGCTGGGATTACAGGCGTGAGCCACCATGCCCGGCCATTTTAAGTTTTTTAAAACACTCAAAGCCATGCCTTGGGGAGGCTGCAGTCTGGCTCTGTCCCACCCTTGCCTGCTGCTGGTTGGAAGTGGGACCAGCCCAGCTGCTCCTTGGGTCAGGGTCTACAAGGCCAGCCCTGGAAAGGCAGATCCACAACACAGCCAGTGCAGCACCAGGAAGGGTGCCCTGGGCTGAAGTCTGCATGGGGCAGCAGAGGCAGAGCCTGCCAGACCTGCAGACATTTCTGCAGTTGATTATGTTCTTACTTGTCCCTAAGATGAGCACTTACCTAGGCATAGCTGATGCCCTCTGGTGGGGCCGGGGGGGGGGTGGTGTCCCAAATCTGATGGTGGAGCAGCAGGGGATCCCCTGTGGGTAGAGACCAACAGGCAGGCTCTGTGCCGTGGGCTGGCTGGTGTACCCAGGAGACCTCAGCTCACACCCTCCTGGGAAGGACTGCCGGCCACTTCATAGGTGGAGCACAGAGGTGCTGGCTCCACCCCCTGTGTGTGCGTGGCACTCTGTAGTCACCAGCCTGGCTGTCTGCCTCCTTGTTCCAGGCATGGTCTCAATGGCCTCAGACCCTCCCTCCTGAGCCTGATTAAGAAGCAAAGCACCCTGCAGTAGGGGACACTCTTCTTAGGAGGAGGCGGCAATTCTCACTAATAAGTGCTTTTCTTCTACCACATCATGTACATTAAGTGGTTTTTTTTTTTTGTTTTGCTTTTTTGTTTTTTTGTTTTGTTTTTGTTTTTGTTTTTTTGGATACAGAGTCTTGCTCTGTTGCCCAGGCTGGAGTGCAGCGGTGCAATCTTTGCTCACTGGACCCTCCGTCTCCCGGGTTCAAGCGATTCTCCTGCCTCAGCCTCCTGAGTAGCTGGAACTACAGGTGTGCGCCACCACACCCAGCTAATTTTTGTATATTTAGTAGAGACAGGCAGGGTTTCACCATGTTGGCCAGGCTGGTCTCGAACTCCTGACCTCAAGTGATCTGCCTGCCTCGCCCTCCTAAGTGTATATTTTTCTTTTCTTTTTTTTTTTTTTGAGACGGAGTCTCGCTCTGTCACTAGGCTGGAGTGCAGTGGTGCCATCTCAGCTCACTGCAACCTCTGCCTCCCGGGTTCAAGCGATTCTCCTTTCTCAGCCTCATGAGTAGCTGGGATTACACACGTGCGCCACCAAACCCAGCTAATTTTTGTATTTTTAGTAGAGACGGGGTTTCACCATGTTGCCCAGGATGGTCTAGATCTCTTGACCTTGTGATCCACCCACCTCGGCCTCCCAAAGTGCTGGGATTACAGGCATGAGCCACCGCGCCTGGCCGTGTATATTTTTCTAAATAGACACCTGACCATGCTTAGGTCATCCATCGAAATTCCCTAGCACTTGCTGGCTTCCCTGAATTCAACTGAATTGCGCGTGCCCACTGCTGCTGCATAACCTATGGCGGGCACAGCCATGGGATAAAGTGGGCAGTGTGCACACATTCCCCGCACAGTCTGTGGCCTGGCCAAGCCCCTGGGCATTCGAGGCTCCCGGCAAGGCTTCGTGTCCCGACAGTTTTGGGTAGGGGCACGAGGTGGGTGAGCCCGGATCCCAGCAGCAGGCATGGCTCCCTGGGTTTTCATGTCATCTGTGCCCCCTTCTACCAGGATCCTGCAGCAGCTGAAGGGAGACCCCTCTCCTTTTAAGGGTTAAACCCCCAGTGGCACAGAGCAACTTACCTGCCCTTGCATGGTGAACACTCCCATCTTTATCACATCAGTAATTCTTGCTAAAAGCAGATGTAATTTTGAAGGTGGGTAAAAGTAACTTGAAAAGTTGGTGGGCAGATGGCAGAGAGCCTGCTCATCCTTCTTTCAAACTGTCATCAGCTGCACAGGTCTCAGCTGCCATCTCATACTATTATTATTGCTATTTTGCATGTGTGCACACCTCTTTCTGTGGGTGTGGAGGGAGGGGACTGAGCAAAGCCTCAGGGAGGCCACATACGTTCTCAGCGCCATGCTTGGCTGGTGACTGGTCATGCACCATTGGCAGGGCCTGGAGCACGTGCAAGGAACAGAGTTCCCGGCTCTGCACACTCAACATGTGTGTTTCATACTGTCACCTGGCTGGCTCCTCTTTCTGGGTCTGTGTGAGCAGAACAGAACACACACTGGGGACAGAGCTTGCCCGAGGGGCTGCCCAGGTTATTTCCATCTTGGTGATGATGACACCACCCTGAGCTCATTTCTTCTTCACAGCAATCCCAGGAGATGGGAACCACTGTTATCCCCATTTTCTTGATAGGTAGACTGAGATGTGAGTGAGGGGAACAGATGGGACAAAGCTAGGACCCAAGGACAGGTGAAGGCAAGGAGGGACGATGCTGCTAATAATCAAGGCCATTCATTTGGTCCCACCCAGAAGCCTGGGCAAGTGGAGACAGCTGGCACTACAGAGGCCATGGGGCAGGGGCAGTGGAGGCCAAACCAGGGGGCTTGATCAGCACTCTGTCTGGGAAGCCATTGAGATCCCAGGTTCCTTCCACAGCATGCCTCAGACAAGCCTGGAAGTTTGTTCTTTGGGGAAATTGTAGAAAGGAGGCTCTAGGCTCAGGGGCTGAAGGACAGCAGAAGGCAGGGGTGGGGTTCTGGACTAAAAAGGGGTCGAGGTATAAGAAGAAAGACTTCACCTACACTGAGGAGATCCCCAAGACCCCCTCCCGACTCTACTCCCAGGAAGTTGGCAGCATGACCTACAAGTACCAGGCAGGACATATGTTCCTAGAGAGGAGACCTAAACATGTTTGCAGGTAAGGGTTGCCCAACAAAGAATCTGCTATAGCCACCAGTCTATAACCATCCCCTGCCAGCAAGAAGTCTTCAGTGAGCTCTTCAGGGCTGTGCCCTTGGAGATGAACCAACTGCCCACGGTCACTGAACACAGGAGTGAAGCAGCCAACATGGAGCACAACCAGCAACACATAGGGAAGAGGCACTCAGAGGAAGCAGAGGGAAGGGGCAGAGCAAAGCTCAACATGAAGCCCCTGTCAGTCACATTCTTGGGAGCTGATAGAGGAGATTGCATCCAGGAAACAAGAATGGCATTCTAGGCTGGGTGTGGTGGCTCACACCTGTAATCCCAACACTTTGGGAGGCTGAGGCGGGCAGATCACCAGAGGTCAGGAGTTCGAGACCAGCCTGGCCAACATGGTGAAACCCTGTCTCTACTTAAAATACAAAAATTAGCTGGGCATGGTGGCGCATGCCTGTAGTCCAGCTACTCGGGAGGCTGAGACAGGAGAATCACTTGAACCCAGGAGGTGGAGGTTGCAGTGAGCTGAGATCACGCCACTGCACTCCAAACTGGGCAACAGAGCAAGACCACAGACACACACACACAAAAAAAAGATTGGCATTCTAGGAGAAAGGGATCATCAAAGCACAAGAAAGAGGACATTTAATAAATAAGATAGAAGGTGGAGTCAAGAAAATTGCTAGAAAAAAGACAAAAAGATTGACAATAAGACACCAAAGACAACTAGCATGTCAATCAGATGATTTGGGGTTCCACTAATTAGAGTTACAAAAGGTGAGACCAGATACAAGGGGGAGACATTTTCAAATAAATAATACAAGAAAATTACCAAGTGAAGGATGGGAGCCTCTGAACGGAAAGAGCCTGTTAAGGACCACCATTTTAGAATTCTACACCAAGGCATGTCACCATACAATCTGAAAGCATTCAGGATGAAGAGAAAGCCTCGCAAGCTGGAGGTTGCAGGGGAGAAGAACAATACACACAAAGATTTAAGGATGAAATGTCATTAGACTTCACGATGGCAGCACTGGAAGACAGGTGACAATAGAATAATGCCTTTGAAACTTTGATGGAAAATCATTTTCCACCTAAATTTCTATATCTTTCCAAATTATTTTTCAAGTATAAAATAGTATAACTGCATTTCTAGGCATACAACATCTTTAAAACCTTTGCCTTCTGTGTATCCTTCCTCAGGAGATAGTGGAGGATGCGTCCCACCCAAACAATCAAGTAAACCAAGAGACAGGAGGACCTGGGGTGCAGGAAGCAGGACCTAGCCCAACGGGGAGACCAAGAGAGACCCCAAGGTGGCAGTTTGTAGCAACAGAACAGGAAGTCAGAGGGCCCTGGGAAGAAGGCCTCCAGGGAAGGCGGAACTGCCAGCCTATGGGATGTGTTAGAGTTTGAAGCAGTTGTTGATAGGTGTTTGGCAGAAATATGGAAGTATTTGGGGGAGAGTTAGCCTTAAGGACATTGACAACTAAGTGAATGATAGAAGGAAGCATTTTCCTCTGGGGCAGGCGGCAGGAGTGGATAATGAGAAAGGAACAAGTTCATTGCACACTATTGGGCTCTGCAATTAACACAATTTGATAGTCCTAGTAATGTAAACACTGATTATTAACCCAAAATTATGATCTAAAGATATATTGGGATGATGGGTGGGGGAGGAAAGTGGGAATACAGTGGAAAGCAAGTGTCGAATCACCACTATTGTGGTAGAAAGTCAGCAAATAATGTCAAGATATAATAAATAAAAATAGCCATATTTCCTTATGTTTTCAGAAGCAGATTTAAAGAAGAAAAGTGGTGGCCTCTGGACTCTGGAATGAGAGCGCCAGGGAGAGAATGCTGCATAATTGTTTGGACTGTATACTACATGTGTGCATCACTTTTCTAAAAATACAAAATTAATGAGGAAAGGAAGAGGCAGCCCTGCCAGTTGCTGGCTGCCATTGTGAGCTCTTTGGAGAATGGGATGCGGGTGCAGGACTGAGGGCAGTCAGCATCAGGGGGACCAGGAGACTCTGGGGAGTTTGAGTCTTTAAGAAATGGAAGACGTTTCCATCCAGTGGGCAACTAGAGGCAGACATCCTGGGTGTGAGAAGCCAGCGGGGCTTTTCTCTCTTCTGCAGGAACTCCTGCCAAGCTGTGGCAGTTGCATTTGTTGGTGGGAAATGGCCCGCAGAAGAATCCAGCCCCCAGTGCTGAGGTGCATGGGAGAGACTGTGGTGGGACTAGGAGAGTGATGGTCTCTAGGCAGCTTGGAGAAAGCAAGGGATAGCATGGCTCCTTTGTGGTGGGATTGGAAGGATGGAGGGGAAAGGAGGCTGGGTGAGGGCCTCTGCCTCTCAGGAAACAAGGCTGAGTCAATGTGGTGGGAGCAAGGTCGAGGTTCCATCTCATGCCAGGAGACAGAGCCATGAGTCCCCCGAGTTCAAGGACCAGGTGAGATCCTGGTTCTCGTGGCCCTTCCCTTTCCTCCGCTGGGGTCTGTGCTGGCCCCTGTCAGTGGCCCTTGCTGAGGAAGGGGCAGAAGGGTGGTCTGCAAGGGAGGGAGGAAGTGGGAACCAGAGAGGTGGGAGGCAGAGAAGGGGCTTGACTGCTGGAGGCAGCTTAGGGGGAGGCTGAGCCCCAGCCCCAATTCAGCAGAGCCAGGAGGCAGAGATGTGGGTGGGTGGTGTATTAGTTTTCTATTGCTGCATAACAAATGGCCCCAGAACTTAACAGCTTAAAACAACACACATGTATATATCACATAGTTTCTGAAGGTCAGAGATTTGGGAGCGGCTTAGCTCATTATTCTGAGTGTCGAGGACACGTGTGAGATTATAGTTGAGCTGTTGACTGGGGCAGTGGTCTCTGAAGACTGGACTGGGGTGGAGGAACTGCTTTTATGCATACTTATGTGACTGTGGGCTGGAGGCCTCTGTTCCTCTCCACATGGGCATCTCCAAATGGCTGCTCAGGAGGTGGCTTTTCCTGGAGCAAGTGATCATACAGAGATAGAAACAGAGAGACAGAGAAACACAGACAGAGAACATAACCAAGAGAGAAGCCATGGTGCCTTTCAGAACCCAGCCTTGAAAGCGGCATGTCATCACTTCTGCTGTATTCTCTGGGTCCTAGATGCAGTGTGGGAGGATTCCACGTGAGGCTGTGAAGGCTGGGAAGCGAGATCACTGGGGGTCATGCTGGGGGTCATCTTGAAGGCTGACTGAGCGCAGCTCATCAACTGGGCACCTACTGTGTGAGAGACTCTGAGCTTCAGGCTGCGGCTGTGATAAGGTCTTGAAGAAACACCTGCTCCCAAGGGACTTAGGCTCTCAGTGGAATTCCAGTTCTTCTGTCTGTATCCCTCACTCCAATCAATCTATATCTATCTATATCTATATCTATATATTACTTTTTAAAATTGTTATCTATTTATTTTATTTTTGAGACAGGGTCTCACTCTGTCACCCGGGCTGGAGTGCGGTGGTGCCATCACAGCTCATTGCACCCTTGACCTCCTGGGCTCAAGTGATCCTCCCACCTTAGCCTCCTAAATAGCTGGGACTACAGGCACGTGCCATCACTTATGGCTAATTTTTGTATTTTTGGTAAAGATGGGGTTTCACCATGTTGCCCAGGCCGGTCTCGAACTCCCAAGATCAAGCAATCGGCCCACTTCGGCCTCTCTAAGTGGGATGAGATTATATGTGTGAGCCACCGCACATGGCCTTCAATTCTAATTTTAAGAATAGAATAGTTGGCTCCTATCTGTTTCCCCTTTTCAGTCTTATCACACTTACATGTTCCTTATTAGTCTCGTGCTATCTCTTTGCTGTAAGTTGGGCATATTTTATTAATTCTGTTCGTCAGATGGGAAAACTGAAGTTACAGAGATAGGCCAAGTATCGGCCAAAGGCTTTCAGTGGTGATGAGCCCAAGGATGGGAGGACCGGGAAGAGAGCTAGAGGCTGCAGGTTCCTTAGACGCCCACCTGCAGTGGTGGCTTTCCCATTCCTTCTTACGTTTCACAGATGTCTCTGTTCTAGGCACTGGGGACATGTCATGAACAAAAAAAACTCCAGCCCCTTCTCTGTGGAGCTTATGGCCCAGGAGCGGGACAGGCGTTGGTCCAAGTATTTCACAGATAAGTACATAATTACAAATGGAAAACACCGATTTGAAAGCAAGTGCAGGATGAAATGAGATTGCACAGAGCCTGACTTGGCTCAGGGCCCGGGAAGCACCTCTGAGGAGGAGGCCTAGAGCCGCGGGTCATTCCCGCCTGACACTCGGATCAGAGAACAAAGAGGCCCCAAACCTTTCAGTTATCTTCAGGCTAATATTAGCATGAGAGACATGTGAATAATTTACTCTTTCTCAACAAATGTGGTTAATACTTAAGGGTAAAAAGGAAAAGATTGAGCCCGAAATTAAAAAATGAAGACAACCTTCAATGATGTATTTCTGCATCAGGCAAGGTGTCTTCTTATGGGAACAGCAGAGTCACCCAGAAACAAGGGTGTAATTATAGCAGTGCCATCTGCGGCACTAAAATAAGAATGATTATCAACACTATCTTTCAGGTTTTTCACTAAGTCAGAACAATTTGCTAAAAATAATCTGTACTGTATCCGCAACGCCCCCAAACAATGTGTGTTTTCCCGTCACCGCGGCTGCCAGCTCCCCACGGGCCGGGCCAGGGGGCCGAGGGGGCTGTTCAGCCCCGCTGGCAACCTTGTCCCCTGTTGGCTGGCTTTCATTGTGAGCATTGTCACTGGAGCAGTGGGAGATGGGTGGAGGGAAAGTTAAGGCTGGATTCCAGCCAGCTCGGGAGGGCCACGCAGACACCAGCTTGATTGAAGAAGGCTGGGTGCATTTCCCAAGAGCCTCCTGGTGGTTTCAGGGCCCATGGCCAGATCATCAGTTCCTGGAATCCCGCTTGGTCCAGAGGGAATGAGTCATACCCCCAACCCCCAGCATAAGGGATGAAAATACAGAAGCCAGATACGAGTTCCCTTGTGCTCCATGCAGAGGTTTCCTTCCAGATTAGAATACTTAGGTCCCCAATCCAGAGCCCCCCTTCCTGAAGTCAGAATTGCCGTGGAGTCTGCAGGGTCACAAAGAGGCGCAGTAAGCATAGGGACTGAGCTCAAAAAGGCGGGTGGAGTGATGATGACATTTCATCCTGGTCATAGGGCCACTGTTGCCTCTATGGAATATTCATGCGATAAAAAAAAAAAAAGAGACCTAACCTAATCTAGTGCAGGGCATGCACTAGATTTCAGAACCTGCTTGCCCCCTGACTCAAAGGAGTCTTTGAGTAGTGTGCAACCTGTACAGCTGTTCATGGCGCCCTGTGGTTGCCATAGTCATGAGAACTCCTGTATGCCCCACAGCACCAAGGGCCTCTTCCCCAAGCAAGAAGAGCCCCTGCCTCAGACTCAGCAACTCTTTTCCCTGAGCAGAGCAGGATGGACGCATTCAACACTGCCCTTCGGATTTCCTCAGGGTATGGGCAATAGTGAATTCATGTTGATTTACTAATCAACTAATCAACTAATTACTAAGTTCTTAGGGTAATGATTTTCGAGTCCCAGGAATGTTTCCAGGAGGAGCTCAAGGCTGATAGGGGTAGGAGAGGTAGGCTGAGCAAAGAGAGTTCTGGACCCTCACCCCTGCTTCACCCGGGAGAGCTCATTTTTTCTTTCTGCCTTACTTGTTGGACTGCTAAGTAAGAGTTACTTTGGAAGAAAAGATGCAACAGAAAAACTGCCCTTAAAGGGCCGCATCCAAAAATGTTCATCATGAGATAGGGACTAAATCATGTGTCCAGATGTGTCCAGAGAAAAGTAACAGGAAATACAAGGTGACATCATCTGGACCCCAGTCTGGGAAAAGGAGCTGGGTAATTCAGACAAACCTGCCTGCTGGAAACAACTGGAAATGTTAGAACATATTTAAAATATTCTTTAAAAATTTTGTATTTTATTTATCTTTTAATTGATGTATAATAATTTTAAATATTTTGGGGATACATAGTGATGTTTTAATACATGTATGGTGATCAAATCAGGGTAATTAGCATACCCATCATCTCAAACATTTATCATTTCTTTGTCTTGGGAACATTCAATATCTTCCTTCTAACTACTTGAAACTATATATTATATTATTGTTAACGATGGTCATCTTACAGTGCTAGAGGCCATTAGAATTTATAATTTATTCCTCCTATCCAGATGTAGCTTTTTTTTTTTTTTTTTTTTTTGAGACTGAGTCTCACTCTGTCGCCGCCCAAGCTGGTGTGCAGTGGCATAATCTCAGCTCACAGCAATCTCTGCCGCCCAGGTTCAAGCAATTCTCCTGTCTCAGCCTCCCATGTAGCTGGGACTACAGGTGCATGCCACCATGCTGGCTAATTTTTGTATTTTAAGTAGAGAGGAGGTTTTACCATATTGGCCAGGCTGGTCTCAAACTCCTGACCTCGAGTGATCTGCCCACCTTGGCCTCCCAAAGTGCTGGGATTACAGGCGTGAGCCACTGAGCCCAGCCCAGATGTAGTTTTTAATCCTTTAACAAATCTCTTCCTAGCCCCTCCTTCCCCTACCCTTCCCAGCCTCCAGTGTGCTCTGTTCCACTTTTTACTTCTATGAGATCAACTTTTTTAAGCTTCCACATATGAGTGAGAGCATGTGGTGTTTAACTTCCTGTGCCTGGCTTATTTTACTTAACATCATGTCCTCCAGTTCCATCCATGTTGCCATGAATGACAGGATTTGCTTCTTTTTTATGGCTGAATAGTATTCCATTGTGTGTATATATCACATTTTCCTCATCCATTCATCTGTTGTTGGACAGATAGGTTGATTTGATACCTTGGCTGTCGTGAATAGTGCCGCAATAAATATGGGGGTGCAGATGTACCTTCAATATTCTGATTTCCTTTCCTTTGGGTAAATGCTCAGTAGTGGAATTGCTGGATATATGGTAATGCTGTTTGTAGTTTCTGAGGAACCTCTGTACTGTTCTCTATAGTGGCTGTACTAGTTTACATTCCCACGAATAGTGTATAAGAGTTTCCTTTTCTCCATAGCCTCACCAGCGTTTGCTATAAATATACTATCTTAAAAGTGCCAAAGAACCAGCAAGATAATGAAGAACTGCCAGGCCAGCTTCTGGGGAAAGCATGCATTAAGAGGGATAAGAATACTGGGGCCTTTGAAGGCTCTTTGGCCTTAAGGGACAGAGTTGAGGCTCAGGGGCCACCCAAGGTGGGGAGTCAGGGTGGAGGCCCTTCCCACACTGAAGGCCAACACCTTTGGGGTAAGGGTGAAGCAGCAGGCAGCCACCTCAGGCAGCAGTCGGGGCACCTGCACCAGGTACTTCAATCAAAGGTGACTGAAGACAGGGAAGTGGGAGGCAGGTTTCATAGGGCTGAATTTTCTACCCAGGGAAAAGTTTTTTCAAGAATAGGGGCAGTATAAAGACTGAGGGAGTTCATCACCAGCTGACTCTTCCTGAAGGGATTTCTGAAAGATGCATTTCAGTGAGAAGGAAAGTGGTCTCAGAGGAAGGTTTGAGGAGGAAGAAGGAGTGAAGAACAGGAAGTACTGAGAGGGTGAATAAAAACAACCATTGATTTCATAAAGCAATGTCTTAATCTGTTTTCTATTGCTTAGAACAGAATACTTGAAACTAGGTAATTTATATAGAAAAGTAATTTATTTTTTTCAGCTATGGAGGCTGAAAAGTCCAAGGTTGGGGGCCGCATCTGGCGAGGACCTTCTTGCTGGTGGGGACCCGTGGCAGAGTCCCAAAGCAGCTCAGGGCATCACAAGGGGAGGGGACTAAGCGCACTAGCTCAGGTCTCTCTTCCTCTTATAAAGCCACCAGTCCCACTCCCATGATAACCCATTAATTCATGAATAGACTAATTCTTTTATCAGAGCAGAACCTGCATGACCCAGGCACCTCTTAAAGGCCCTACCTCTCAATATTGCCACACTGGGGGTTAAATTCTAACATGAATTTTGGAGGGGACAAGTATTCAAACTATAGCAAGCAGTATTAATAATGTCTAGTGGAATTAAGAAAACCAAAACAGAATTAAAGATCTAGATAAGAAAACTTATATTCCAAGCACAAGTTACATGGAGCTCATGGGTTCCAAGGCCCTTCTATTATCTGAGTGGAGGGCAAAAAGGTATTGAGTTCAGAGTCTTATATATTAAGAATTCATAGTATATGTTAATACATTATTCTAATTCTTAATTTTATATTTGGAATTCTAGGGTATTCATTAAAAGATTGGAGCAAGGGTATGGAGAAGAAAAAAATAAGTATACTTAAAGAAGGGAGAAAAGATAAGGAAACAAAGCAAGTATACAATTACAGGTTAGATTAAAATCCAAATATATAAACAATTACTTTATATATATGGACTGAATATTCCAGCTAAAAGACTAAGTTGCTCAAACTAGATTTTAAAAATTACAGCTATACAGTTTTTTTTTCTTTTTTTTTTTTTTAGACAGAGTCACTCTGTAGCCCAGGCCGGAATGCAGTGGTGTGATCTCGGCTCACTGCAACCTCTACCTACTGGGTTCAAGTGATTCTCCCACCTCAGCCTCCCACACAGCTGGGATTACAGGCGCTCCCAATCACGTCTGGCTAATTTTTGTATTTTTAGTAGAGATGGGGTTTCACCATGTTGGCCAGGCTGGTCTCGAACTCTTGACCTCAAATGATCCTCCTGCCTTGGCCTCCCAAAGTGCTGGGATTACAGGCATGAGCCACCTCGCCTGGCCAGCTATGAGAGACTTGTAAAACACAAGGTTACAGGACTGTTGAAAGTGAAAGGTTGGAAAAAACATAGGGGTTCAAAGAAAGGGGATGTCATTACATTAATATCAGACAAAAGACTATTTTGGCATAAGCATTTTATTAGAGGCAAAGAGCATCAAGTAATAACAATAAAAGACCCTGTTAAAATCGAGGCTTAGCCAGGCGCGGTGGCTCACACCTGTAATCCCAGTACTTTGGGAGGCTGAGGTGAGCGGATCACAAGGTCAGGAGATTGAGACCATCCTGGCTAACAGGGTGAAACCCCGTCTCTACTAAAAATGCAAAAAATTAGCCGGGCATGGTGGTGGGCATCTGTAGTCCCAGCCACTCAGGAGGCTGAGGCAGGAGAATGGCGTGAACCTGAGAGGCGGAGTTTGCAGTGAGCCGAGATCACACCACTGCACTCCAGCCTGGGCGACACAGCGAGACTCCGTCTAAAAAAAAAAAAAAAAAAAAACGAGGCTCAGACATGCACAGCCCGCCATGGCTCTGTCCTCCATCGCACTAACACTTGGGTGGCAAACGCAGAGGAGGACTGGCATCTACTGGCCAAGTAACCTTGTCCATTTGATTACTTAGTGCCTCTCCCGGGTGGATTCAAACATCCTTACACCCCGTGCGCACCCTCATACGTCTATCCACTACCTCTTCCCTGGGGCCTTTCTGTCCCTGAACTTCTGGTCTCCTCCCAGGCTCCTGACCATAAGCCCAGCCACTCCCCACTGCCCATAAATCCACGGATGTTTTTACCTTGGGCCTTGGAAACATGAAGTGAATGACCAGGTGCGCCACAGAATGCTCTGCCCATTAGGAAGATGTTCATCGTCGGCAGATGGTGACTACTGCAGCAACCCTGCGTGGTGCTGTGGTGCAGGTACTGTCTGTCTTTGTCTTGCCCTGACATACTGGGTTGATCCATCCATGAACTGAGCTCGGGCTTTTTCCTCCACTGTTACCTGATCATGGAAAGGCCCATGAGGTGTGAGGCATGAAGTTAGAGGTGAAGGAAGAGATGGCAATGCCCAGAGTTGGATGATGAGATCTGGAGTCTGCCTGTGGTTCATCTAGCCCAAGAATCAAAGCTGCCTGTTCTGTAGTCTGGCTCCTGCAGAACCCCTTCTGGATCTGGGAGCCACTCAAAACTAGCCCAAACTAGCAACATTCTGTGTCAACTGGAAAATGGGTAGACCAGTTGCCACATGCAGAGTATTATGCCTCCAAAACCGAAAAACCCCACTACTCATTGCTTTTTTTCCTCTCAGACCTAGAAGTCCAAGGTGGAACAACTCACCCTTTATTTGCAAGTGTAATACATCATTCCCTAGACTCCTGGGCTCCTAGAAACACTACAAATGGGACAGGCCCCTGAATCCTTCTAGGTTTATCTCCTACCCTCAAGAGATCGTATCTTCCGTGGTATCAAGAGAACTTGTCACTTCCTGCCCTTCAGGTCTAGTTACCATGGTATCACCAACACAATGGACCAGTGAGCTGCTCTGCGGAAAGTTCATAGAGCCCCATTCCCTTCCTGAAGACCATATTATATCAGAGGACAGGAGAATCAACCTACCCCATGGGCAAAACTCTGAATGTTTGCTTTGTCTACCACACGTGAATACAAGCTGCTTCTGACCCTCCTTCTGATGGGTATGGAACAGATGGCGTTCACCAGATCAACAGCTACATACCCATACCAAAGTCTGTGTTCATCTGCTCCGATGAAGAAGCTCCATGTGGCGCAGCAGCTGCAACTGAGCTACTGCATGGGAAAGTTTATGGTAGTCCACTCTCATCCACCATAATCCATGCGGTCTCTGCAGGGAAGATACTAATGATTCAAATTCTAGTGAATTAAATGGGGATAGGATGGGGACCACCACCTTGGCACTCTTAAAATCTTTGATGGTGGTCCAACTAGCTGATAGTCCTCCATTACACCTTCCCTGGGCATAATATAATTTTTAAAGTTTTTTACTTTATTTTTGTAGAGATGGAGTCTTTCTTTTTTTGTTGTTTTGTTTTTTGTTGATTTTTTTTTTTTTTTTTTGAGATAGGGTCTTACTTTGTCACCCAGGCCAGAGTGCAGTGGTGCAATCTTGGCTCACTGCAGCCTCGGCCTCCCAGGCTCAAGGGATTCTCCTGCCTCAGCACTCCCAATTAGCTGGGACTATAGGTATGTGCTATCACACCTAGATAATTTTTGTACTTTTTTTCCTTTCTTTTTTTGAGACGGAGTTTTGCTCTTGTTGCCCAGGCTGGAATACAATGGTGTGATCTTGGCTCACTGCAACCTCTGCCTCCCAGGTTCAAGCGATTCTCCTGCCTCAGCCTCCCAAGTAGCTGAGATTATGGGCATGTGCCACCACGCCTGACTAATTTTGTATTTTTAGTAGAGATGGGGTTTCTCCATTTTGGTCAGGCTGGTGTCGAATTCCCGACCTAAGGTGATCTGCCCGTCTCGGCCTCCCAAAGTGCTGGGATTATAGGCATGAGCCACTGTGCCCAGCAATTTTTGTACTTTTTGGAGAGACAGGGTCTTACCATGTTGCCTAGGCTGGTCTCGAACTCCTGAGCTCAAGTGATCTGCCCACCTTGGCCTCCCAAAGTTCTGGGATTACAGGTGTGAGCTACCATGCCTGGCCTGAAAGATAGAGTCTGTGTTGCCCAGGCTGGTCTTGAACTGCTGGCCTCAAGCAATCCTCCTGCTTCCACCTCCCAAAGTGCTGGGATTACAGGTGGGAGCCACTGCGCCTGGCCCCATCATTTTTGATTTACTCTCTGTCTTGGCTGACGGGGGAAATTCAGGGGCTTCCACTTGGCCTTCTCCAATAGGCTCCACAGGTCAAAGAAGCAATTTGTGGGTTCTGCCAACTGCCAAGTAAGTCCATACTAATTAAACTAATTCAGGACATAACCACTGGTGGTTTCATGGGCCCAGTGGACACACTGTGAGACGGATTGGGTCATTTGTTACCTGATTCCCACAGTCCCCGTCCTAACAGGAGAGGCATGATGGCACTTCAGATATGAGTATTGGCTCAGACCATAGCCAACTGCCCTCAAAAACCTGGTTACTTTTTCCAGAGTGTGGTGGTTACTCAAGTAGAATGCCATGGGTCTTTATGGAGAAAGACTGGAGGCCTCGCTACTGTATATACTCACCATAGTGTTACGGGGTTCTTTCTAACAGAAACCAGGCCCTGCTTTAGTCAATGTCAATGGGTTCTTGGTCCAAAAACAGGTTCAAGACTGGAAAATGGGCAAAGGACCACGACTTTCTGTGAACTCCTCTTGGTTTTTTCTTTTTATAACATAAAATTCATCATTTTAGAGTGTGTAATTCAGTGGTGTTTAGTCTACTTCTCTTTGTATGGATTTGCCAGATACTGGACATTTCATACAAATGGAATCCTACGATGTGTGTCCTTCTGTGCCTGGCTTCTTTCACTTGGCATGATGTTGAGAACAGCTTCATCTGGGTTGTAGCATGTGTCAGGCAACTTCCCATTTATGGCTGATTGATATTCCATGGTATGAATATGGGACATTTTGTTTGCCCATTCATCCACGGTTGGACATTTGAGTGTGAATCCATTCTTAACCCTTTTATTTATGTATATTGAGCAGTACTCTGGATAGTTGCCCATCTACTCTGCCTCTAGGGACATCCTGTCCTATTGGCCATCTTCAGTCCATGTATCTCTGAAAATTAGAACACTTACCCCCTTTCTCTTTGTTCTGACCTTGTGGCTCATTCTATTACAGTAATTATACCCACCTTGAAGAAGCAAGTGCTGCAGTGAAGTGCTGCTGCCTGGTCCTTGCTAGTCAAGATTCTAGCATCCCTCCTGCTCCTGGAGAGCCCTGCTCCGTGGTAGCATCTCCGACCACCAGACCTGGCTTGTTGAGGATGGCTACCACTGAGCTTTTTAGCAATACTGGTGCTACCCTCACCAGCAAGCTCCTTGTCACCATGGTAAGTGTCCTCCAGCCCTTCCAAGGAACACTGGCAGATGGTGGGGTTTCCAGTCTCCTAGAGCAGACCGATTCTTCCAGCTGCATCTCTGAGCCTTTTGGTCCCTGATCCCTTCCTCCACAGTCAGCCTTGAAAGTTCAAGCGTGACTTCTCTGTTGCTTTTCTCTTTAGAAAGTGGGCCATTGCTTTTGCCCAAGCTTCCAGAGTCATTCCAAAAGCATACTGGAATCATTCTAGGGCCCTTCCCTAGATGTTAAATTTTGTGCTATGGTCGAATGCCCTCCTATCAACAAAGCTCTCTTCTCTGGCTCACTCTTCTGTTGCCCTTGACCCAGCCCCTTCAGCACCAAGTCTGTGCTGGTGAGCATTAGCCAGATCCTGTAGCTCTTTCTGTGCGTATCCCTCTCCTTCCTGGGCAGGCCCAGCACAAGCCAGGGGCCAGCTAGGACCCTGACACTTGGGATGGTGATCTGTGGATTTGAGAACCTTGAGCCCCCAGGTTCCCTTGCAACTCTCTGGGGCTCCCTAGGGTTTTGTCTCACTTGCTGGAAGATCAAGTCTTATTCACCATTTGAAGACAATGCAAAGGCCTCAAAGGTAGCCTTTTAAGACCATGCTGGCTCCCTCTGGGACTAGCCCCAGCTCCCCTCCTGAGCACCAGACCAATAGCTAGAGCTGGAGGCAGGCATCACAAACCAACTGGGCTGGCTCAGCAGAAAGGACCTTTCTTAGGAGGGTATTGGGCAGCCAGCCTGCAGAACCAAGCTGGGATCAGGACCAGGAACCCAGGGAACTTTGGAGCAGACACCATGTTCGAGGCCACGTCACTGGAAGGGGCCAGGTAGGATGCTGTTGCTGTTAATTTCTGAGGCAACACACTCCCCTTTCTGTGTACAGATTCTAACCATCTCTTCCTGACCGCATCTCTCATAATGAGTCTAAGCCCCATGCAGGAGCATCCTGGAGCCTGAGCCTAAGCCCAGGTCACTGGCCCATGCCCTGCTGGGGTGGGTGGGCAGGTGAAGACGATGCTTTTGGTACTTGGGCTTCAGAAGTCACCTCCCACCCAATTCCCACCATGGCAAGTTCCCTTCCAATGCAGAAAGAGATGAGAGTCTTGGTCAAGTTGAAAAGTTTTCTTTGTATCTTTTACCTGTCACTCGGTGAGAGGCACATGGGTGGGGGTGCTAGGCTATTCCTTCAGCTTTGCCATCAGACCACATGCGTCTCTGCAATGTGGGATTTTCCTGAGGACTTTTCTATTCAGTGAGAGCATTCCAGACTTCATCTACAGGACTGAAGACCTGCTGGAATGTGGGAATGGTGCCATGGGGTACAGAAGGATGAGGAAAGATGCCAAAACCTTCTCAGCCTCCTTGGAATCACCACATGGGTTGGGGGCAGTGGCTTCTCACCATGTTTGAGCTTGAGGTTGGTCCTGCCCGATGGCCATGGTGTTGGCTTGGAATGTGGAGCAGATACAGGCCATCCCCAGGGACTTCCTGCAGCAGGGGGTACAAGAATGTGCCATGTGGGGCTTCCAGATTCAACCTCTTTGCTTTGGGTAACAGATGAAGTCAGCCAGGCATTGGCATGTGGGAAGTGGCCTGGGACCAGAGCTCTGTACTGGGTCGATAGACATGTCTCTTCAGGTCAGTAAAATGAAGCACAGCCTCAATAAAATAACCCAAAAGGGTGCTGAGTTACTGTACAGTCCGTGCTCAATTGAGAAGAGGAGCCCAGCCCACAGCAGCCTCTTCATGCCCCCTCATTGCTGGGTGCTGCTCAGCTGGTTGTGCTGGGGAGGGATCATGTCCCCAAAACATACGGACTTGCTCCAGACAATAGGGTCACCCTAACTGATCATTTTGCTCTGAGCTCTCTGGCATCCCTGGCAACAATGGAAACCCAGTGACTTATGTAGCTGGCATAATCAGGTGACAAACTTTGCTGGTGCATGTATTAGTTTACTAGAGCTTCCATAAAAAAAACCACAGACTAGGGGGAGCTTAAACAACAGAAAGGTATTTTCTCACAGTTCTGGAGGCTGGAGTCTGTGAACAAGATGCTGGCAGGTTTCTAGTGGTTTCTAGTGAGGTCTCTCTCCTTGGCTTGCAGATGGTCATCTTCTGCCTGTGTCTGCACATGGTGTTTCTCTGTGCGTCCTAACCTCTTTTTCTTCTACAGATACCACTCAGATGGAATTAAGACCCCACTCTAATAATCTCATTTTAACTTAACTACCTCTTCAAAGGCCCCATCTCCAAATACATTCAAATTCTGAGATACTAGGGGTTATGACTTCAGCATATGAATTTGGAGGGAATGCAGTTTGGCCCCTAACAGCATGAAATTTACTTGCACCCTGACAAGGAACATTGATGGGCAGTTGGTCCTGTGTCTCCTCCTGGCTCTGCCCATCTGTGGACTGCAGCGCACTGCTCACGGGCCCTTGTTGGATGACGATTCCTGCTTCAGCAGCATCCTTCTCCTTTCCGTACAACCTCACTGCCTAGTCACAGCTGAACGCAGCGTGGAGAGTTTATTCTCAGTAGAGTGTGAGGGGCTTATAGTTCCTGACGTGCTCTCCCTTCCTGAATGATACGCTTTGGGAAGAGTGAGGGAGCAAGGTAGAGAACATGGTTTTTGGACAAGAGCTAGGTCAGACTAAGGAGGGAAAGACTGTCTTCCAGTCGCCGGTTCCCTCCAAGCCCTTGGGGGACTGCTTGTATCACCGAAACCTGGAAACTGAGTCAGGGTCCCACTACAGCGCCGACTGCCTGTGGTCCTTTAATTGTTCTGAACATCGTTTCCTTCACCAGTGAAGCAAATGCTGCCTTCGTATCTACCCTCTGTGTTCTCATCGATGTGTGTGATGTTTCACGTGACAGATCAGTGCTTGTCACACAGATGCCGCAATACCCTGACTGGCCAGGGATCACTGATGAGGGCTTCCACGACCACTTGCCTTTTGCTCCCTCATCTCGGGATGGCCTCTGAAGGCACCTGCTCATGTTGGGGGCTGCGTCCCCTGCAGTTCAGCGAAGGCACCTCTGTGCTGCTGAGCGCTCAAGAGGTCATGAACCAGGCTTTGTAGGGAAAGTGTCGGCAGGATGGTGGCGCAGTCCTGGATCTTGGAGGAATGTTAGATGCTTTCCGTGAAATCCCCTCATTTTACAGCTGAGAACCCTGCACTTTGGAGAACCCCAGAGCTGCTTTCTGTGAAGCATGGAGAAAATAAGAATGTGAACACAGGCCCCTGGACTCCCTCCAGAGCCTCGGTTTCCCTCCCCACTTCACTGAGAAAGAAACTATGAGGTTGGCTGGGTGCGGTGGCTCATGCCTGTAATTCCAGCAGTTTGGGAGGCTGAAGTGGTCAGATCACCTGAGGTCAGGAGTTTGAGACCAGCCTGGCCAACATGGCGAAACCTTGTCTCTACTAAAAAAAGAGGTCGGCTCATCTAGATCTTTGTGAATGATAAATACAAATTTTAAACACATAGCTGCATTTAACAGTTGAAACAAGCCATTCTGAGTTTGAGAACACAGCCTTCCCAGGTCCAGTTGAACTGGATGGGGCCTTGTGCCGGGGTCTGCTCTGAATAGCAGCCTTCATGGAGTTGCCTTGTCTGTGTCAGATGTCCCCTTGGGCCTTTCCATAGCCAAGGGGACCAATGGTGGCACCAATGGGCTGACAGAGGAAGACTGGGAGCCCAGTGGCTGCACATGTCCCACGGACACCCACTTGTCTAATGACAATGCTTTGGGCTGACTAAATCAGCAGCGGAGAGGGAACCTGAGAGGCGGGAGGAGAAGCAGAGCAAGGCAGAGTCGGGGGACCGAGTCCTCCAGGAGGCAGGGCCAGCCCAGCATGGGAATTGGGGGCTGGGGGAGGAAGGGCAGAGCCTGGCCCAGGCCTGGCACACAGCAGATGCCATGCTGTCAACTCAGGGCTGGTGTGGATAGGCTCAGCCTCTCTCTGGGGTCTCTCTCTGAGCCTCTGAGCAGGTGGGCCCTGCAGAGGCCCTCAGAGGCCATTGGAGTCCATGAACATTCTCCAGGGCCAGAGAAGACCATAGAGACAGCAGAAGGAGGAATGCCCTCCTTCCACCAGAAGCTCAGCGCTTTGCAGGGCCAGAGGGCCGTTATTGTGGTAGGGTGGTGGTGATGGTGACGATGATAACACTCAAATCCATGGACTAGGGGGAGACTGTCACCTCACATACCCCCTGACACCCAACTGCCAGCCCACGCTTGAGATATGATGACAAAATCTTCGTGCTTGGGCTCCACAGCCTTTTGCTCCCGCTAAGGGACAACTCTCCCTGGGATGGGGACTTATCTCATTGGGCTGGGCTCAGGGAGTTTCCTGGAGGTGTGCTTTGCTGGGGAAGATGGCAAAGAGCAGGTCCCTGGGGTAAAATAAGGAGAGAGGGGCTGCAGAAAGCGTTCTGTGCCCCAACAGCCTCCACCCCTCCCTGCAGCCAGCGAGGGCGGATGGGAGGCTGTCTGCCGCCAGAGCCTGGCCTGTGCCTCTCTGGAGGGCCTCCTGCCTGTGCCTCTAACACTGCACTGTTCACCATGCCTGCGCCTGGGCACACTCAGAGGGTGTGCCCAGCAGAAAGCTTCAAGAACACTTTACCTGCCCCAGGCCATTCCAGGTTGACCTTCAGAGGCCAGGCAGGCACAGGCTTCCCCTGGGCCACTCTCAGGTAGCCCCTGCAGATTTTGAATTAAACATTTGAGGATTTCACATAGCAGAAAACCAGTTTTTTATCCTGCCAGGAAAAACTTGATGATTTGGCATTCCCACAGGCTGCCATTGGTGGGAGGGGTGGGCTCAGGTCCAGGTTTAGCCCCTACAGCTGGCCTCACTCACCCACCACACCCCTGCAGGCCTCTGAGTAAGTGCCCTCCACTGCGGCTCCGTGCAGAGAAGTGTATTTTTTATGTATTTTTATTTTTATTTTTTTGAGATGGAGTCTCGCTCTGTTGCCCAGGCTGGAGTGCAGTTGCACCTCTCGGCTCACTGCAAGCTCCACCTCCCGGGTTCAAGCAATTCTCCTCCCTCAGCCTCCAGAGTAGCTGGGATTACAGGCGCCCGCCACCACACCTGGTTAATTTTTGTATTTTTAGTAGAGATGGGGTTTTGTCATGTTGGCCAGGCTGGTCTCGAACTCCTGACCTCAAGTGATCCGAGAAGTGTATTTTTTAAATAAAGGAGTTGAAGGGACGCTATGCTCCTTTTTCATCCCTCATGTTCATTCCATGGGCTGCATCACAATGGTGACGCTAGGACTCATCTAATAGTGACAACATGAGACCCTAGGTAGCACTTACCCTCTGCTGGGCATTACTCTGTCTCAGGAAACTGAGGCTCAGCGAACTTGAGATCCCTCACCTGAGCCCTGCAGCTGGTGAGTGGTGGAGCTGGGACTCACACCCATGCAGAGGAACACCAGAGCCTGAACCCTCCATGGTCGGGCGGATATTTTTCCAAGCATTCTCCTCCAGTCGGTCACTTCATGAGCATAAGGACATGGTCCTCCGCCTGGGAACCCCGGGTGCCTGACGGTTCCCACAGCTCACAGCCTGCCCCTCTGTGTAGCCTTTGGGCTGTGGTCCCCCTCTGATCTGAGGCCAGTCACCTCTGCATGTCCGGGTTTCTGCCTGATTCCAGTCCCTGCCAGGGCAAAGGTGGTCCCCCTGTTGAGGGGCAGGGAGGGAGGCAGCCTGTGCTTTCTGCTGTCTCCATGTGCAGCCTGCGTGAAAGCCAGCAGCCTCATGGTCCAGTCACGGCACAGTGTGACAGTCACAGACAGAGAGGCAGAAAAGACACACAGAACACACAGCTATCTTTGTTTAGGCTGCCTCCTTTCCAGCCCTGATTACTTCAGGACGACTCTTGGATCTAACATAACAGAGTGGTCTCCACACTTGGACACAGGAAGGGGAACATCACACACCAGGGCCTGTCGTGGGGTGAGGAGAGGGGGGGAGGGATAGCATTAGGAGATATACCTAATGTAAATGACGAGTTAATGGGTGCAACACACCAACATGGCACATGTATGCATACGTAACAAACCTGTATGTTGTGCACATGTACCCTAGAACTTAAAGTATAATTAAAAACAAACAAACAAAAAAAACCAGAGTGGTCTTCTTCTCTGCACATTCCAGTGGCAAGACAGAGTTTAGGGGATGCCAAGAGGCCAGCACCATCCACGACTCACTCCAATTTTCATGTAAAGACTAGTGTGCCAAGTGCCGCCTAGATGTGAGCTGTGCTGTCCAGCATGAAGGTGAGACTCTCTAACCCTTAGCACTACTCCATGCCCAAGACTGGAGTCACTGACCCAGCCTGGGGCCAATGGCAGAAGGGCTGCCTGTACCCACACTTGACTTCTGGGGTCCTGAGAGAGAGGAGTGTCCCAACCTCTTATTGCCCCCTTGGGGCAGAGGTTGGGCCCTGAGGTGACAGACAACCTCAAATCCTAGGCTCACTTCGGGTCTTGAGACGTGGGCTTCTCTCCATTCTGTTTTAGAAACAAAAAAAGCAAAAATGCATGATTTCAAGGCGGAGAGGAAGTCTTTGGCTGTTCCATGTTCTTTTCCCTTGTCTCAGGCATGCAGCCTTGCCTGGGAAGGGGCCTGCAGACCTTGGAGGACTTGCTCAGCGCAATGGACAAGCAGCCCTTCTGTCAAACACTCCCCATAGGAAGGTAAAATCAGGTCCCGTGGGTTACCAGAGGGTCGAGCCTCTCCAGTGGGGACTTGCCCAAGTCGCTGTGCGTGCAACTGCACATCCTTGCAGGCAGTTTCTTGCATATTTCCAGTTTCCAGCAGCACCCTGCATTACAGAGCCTGCTTCAGAGTAAGCCCCTAGACCCAGAGCTGGCTCCCAGAGGAACAGGATCGCTAGAACTTATTAGAGCCCCTAATAGAACATCCTGCCACTGACATGCTACTCGCCTTCCAGAAAAACTTGAAGATCCTCAGAGATAGGTGCCCAGAAATCATGGGTTAAAACTGATTTTGGACTTCACAAAAGTTTGATTCTGAGCCTGGAGCACCCAGTCCTGAGCTGAGCATTCTCCTCAAAGCTGGGACTCCAGTCTCCATGTGCCCCATGTGCACTCCGAAAGGTGGCTTCCAGAGTGTTCCAAGCCACCAGGGTTTGAGCAGGGCCATATGACCACATTTGTTTGCATGTATCTCCAAACAGTGAGAGATCATAGTGAAGGGTGCCTTTGGCTTCAGTCTGGGGATAATGCTTTTAGTCCTAGGAGCAGCTGAATTCTTCCCCCAGATCCAAAATTTTGGTCATGTTCCCAGAAGGCAGCCCAGCTGGGGAAAATGATGAAGGCGGAGGCTGGCTTCCTGTGGGGTCACAAGAACCTGCAGGTGATGGGGCGAAGGTCTCCTCCAGCATGTTCTTCCACTGGTCGCGTTACATGCAAAATGCCTTCTCAACACCCCTTGTCTTCTCCAGCAAATAGATGTCTCTGGGCTGGCTCAGTTTAGACTCACTCAAGACCAATTCTCTACACATACTTGCCTCAAGTTATTTCTCCACAAACCTGGCATGTAGGTAATGATACAGATGAGGAAACTGAGGCTCAGAGACTTGAAGTGGTGGGGGCAGGGATTTGATTCCAAAGCTCACGCCCTTGACTCAATTGCTATCTGCCTCCCTGCTGTGTTGAACAACTGGCCCTGTGACAGATATAGTAGCATCATCTCCAGACTGCACGAGAGAGACTGAGCCCGGGGAGTTAGCTAATCAATTAGGATCACAGAGCTTATTAGTGATGGATCAGGACCCACCAGCTGTTAGCTGGCCCCGTGTTTGGTCCCCCATCCCCATTGTGATGGTTTTAAAATAGTCCACAAATGCTTTGCTATTCTTCCCATCAAATCTCCTCTCCATGAGTGTGGGCTGTACTTAGTGACTCACTTCTAATGAATAGTATGTAGAGAAATGATAGTGTGGAAAAAATAGTTACTTACGTTTAGGGGTTGTTCTCTCGCACAGCGTGTGTCTATCTGCAAATAACTCACAGCTCCTGGAGGACAGTAATCTTGTCATAGTCATTTCTTTTATTCCCAGTACCTTGCGCTCTGCCTAGCATATAATAGCTGCTTGATAATTATTTTAATACACAAATGAATGAAAGAAATCATGCAAAATGTTGTCATTGTCATTTCTCCAAAGATATTTATGGGTTCAGATACATCAGCGACTTAGAAATGTTGTTAAAGCTTAGATTTCACCAAGAGAAATCATTAGCAACTCTCTACCATGGTAGGGTCAAAGCTGGGGGCTTACAAAATACAATGTTCAATGTGAATCCTCTAGCTTTTCCACCTAAATCTGTGAAGAGTCCAGATGCTAACTTAAGCCAGAATTATTTTCTTCTTTTTCAGGAAAATCAAAAAATTTTTAGACTCACAAGTACTATGAACTCAGAGTAAGAGATAACTTTCCTATGAAGAGCTATTCCAAAATTTTTATTTTTCTTTTTTTCCTTTTTTTTTTTTTTACACTGAGTTTTACTCTTGTTGCCCAGGCTGGAGTGCAATGGTGCAATGTCGGCTCACTGAAACCTCCACCTCCCAGGTTCAAGCGATTCTCGTGCCTCAGTCTCCCAAGTAGCTGGGATTATAGGCATGTACCACCACACCTGGTTAATTTTTGTATTTTTAGTAGAGACAGGGTTTTGCCATGTTAGCCAGGCTGGCCTCGAATTCCTGACAGGTGATCTGCCTGCCTCAACCTCCCAAAGTGCTGGAATTACAGGTGTGAGCCACAACACCCAGGCTTTTTTTTTGCGGGGGGTGATGGGGGGTCTCACTATGTTGCCCAGGATGGTCTTAAACTTCTGGCTTTAAGCTATCCACCTCAGCCTTCCAAAGTGCTGGGATTACAGGCATGAGCCACTGCACTTATCCTCCAATGTTTTAATAAATAATAAAGCATTTAGGCCGGATGCAGTGTCTCATGCCTGTAATCCCAGCACTTTGGGAGGCCAAGGTGAGCAGATCATGAGGTCAGGAGTTCAAAACCAGCCTGGCCAGCATGGTGAAACCTTGTCTCTACTAAAAATACAAAAATTAGCCAGTCATGGTGGCTCGCTTCTATAGTCCCAGCTACTCAGGAGGCTGAGGCAGGAGAATCACTTGAACCTGGGAGACAGAGGTTGCAGTGAGCCAAGATCACGGCACTGCACTCCAGCCTGGGCGACACAGCAAGACTCTGTCTCAAAAAATAAATAAATAAATAAATAAAGCATTTAATAAAATGCTATTTTGCAGGGGGATTTCTTTTGTCATTTGCCAATGAGTGTTATATATTAAATATTTTAAGCAAACATACTAACTTTAAAATTGTATAATAAAATATATATAATAAAATTATGCTAATCCAAAAACTTCTTATGCAAAGCATGAAAACTAATTCTTATAATTAATGCACAATAATATATTTAGCTATATTTTGAGTTCATTAAACAAAATGAATCATTATAGCACTTTCATACTATATGCAGAAAATTACATTTTGTGGAGAATATATGCATATGTACATCATATATACATAATATGTCTGTGTCACTGATCCTTCATTGAAATTGAATTATCTCAGGCAGAAAATTCACTATGAAGTTGGTGTCAGTGACACTACACAAACTGTGTTATGATATTTTATTTATAAACAATAAAGTTCAATAAAACAACTTAAAAAAAAAGAACATGGTAGAAGTGACTGAGTGTGACTCTGGAGACCAGGTCCTGAAAGGCACTGTGGCTTCCTCCTTGCTTGCCCTCTCTTGTCTCTCTTGCTCTGGAGGAAGCCAGCTACCATGTCTTGAGCATGCTCAATGGCCCATGGAGACCTCTAGTCAACAGCCACCTGGGTAATGCTGGAAGCAGACCTCCAGCCCCAGTCAAGCCTTCAGATGCCTGCAGCCCTGGCCAGTGTGTCTGGACTGCAACTCGATGCAATGCTGAGACTGAACTGCAGAGCTGAGTAACTCCCAAATTCCTGACCCTCAGAAACTTCATGAGATAATAAAAGTTTGTTATTTCAGCTGCAAGGCTTGGGAGTAACTGGTTACACGGCAGCAAATAGCTAATAAACCCATTCCATTTCCCGTTTTTATGATCTTCTGTCATCATGTGCTTGGCACCACTCCCACTCCACTCCAGAGAAAGTCCATGCCATGAAGAAGTGAGGATGTTTTTGGACGTTCTTTTGCACAATAGCATGGTACAACTGCTCGAGCCGTTTCTGGAATATTTTCCAAGAAACTCACCTTCTTCCAAAGGATGAAGAGATCCCAAGGCTCCTCCAGGCCACAGCCTAGAGCTATTCCTGATCTTTTTCATCCCAGAGAACACTCCAAGGCTCTAAAGTAACTACAGTGAGTCGTAAATGAAAGGGAGCCATGCCCAGGGTACTGGTGCCTCTGGCTTGTTGCCTGGGGCACAGGAGCCACCTGTGAGGAGCAACAGCAGCACCTCCAGGTTCTGAAAAAGTGGACAAAAAGGGATAAATGTGGGCCCAAGGCTAGACAGAGCAGAACAGTGGCGGCCACCATAGCAGGCTCATCTATGGGAGGAGCAGGGGCAGCCAGGAGCAGGGGCAGCCAGGAGCAGGGGCAGCCAGAAGCATCCACAGCCCTCCTGGAAGCCTCCATCTTGGGTGACAAGCTGTGCCTCATTTCTGAGAAGAAACGCATGCTGCTACTGACAGCGGTTGCCTCTGGGGCGGGGGACTGGGTGGCTGGCCGGGAAGGAAGACACATTTTTTATTCTGTGTACCTGACTTTGTCTATTGAGTGTTGTTCTATGGGCATGTGTTACCTCTTTAAAGATAGATCAATTACATATATTTAAAGTTATAACTAATCAATTACTACACTCTGCTTAGGTGTTCCTAAAAAGAAGGAGTTTGTGGTTCCATAAGTTTGGGGAACTGAGCTAATGAGCCCCCTTTATGGAGTGACACCTTAATGTCTTCAGGAGCTGAGAAATTCTGTAGTAGAGGATCATGTTTAATCTGCTTAAACCTGAATTTTCCAAGTTTGTTCTACCACATAACTATTTTTTCATAAACTCTGTATAAATAGCCCTGACTATAAATAGCTAGTTGTGTGTTTTATGCCACAAAGCTCGGGTCTGGGCCATTGACAACATAGTTCCAGTTACACACCCTTGGACACCAGGTGCAGGGCCAGAAGGAAGGACCTGAGGGAGGGCGGTGTGGTGTGGCCAGATGTCAGGACGGGAACTTGAAGCAATAGAGAAATTGAGAGTGTGGAAAGGGGATCTCCAGAGAGAAAATCCCCCAACCTACTCTATAATTTTCCCAACGGCAGGCCTGTGAGTTTTCACGCTGCCACCCAGGCTGGAGTGCAGTGGCGCAATCTATGCTCTCTGCAACCTCCACCTCCTGGGTTCAAGTGATTCTCCCCACTCAGCCTCCTGAGTAACTGGGATTACAGGCACCTGCCACCAAGCCCAGCTAATTTTTTGTGTTGTAAATACAGACAGGGTTTCACCATGTTGACCAAGCTGGTCTTGAACTCCTGACCTCAAGTGATCTGCCCGCCTCAGCCTCCCAAAGTGCTGGAATTACAGGCGTGAGCCACATTCCTTCATTCTTAATTCACAAATTCACTAAACATACACCGTGTTTATGGCCTGGGCCTAAGTGAGGTTTGTTGTCTGCCCTCAGGAAACTCACCTCTAGTGAGGAAGATGTGCAGAAAACAGCAGCAGGAGACAGTGCAGCCCCTGTGGGCTTAGGAAAGCCTCTTCCAGAAATGGCCTATGTGCCACACCCAGAGTGTGAGCTGCACTCAGCCCAGGGGAGAAGTGTGGAGGGCGTGCCAGCTGCCCTGGGGAGCCCGGGGCTTCAAGGAGCCAAGAGCAGGCAAGTGGGGCTGGAGCCTGGTTGGGGCTGTGCTGGTGGCTGCCAGGGTCGCTGCCCACACCCGCCGTCTGTGCTCTGCTCTGGGGCTCCGGGGTTTCTGCATGTGCCAGGCACCTCACCCACTGGCTTCTGGTTAGGCCCTGTGGTAGCACCTAACATAGGAGGTGTGGCAGGAGCTCCAAAGGCAGGAGGAAGAGAGGAATGTCCGTATCACAGCATGGCAGTTGTAGCAGCAGGAGCTGGATGATTAGGGACCCCAGAAGCCTGAGCACAGGCGGCACCTTTATCAGCAGTCACAGCTCTGGCAAAGAAGATGCATCCTCCTCGATACAGAACAGCAGTGCCAGCTCCTCCCACAGCCCCTGCTTCTCTACCAGGGCAGCAGCAGGTGCTGACTCTGGGCTCTAGCCCAGTGGTGCAATGGGTTGAGTGTTTGTGTCCCTCCCAGTTTCATATATTGAAATCCTAACTCCTGTGGTGATGGTGTTGGGAGGTGAAGCCTTTGCTGGGGGTGATTAGGCCCTGAGAGTGAAGCCCTCATGAAGGGGATGAGTGCCCTTATGCAAGAGGCCCAAGAGAGACCCCTTGTCCCTTCTACTATGTAAGCACGCAGCAAGAAGTCACCGACTGTGAACCAGGAAGCCCTCACCAGACACTGATTCTGCTGGTACCTTGATTTTGGGCTTCCTAGCCTCTAAAACTATGAGAAATAAATTCCTATTGTTCATAGACCACTCAGTTTATGATATTTTGTTATAGCAGCCAGAATGGACCAAGACAAAGGGTACTAGTGATTCTTATCTGTGGGTACCTCCCCTTCTTCCTCTTGTTCCCTGGCCTGCTCCTCCCTTCTACTCCTTTATCCTTCCAACACCTTTGTAATCGGTTCTCTGCATAATATGTGAAATACCTAGCATGGTTTCTGTCTCCCAGGCTGAGTCAGTACTGCTTCAGGAAACAGACCCTCCAAGCTGGGTCTTTGTGGTTGGGTTGTTGACCTGTGTGAGTATGAGAATATGAAAGCAGAGATAAACTCATTACCCATGGAAAATAGGACATTGGTGACCTGTGGCACTGCAATTACTTAGTTGTCACCTGTGGTTGCTTGGAAGGGAGCATCTACTGAAGATAAGACTTGGGGACAGCGGCCGGGCATGGTGGCTCACGCCTGTAATCCTAGCACTTTGGGAGGCCAAGGCAGGTGGATCATGAGGTCAGGAGATCGAGACCATCCTGGCTAACATGGTGAAACCCCGTCTCTATTAAAAATCCAAAAATTAGCCGGGTGTGGTGGCGGGCGCCTATAGTCCCAGCTACTCGGGAGGCTGAGACAGGAGAATGGTGTCAACCCAGGAGGCAGAGATTGCAGTGAGCCGAGATTGCACCACTGCACTCCAGCCTAGGCAACAGAGTGAGACTCCATGTCAAAAAAAAAAAAAAAAAAAAAAAGAAGACTTGGGGACAGCAAGTTGCCACCATACTTGACCCTTATGGCAAAATTGATGTCCACAGGGACTATGGGTGGATGGCTTCTGAGGTCACTGAAGGGATTCCAAATAGGACAATAAAGATAAAGACGAGGAAGAAGAATAGAATGAGAAAGAGGAGAGGAAGAAAATGGATAAAGTGGACCATATTAAAATGAATAACTAATTTCAAGAGATTTATTAAGAGAATAAAAAGAAAAACCAAACTGGGAGAATGTATATGTGACACACATATTTGATAAAAGACTTATGTCCAGAATATATAAAGAGCTTCTAGAAATCAACAAGAAGAGAGAAGATAATCCAACAGAAAAACTGGTTAAAGAGCTTGAGTGGGCCCTTCACAAAAGAGCGTGTCCTAGTGGCCAACAAACATATGAGAAGGTGCTCAACCTCATTGGTCATCAAGGAAACACCTATCAAAACTACAGTGTGTCAAAACCACAATGAGATATCACCTCACACACAAAAGAGTGGTTATAATTTTTAAAAAAGGAAATAAGTGTTGGTGAAATGTGGAGGAATCAGAACCTTTATACATTGCTAGTGAGAATATTAAATGACGCAGACACTTTGGAAAGCAATCTGGTAGTTTCTCAAAAGTTTAACCTAGAGTTACCATTTGACTCAGCAATTCCACTCCTAAGTAGAGTTTCCAAGAGGAATGAAAATGTGTGTTCACACAAGAACCTGGACGTGAATGTTCATAGCACCATTAGTCATGTGCTGCTATGTTCATTGGCTGCAATGTTCACAGGAGCCAAAAAGTGAAAACAATCCAAATATCTACCCACTGATGAATGGATTAACAAAAAGTGATGTTTCTGTACAACAAAATGGTATTTGACCATTAAAAGGAATGAAGTACTGACAGACATGCCACCACATGAATGAACCTTGAAAACATCATGCTAGTTAAAAGAAGCCAGTCACAAAGACCACACATGACCTAATTCCATATATATGAAATGTCCAGAATAGGCCAGGTGCTGTGTCTCACACCTGTAATCCAAGCACTTTGGGAGACGGAGGTAGGCGGATGGCTTGAGCTCAGGAGCTTGAGACCTGCCTGGGCAACATGGCAAAACCTCATCTCTACCAAAAATACAAAAAAAAAAAAAAAAAGCCAGGTGTGGTGGGGTGCACCTGTTGTCCCAGCTACTCAGGAGGTGGGAGGATTGCTTGAGCCTAGGAGGCAGAGGTTGCAGTGAGTCGGGATCATGCCACTGCACTCCAACCTAGGCGACAGAGTGAGACCCTGTATGAAAAGAAAAGAAAAGAAGAGTCCAGAATAGGCAAATCTATGGAGACAGAAAATAGATTAGTGGTTGCCAGGGATAGGGAGAAGGGGGTGTTGGAGGTGATTGCTAAAGGTTATAAGGTTACTTTTGGGGGTGATGAAAATGCTCTAAAATTGATTGTGGTGATAGCTGTATGACTCTGCATATACTAAAATTCATTGAATTGTACACTTCAGATGGGTGTTAGAGCTCAGCTGTAATAAAGAAAAATAAAGAGAAAAGGAAAGGGAAAGAAAAGAAGAAAGAAAAAGAAGGAAGGGAGGGAGGGAGGAAGGAAGAAGGGAGGGAGGGAGGGAAAGAGAGAAAGAGAGAGAGAAAGAAAGAAAAAAGAAAGAAAGGAAGGAAGGGAGAAAGAGAAAAAGAAAGAAGAAAGAAAGAAAGGGAAGGAGGGAAACAAGGAAGAAAGAAAGAAGAAAATAAAGAAGAAAAGAAAGAAAAAGAAAGGATGGAAGAAATAATGAAAAGAAAGAAAAAGAGAAAGGAAAGAAAGAGGAAAAGAGAAGAAAGGAAAGAAAAAAGAAGAAAGAAGGGAGGGAGGGAAAGAAGGAGGAGGGGAGGGATAGAGAGAGAGAGAAAGAGAGGAAAGAAAGAGAAAGAAAGAAAGAGGAAGAGAAGACAGAAGAGAAAAGAGAGGGGAGGGGAGGGGAGGGAAGGGAGAAAATGCAATGCCACCACCTACCCACTAGAAAGGCTAAAATGTAAAAGACTGAATCCCAAACATAGTTGAGGATGGAGAGAAACCAGACTGCAGTGGGGAGAGTGGCTTGGCGTTATCACTTTGGAAGACAGGTGCATGACCAAAGCTGAACATGTGCTTGCCTATGACCCAGCAATTCCACCCCTAGGAATATAACCAACAGAAATACATATGTGTGTGTGTGTGTGTGTGTGTGTGTGTGTGTTCACCAAAAGATAGGTCCTAAGAATGATCAAAGCAGGCCGGGCATAGTGGCTCATGGCTGTAATCCCAGCACTTTGGGAGGCCGAGGTGGGTGGATCATGAGGTCAGGAGTTCGAGACCAGCCTGGCCAATACGGTGAAACCCCGTCTCTACTAAAAAAAAATACAAAAATCAGCTGGGCTAGTGGCGCGTACCTGCAGTTCCAGCTACTCAGGAGGCTGAGGCAGGAGAATCACTTGAACCTGGGAGGCAGAGGTTGTGATAAGCGAGATTGCGATGAGCCGAGATTGCGCCACTGCACTCTAGCCTGGGTGACAGAGTGAGACTCTGTCTCAAAAAAAAAGAAGAAAAAAAAAAGATGAAAGCAGCACTTTGTAGTAGACAAACACTGAAAACTACCCAAATATTCATCAACAGTAGAATAGACAAATAATTGCTTTTATCCTCGTACATGAAATCTTCATAACTACGAGTATCAACCATGCACAATCACACAGAACCACAGAGATGACTCTTAGACACAGAGAGTTGAGAGAAAGAAGCCAGGCCCTAAAGTACAGACAATATGCGTCCATTCGTACAAAGTTCAAATAGGCAGAACTGCCACCTGGGGTTAGGGTCAGGGTGATGGTCACTCTAGGGGGTGGAGGGTAGGCCTTGGAGGGGCCCAGAGGGAGCTCTAGGGTGCTGGCCATGTGCTTTTGGCCTGGATGCTGTTACACAGATGTGTGCTTTATGTCGGGTTGTACACTTACAATTTGTGTACTTTTTCTTTTTTTTAGGCAGAGTCCCACTCTGTTGCCCAGGTTGGAGTGCAGTGGCACCTGCATCGGTTCACTGTGGGCTCCGCCTCCCGGCCTCAAGCGATTCTCATGCCTCAGCCTCCTGAGTCGGTGGGATTACAGGCATGCACCACCATGCCTGGCTAATTTTTTTGTATTTTTAGTAGACGGAGTCTTACTAGATTGTCCAGGCTGGTCTTGAACTGCTGGCCTCAAGGGATCTTCCCAGCTCAGCCTCCCAAAGCACTGGAATTATAGGTATAAGCCATGAAGCCCAGCCCCTATAAGTAGTCCTGAGGCCTGTTGGCATCTACAACTTTGTGTGCTCTCCAGCCAATGCAGCTCTCCTTCGCCTTCTGCCTGCAGCTCAGCTAGTCGGGGCTCTTTACATGATGGGATCATTGAGGCTTTATTTGTGCCTTTGGTTGTTGCTGCACTTCCTCACTGACCTTTATGACCGGACAGCAGGTACTTGTAGGAACCCCAGAGACTCCCCCTGGCTTCTGGACCTTCCTTCTGCCTTGGTGTATAGCAGCACCCAGCTTCCCCTTGGTAATCAGGGTGGACCACCCCGGATGAGAGGGCACTCAAGGCAGCAGGAACAGCACGTTTCAGGGTATGGAGCAGTAAAAGGCATGCACCTTTGGGGTAAGTCAGTGGAGCTGAAAGATGGAGCTTTGCAAGCAGCAGCGCCTGTGGCTGGCAGGGATCCAACCTCCCAGCTGTTGTTTGATGGGCACTGGGTCCCTTTCAGGATTCTAAGTCAGGAGGGACAAGGTGAGAACTCACCATGTTTTGTCAAAGATGCATGGATGGGAGATGGGGCCTGGGATCCGTGTCCTCCGCTTGCCACTGGCAATCCATGCTCCTTTGTTGCAGAGTGAGGGCTTTGAAATCTCAGAGATCTGGTCTAAACTCCTGCTCGGCCACACCAGTTGTGTGAGCTTGAGGACATGAGTGAGCTCAGACTCCAGATTATTCAGGTGTAAAGACAAAGGTGATTGTGGGGATTAATAAGGTAATGTAAGTGACATATGGCAGAGTAGACACGGTTTGCCTTGGCTTCCTTTGGCTTATCTGGAAGTTATTTCCTCTGTAAAATGAGGTAGGCACATCGATGCTCTACGGGGTGCAAGAGGACTTAGGTGGGTCAGTCCAGTGGGGAATCATGGGCTGGCTGTGGTCTGAGGGGCAGCCCACAGGAGTCCAGGCAGAGGAGGGTCTGGAGGTGGGAGCTGCAGGAGCCCTGAGTCAGCACCACGGGGCATCTTCACCAGCTCATCCCCAGCCTCTCCATGTATGGCCCAAAGCTGGCATTTCTGATTTCCAGACTCTGCCTCCTGGCACCCACGGTCTTTGTGGATCCCAGAGAGGCTCACCCTGGGACTCAGAAGAGGTGTGCTGTGGAGAGGAAGGAGGCCGAGGCAGCCTGGGGGAGGAGGAAAAACCCAGCATTGGGGGTGTGAAGACCCGTTTAGCTTTCAAACTGGTTCCAAAGATTTGTTCAGGAATTACTCCAGGGGAGGAGTCACCCCTGTCTTTGGGGATGTCTCTGGCGTGTTAAGAGTTTCAGGTAGGATTTTGCTTGGGGAAAAAAGTTCTTCAATATACACACACACACAGACACACACACACACACACATACACACACGCAAAAACAACCAGGGGCAAGTTAATATCTAAGCTCTCTTTCTAGTGCACATAACAGTGACCTATCACCAGTTCCTCCTGGATCCTGGGTAATCCTTTATGGACAGGGACCTTATTTTACATTGTACCCTCAGGGTACAGCCTGGTGTGGCAGGCAAGCCCTTGATGACTGTTTACTGTCCAAGCTGAACACCTGAAGGGGTCACACTACAGGCCAGGCTTGTAGACATCCGACAAAAATCAAGAAGCCTATCTGGCCCTAAATCTGTTGCTGTTCATCCATGTCACACATATCACATGCAAACAAGGCTGCATTGAGATTCTGGAAGGCAAACACACGGCCATATGCCATCTTCTCTGGGCATAGTAAATCAGGTTCTGGGGTGCATGTATATGAGCCCCACACCTTCAGCGCCTCTCAGCACTTTCCTGGGGTCTGATCTTTCTGATCCGGATGAGGTGACTTTGCCCCAGCTACGCTGGATTAGCGCAGGGATGTGCACTTGACCAACCAAAGCCCCCTCCTCAGGAGTGCAGAACTGGCCCCAGGAGATCCTAGCTCACTTTACCGAGACATAAACTTGGGGGGATTTGGGACAGTCATTTCCCATGGCAGGGTCTGGGAGCACAGGGCATCTGTCTGCAGAGGAAGGAGCTCCAAGCCAACGCAGAGAGAGTTTGAGGTGATTCTGCTGCACCCTCCCCAGGGCTCTCTGGAGCTCCAGCGTGGCTTCCTTGTCTCAAGTTCCTCTTTCAGTGTAAAGTCAGCTAGAATTGGTGACTTGCAAAAGACCTGAATCATGCACTGACCTTTTGGCAGGCCCTCTCTTGCTCTAGAGAATCTGGCCTAAGCATGCAGACTCTGGAAATTTATCCCACAGCACGTGCATAGTTTTCGATGCGTCATTTACCCAATGAGGCTGAACCTGGAATTGGACTTCTACCTGCCCGTCCTTTCCAGGTTTTAACTATGTCCTAGCTCTCTTGACTTGAGCTGGGAAATTCCCTATGCCACTTAGACTCTGCAGCTCAGCTCAAAGGCCCTGATGTGATGCCCCCCTGAAAGCCAGGGCAATCCCACCTCTGCAATGCTGCCGCCGCCACCCTGCCATCTTCCCGAACCTCTGCTCTCAGCTTGTCTCTCCCCAGCCTGGGTCCTGAAAAGGTTCCACTGAGCACAGTGCCTGCTCCCAGCCATCTGTCTTGCCCTCAGCTGTGTGCCAGCCACATGCTAGCCAGGCCCGGCCTGTCCTGCTCTCGCCCTGTTCCCTCCCTGGCTGATTCGAACCCCACACTCCCCTCCCCACCCAGCCAACATCTGGGGACTGCTTCTTCGGGGACCAGCCCCACTGTGTCTTGTCTGATCTCCACGTGTTTCTGCAGTGGCCCTTTCCTGGGTGACCCGTCTGCTCAGAGCAGAAACTGAGATGGGCAGGCCTGCGCCACCTTCCCCTTGGCGCCTTTCCAGTGCTGAGTGTTCTGCCTGGCACAAAGCCAGGGTTCCGCAAACGCTGGTTGAACCGAAACCCACTGTGGTTGCCGGTTCCTGAGCTGGTCTTTCTTCTCGTTCCCATGCCCAGCTCCCAGCCACGAACTGTGGGCTGATCCTGTGGCCGGCTCCCTGTCCTGTGGCCCAGAGAGTGTCTTCGGCTGGGGATCCTGCTGTCGGGGCCCTGCTGTGCCTGCTGCCAGGGCCTCACCAGCCTGCTCTGAGCAGCTGGGCCACACTGAGCACCTGCCCTGCCCTGCTTGGCAGTCAGGAAGGACTTCCTGTTTCTGCTTCTGAAATGGACTGCCAGCTCCAGGGGGCGGCAGGGGACCGGCCCCAACACCCCTGCCATCCGAGTGGCACCTAGGCTGCCCGGCAGCCCTCCCTCACCCCTTCTTGTGTCTCCTGCTATGGGTGGGCTTCAGGAAACGTGCACTTAGCAGGCTGAGGCCTAAACTCAGCTATGGGCTTAGGATCCAGAGGAGGAGCCCTGGAGAGCAGCACGCAGAACCTTTTGGCTTTGAGAAGGAGGGGGATGAGGGGCAGGGGGCAGGGGCGACTGTGAGGTCCTGGGCTTGGGGACCCTAGGGAAGGAGTGGAGCAGCTTTAGGGACCCCATACAAAGGTCCCCAGGCCTCACATGAACCGTACCTCCCCAGCACCTCCCATGATCCCCATCTCCCCACCCTGGACTAAGCACTGGGAGGGGGCTGCCGGGAGGAAAGGCCCCACTGTGGGAGATAGGGGAGTAGGGAGTATCAAAGGGGCACAGAGAGAAGGCATTTCAGGAAGCACCTTCACCAGGACTGGCCACAAATAATCCCCAGGCAGAGTCCATTCCAGTGGTTCTCACCTGCAGACCTGTCCCTGCCTCCTGCCTTTCCCTGTGCATGCTCTGAGCCAGAAAGGACAACTAAGAGACGGTGACAGAGGGGCTTCAGGACGCCGCCTCTGTGGGGAGCTGGTGGGCTGTGGCATCCCTTAGGGGGTAACCCCACTGCCCAGACTGCTGGGCTCCAGGGAGTGGAGGGGGCAGAGGGCACCCGCCCCCACCTCTGCACTCGGTGGTCCTAGGGCCCCCGGTCTGCAGGGTCCATTGGGGCAGCAGCTAGAAAAATGTCTGGCTACAAGGGACAGGGGCCCACCCCAGAGGCTTAGGGCAGCAGCTCGTTTTCTGCCACAGAGAGAGGTCTGGGGCAGGCAGCTGTGCACGTTCAGCTCTGCTATTCGAGGGCCTTCCGGGGGGCCTCCCTCCTGGTGTGGTGCTCTAGACACTGGGCCGCCAGCAAGGGGTGAGGAAGGCAAAGGCCTTGCCTGCTGCGGCATTGCTGATATCAGGGAAGCAATAGATTTTCCCAGCCGACCTTGTTTAGGGTCTCAGGCCACCCAAGCTGTGAGCTAGGCTAGGAGAGTGAACGGGGCTGTCGAAATGGACTTTGACCGCAGCCGCCGAACAGCACTCAGGAGTGGGCGGGATATTAGGATATTGGAGGGTTCTCCACAGTGAGAGCTCTTGTGGCTGCCACCAAACAGGGCAGGGTCTGGTGGGGGGGCAGGAGGATCAGGGACCTGGAGTCTGGCATGGGGTGGCCTGTCTAGGCAGAAGCTCTGGGGAGTCCCTGGGAAGGCCCCAAGCCCCAGGGTCAGGAGTCTCTTTTTAGGCTGAGGGGGCATCGACACCCGGGTGCAGGAGTCTGCATGGGTTGGCCGAGCACACAGGTGTGAAGGCAGCCCTTTGATGTGCCTTGATGGTGCAAGGAGAGAGCCGGGTGGTCTTGCAGTCACCAGGCTGGGGCTCCAGCCCCACGTTACAGCCTTGCTGTTGCCCTCTAGTGACCCCTTGCATCTTGGAAGTGAGGCGACATGTGGTAAACACCTGGCACCTGCAGGGACTCCCTGGGTAGCCCTCAGAGGAGGCCACGGGGTCAGCTGGGGACGCAGAGGGTGAGACAGAAGAGAAACTGGGATGGGGCTGACTTCCAGGAAGCCGGGACATCATGGGGCCCCAGCTTAGTCTGGCCCAGCTGTCAGAGGGGCTGCTGGTTCAGAGCCTGGGGCCTTCTTAGTTGAGATGCCAGTGCCGGGCGACTGGTGATAAACGTGGCCCCTATCCCAGAGCAGTGCACACCGCCTTAGGCATTGGCTATATCCTAATCTCACTAGAACACCCCTCGGCCAGCGTCCCCCTCCACCCAGCACCTCTGGGGAACACTGGGGCTTCCTAATGAGTTAATCTGCTGGGAAGGAGTCCAGAGGCAGGCACAGCGCAGAACCCCCCCCCCGCCCCGCCCCAGCCCCCTCCACTGATGACACTGTTGACACCGCGGAGAGAGGCCTGCTCAGTGGGTCGTTGTGCTGAGAAACGAAACATTGCCTAACCCCAGGGAGAAACCACAAAAAGACAAAAACACGCAATGTCGCTGCAGCTGGGCCTGAGGGCTCAACCCAGATCCTGCTGTCTGCAAGGCGGGTGCAGCTGTTGTGTGGTTTGTGTTAAAGGCAAGAAAAAGAAGGGTGGGATCATGTTCAAATCCCCAAAAGATACCCCTCTGCCAGAGGACGAGTGGCGTTTGTTTAGGGACAGTGGGGCCTCGTTTCTTTGTCATTGAGTGGGTTAGTTCCACTCTCTGAGCAGCCCTGACTGAGTCTCACACCTGCGCTGGGGTCCCCACTTGTTCAGAGCTGGGGCTGGAGAAGCAGCGAGTCCCTGTCCGGGACCTTGCATGCTCCCTCACGCCCTGCCCCCTCCCCCTCCAGTCGTGGGACACTGCTATATTGCCGAAGGGATCTCAGGGTACACTGGGACCTGCTCCGAGCAGCTCCCTCAGGCGTCAGAGCAGAACTGGGCAGTGAGGTGAATACAGTGATGTGCCAAGGCAGATGGCAGGGCAGAGGCCGCTGCAAAGGTGGCTCCAGAAATCAGGAGGGCTGAAAAGGAGCTGCTCTCAGCCCGAAGAGGTGCATGTCACGAGTTTGCAGCTCAGGCTGGAGTCCACCATTCTTTATCCTTTATGCACAGGTCCCCCAAGGGCGTCTAGGGCCGGGGCTACTGACCGGAAGCCCTGCTCTGACTCCCCACCTTCCAGAAGGTGCTCTGATCAGGCCTGCCCGCTCCCACCCGCAGCCCAGTCTCAGATCTGCCAGTTCTCCTCAGAAGGCAAAGTTCTGGGGACTTGGGGCCACTCATGGGTTGGAGACTGAGTTGGGGGCTAGAGGCATGCTTAGGGCCCAGCCTCCATGGCAGGGCCAGGAAGTGAACCCCAGCCATCAGTGGGGCAGGAGCCAGGTGCCTCCCAGCAAAGCCCCAGCCCCAAGGGCTCCTCCTGTCCGCTGCTGCCCTCTCAGGGGCTGCCAGACCAGCTGCCCCACTCCCATGCTGCCGCCTGCCTGAACATCTCTTTTCTAGGCCCCGCCCAAACCCTGAGTCTTGGAGCCCACCTGCCATGCAGAAGCTGCACTGCAAACACAAATACACACACACACAAATACACACATGCACAAATACACAAATACACATGCACGAATACACACGCACATACAAATACACACACACGCACAAATACACACATGCGCACACGCACACACACACATGCAGGCACACACACATGCACACACGCACACACCCACACCGGGAGCTCCCTCCCTGGAGCCTCCCCTTCACATGGTCTCATCCTGCTTGTGCCGGCAAAGTCCTTTAAGGCCATACCTTAGTGATATGTTCTGTGTCCCTGAGGGTGGTGGCCCTGTGGTTCCTGGCTCCAGTCTGGTCTGACTGACCCCCCTGCCCTCTGCTCTCTTCAACACTTGGCACCTTAAGGCTGAAGGCCCCTGTGGAGACAGCGGCAGTCCGTCCACCCAGATAAGGGTAGCGTTTGAGTCCAGCTGCTGCACCTGTGGCCCTAATCTCAACACATGCCGCCAGTTGCAGACCTGGGGAACAATGCCAGTGCAGCAGGAGAATGTCACCAAATGCCTGCTTCATGACAGAGGAGGTCCTGAGGAGCTGAGTTAGGTCTTGAAAAAGTTTTGTCCCACCACCGGGGACAAAATGGCATTGCTTTATGTGTCACTAATCCTTGGAGAGGCTCCTTAAAGATGGAAGAGACTAGGGGATCTAAACACAGCCTGGGTTGCCCAGGCCTCACTGGGACACACCCTGGTAGGAATGAGGGTGAGATGCCAGTGCTGGCCTCTTGCCTCTCTCCAAGATCAGCGAAGCTGGGCACTCATTAAAGGGGTGAGGACAGACTTTATTGAGTAAGAATGACTGCAATCCAGAAGAGGGGCCAGGGTGAACTGAGCTCAACTTCCCTGAAACAGAAGGCAGGGGGTAAAGGTGCATGTACTAAGAAGACACTGGGGATGTTAAGGAGCTTTGGTCCATGAGACTAGGCCACCTGGGTGTGATAGTGACTAGGCCACCTGGATATGATAACTGGTGCTCATCTGGAGGAGAAGCAAATTCCTTGTGTCTTTAGTGTCTTTTTTTTTTTTTTGAGATGGAGTCTCACTTTGTGGCCCAGGCTGGAGTGCAGTGGCGTGATCTTGGCTCATTGCAACGTCCACCTCCCGGGTTCAAGCAATTCTCCTGCCTCAGCCTCCCAGGTAGCTGAGATTACAGGCGCCTGCCACCATGCCCAGCTAATTTTTTTTTTTTTTTTAGTATACAGGCGTGTCCTGTATACTAAAAAAATCTCTTCTCTTGACCTCGTGATCTGCCCGCCTCAGCCTCCCAAAGTGCTGGGATTACAGGCATGAGCCACCACGCCCAGCCTTTAGTGTCTTTATGACAATGGTGCAGGTTAGAGCAAGAAGCCCACCCAAGTCAGCCCCGTTGCCTCCCACAGGGACTGGGAGCAAAGCCAGAGTGAGAGCCTCTGGAAGTTCGCATTGCAGAGGCAGCTCCCAGGACCTTGTGGAGACAGTTCTGGGTGGTGGCAGATTTACATTCTCAAGGGGCAGCGAAAGCCTTCACAGTTGCAAGCTTTCTGAAGTGGCTGCTCAACGAGAGGGTTCAGGGGCCTATCCACCTGTCACCAGGTTGTGGCTGTGACAAACAGTAAATTCTCCTGGCAGCACTGCGCTCTCTCGGGCAGGCCCCTGAGGGTGACTTGGGGCATCATCCTAGGGACACGCCTGTTAACAGCTATGCTGGTATTTTTATAAGTCTCTTAGTGATGGGTGGGGGGTGCAGAGGGACAAAGTCATTTGCGCTGAGAGTCTGCAGTTTTTATAGACCAAAGGTGACGCTGAGTGGAGAAGAGGGCTCAGTAGAGGCTGACTGGTTTGGTCAAGGAGAGATTCTTTGCCAGCTCCTGCTGCTGCTGTATCTGTAGACTCCTCCCCTCCAGGGGACATCACCCTGGCACTGCTGGTCACCTTCTAGGCACTGCTGTTCCCAATCAGGCATTGTTAACATGCACAGGAGCCCATGGTGGTCAAGGGAGGGCTAAGAGAGAGTGTCCTGGGCACATGCATTGGATGGGCCCCCAAAGAATGCAGTCTGGGCCCTGATGCTGGGTCATGGTTTCTCGAGAAGTCCTGAACCTTTTCACCATTTTCCTGAAGTCCTGCCCTCTCCTTCAGCTCTGCAGGGCACACAAACCCATGTTTCTACACCATGTAAGAAGTCATATTGCCTTGGGGCCACCAGGCTGTGAGGAATCCCAAGCTAACCACATAGAAAGGTGATGTGGAGGACCACTAAGGCACTAAGCAGGTGAGGGAAGGCTTTGGGGACCTTCCAACACAGACTGGTAGCCAAGTGAGCACAGCCAAAAATGTGACTCTAGTCAATGCCATGGGATGATAGTAGCCAAGAGAATCATGAGAAATAATAGATCACTGTTTGGGGTGGTTCAGCAATATGTCCTCTGAACCCCAGTGAATGTCATCTTCCAGAGAATGCTATCATTAGTAAGGATGATGTGGCAGCTTTCGGGACCACATCGTGATCTTGTTTTTTGGATATTATCATCAGAAATAAGCTGTGAGGGAGAAGAGTGAGCTGGGGAAAGAGAAAGAGAGTGAGCAGGGGAATGGAAGTAGTGTTCCCTAGAAGCTAGGGCCCCGAGCTCCTAGGGAAAAGGATTGGAATGACAGCAGCTCCCTCCATGTAGAAGCCAAGAGATCCCTGGGGTCCACAGGAAGCTGAAAAGGTGTAAACATGGAGGCCTCAGGCCCAGAATGGCTCAGGGAAACTGTCCTAGAAGGTCCTGAAGCATTGTGTGTTCCTCCCCACTGACCAGGGCCCCCAGGATGGCAGGAGTCTGTGCTTCAAGAAGGGTAAAGCGTGGGCTAAGGGAAAGTGATTCCAACTGGGGTGAGAGGGGAGGGCTTTGGGTGCAAGTCCAGGAGGGATAGGAAAGAGGAAGGGCCCAGGATACGGTGGCCTCTGGAAGAATCAGGGGAGTTTAATGCCTAGGGGGTTTAATGCCCAGACCTGGAAACATCTAATTGGCAAACAACTCTATAATCAGTTAACTTCTAGCCAGGAAAACAGAAACTATCCCAGGCATTTTAAGCAGAGGGTATTTAGTGCTGGAATCGATGACAAAGATGTTGTAAAAGCTGGAGGAGCAAATGGGCCAAGAGGGTGTTACACAGAGATCTGAGGCTGCTCCTGCTCTGCGCCTGTATTGAGCTTCTGCAGACACCAACTGTGTCCCAGAGAAGGGGCCACCCTGATGCCCAGCCTCTTATCCCCATTGCCTCTGTTACTAATGCTGCTGGGGCCACTCCCATTGTCACTGCAGGAGCAATCACCCCACTGCCACCATTGGAGCTACAGCCAGGAGCAAAGTGGCTTCCTCCTATCTCCCACCCGTCCACTTCCCATTGGCAGCACTTAACCAGAAACCAGTTGCAAGGGAGCCTGGGAAATGTAGTTTTCAGGCTTCTAGCCCCTTGACTACTAAGGAGAGCAGGGTGGGCAGGCATGGAGCTGAGGGCCAACAGAGTACTCTGGCACAGAAGCTGCCAACTTAACTCAATGGCTCTTATTTTTACTTTGAAATGCTCCCATCCTTCCAGCAGTACAAGCCATTTGTGGTTGCATCCCCCTGTGCACAGCAGAATTCACATAGTCAGAACCGGCCAGGGGGACTCTGGAAAGCACAAGTATGAGTCTAAGCGCTGCGACCTCGCAGGGACTTCTCCCATATCTGGGCCCCCACATGATGGTGGTGTGAAGCTCCAAGGTGGATATTGACTGAGTGACTCCTCTTGGGGCCGGGTTCCAATGTGGGGAGGCAGGAAGCAGTTTCTTTCTCCTCAGAAGACACTAAGACCAGTTAAGTCTTGGGAGTTGATGCAGCCAGATTTAAGAACCCAGAGGCCCTTGGGATAGCAGGCTGCAGATAAAATCGACTTACAACTTAGCCACGGCTGGAGCATGGTTCAGGCTGATGTTTACTGTAGTGATGTAGAGGCCAAACGTGACCTCAGAAAGCACCCAGCAGGCGGAGTTTGAGACATCCCCGTGGGCAGAGCTGGTGCTGAGGCTCAGGCTGTGGGGTCGTGGAAGGGATGCAGGAAAGAAGGTTCTAGACCAGGGCTTGACACTTCACTCTCTGGGGCCACATGGGCTGAGGCCTGGGCATGCATCCCTGGTGCTGATCTGCTCTGTGGATATTAAGGTGCCTACTGTGTGCTGGCTGTGGTCTCTGTCATGCCGGGAGGTGACGGTGTCTTCTCTGGAGCCCCTTGCCCTGGCTCTCTGCCCAGTGGTTCTGCCTCTGCCACGTGGAGGCCTTCAGCTCCCAACAGGGGTGGAGGACCTCAGCTGCCCATCTCTGCCTCCCCAGCCCCAGCCCAGTGTCTGGCAGTGAGTGATGAATGCAGGCATGCTGATCCCTGTTTGCAAAGCTTGGTCAGGAGGCCCAAGTGGAATCTGGGCCAGCCTGGTACAAAAGGACATGATGGACACCTCAGGGGATCCTAGGCCACCGGAAAGGCTCTGCGTGGCCCAAGGTTTCAGTCCCAGAGCCAGCCTTTTTGTCTTTGGCTTCGAAAACCTCAATCGTAAAATGGAGCTAATAAAAACACCAAGCCCAGATTGGAGGACGAAATGGCATATGGCCCTGGTGGGGACTCCACCGGGGGGGAGGCATGGCCCAAAAGGCTTGGGTTGCGTCAATGATTCCCATTCTGTTTGCAGGAGCCTGGCATGAGCAGAAGTTCTGAACCCACTGGGCTGTGCGGTGGAGGAGCAGGTGGGCTTTCCACACAGAGCCTGGCCAGCATGGAGCAGGGGGAAAGGGAGACTCACGCTTTTCATTCCAGGGGCTGCAGGTGACAGTTTGGCAGAGGCCAGGCAGGTCTGGCTGCCAGGCTGAGGAGTTTGGACTTGGAAATTTAAAGGCCCTTCAGGAAGCCTCTGCAGAAGACTGGTCTGTCATTGACAATTAAAAGAAAAAAATAGACCACAATGCAAGGCAAGGAGTGGCCTTTGGTAGAAGCCGGACAGGATCCAGGTGGGTGTGGCCGGGCTCAGGTGTGGGCGGGCCCAGATCCTGTGCATCCTGCTCCTGGGGCCTCCCACCTCCTTGCCCTTGACACCTGCCTCACCCTGGTAGTTTCCAAAGAAGCCCCAAGGCCCCCGCCGTGGCCCTGCCCCCACAGGTGGAGGAGCTCCAAGCCTCCTGTGGGAGATGGAGCTTAGCTTGGGCCAAGGAACCTGCACCCGTGGAGGATAGTGGGCAAGCTGCTCTGCCCTAAGCAGGATGGCTATTTTGGGTTCAGAACCAGGCTGGATGAATTGTGTCCTTCTGCCGGCAGCCCTGGGAGCTCCATCTGCTCCAGGGAACAGGTTGAGAGCTTCATCAGATGGTCCTTAAAATCCAGGCCCTCTGCGGAGGCCTGCCTGGGCCTGAGCCACTTCTGACCACGTCCTCCTGAGGAGAGAGGCCATTTATTTTACTGTCTCCGGTCTCTGAAGGGAAGGAGGAAGTAAAAGTTGAAAAACAACAGGAATGAAGTCAGTGGCAAGACCAGCCGGTGCCACTGGTGACCAGGCCTGAGGTTAAAAGATTAACGCCGCCCCCACTCTAACCAGATGTGCTCTCAATCTATCATGACCCTTTCACGTGGAACCCCTTAGATTTGTAAGCCCTTCTTGAGACGTGAGTCTGCCGAAGTTCCCGGCCAAATAAAGCCAAATCCTTCCTTAACCGGGTGTCTGAGGGCTTTTGTCTACGGCTCATCCTGCTACACTCTAGCTGGAATTGGAGACTGCAGCCCCTCTCCGACCTGGGCCACGACACGCAAACAGCGTCTCCTGCCTCCTGCACAGTGGCCAATACCAGGCCAAGAGCTTCACCTTTGTTACCCGGCTTCATCTTCACAAAACCCTGGGGGCAGTAGGTGTGATTTTACTCCCATCTTATAAATCTGGAAACTTCCATTTACAGAAGTGACCCGATCCTCTCAGAGGATGAGGCCAGCAGGCAGTGGAACAGGGATTTGGACATGAGTCGTATCCCCCAGATGCCATGCGGTTGACCAGGCTGCCATCCGGAGCTTCCGTGGGGCCAGGAACTGCCTCTCAGGCCTGACGGGATTCAAATATGCACCAATGCACTCCTCAGAGGAGAGGTGAGCGAAGGGGGACCCCATGACCCTGAAGCCTACAGTCTCAAAGGGAAAGAGGACCCTCCACCCACGTGTGGATTGGCAGGCCTGAGTGAGGCACTGTTCTCTGTTACAAGTGTTGCCCTCCCCCGCCACAGCCATGGGCTGCACTTCCGTCCTTTGGGCAGCCTCAAAGGCTCTGCAACTCTCCCTAAAGACACTAATTTCACCCCCAGGGCCATCCAGGCCAGGGGAGCCTCTTGACAGAAACCTTGCATGTATGCGGTGTCTCTCACCCAGGCATCTTCCTCCTTCTGCACAGAGCCCTGTTCTTAGGGCTGCTTAGGCACACAGGTGACCCGGATGTTCTCTCTTGGATGCGACCTACTGTGTGTCTTAAGTTTCTGGGGCACAGTCAAGAAAACAGCATGGGCCGGGCGCGGTGGCTCACGCGTAATCCCAGCACTTTGGGAGGCCGAGGCGGGCGGATCACAAGGTCAGGAGATCGAGACCATCCTGGCCAACATGGTGAAACTCCATCTCTACTAAAAAAAAAAAAATACAAAAAATTAGCCGGGCGTGGTGGCAGGCGCCTGTAGTCCCAGCTACTCAGGAGGCTGAGGCAGGAGAATGGCGTGAACCCAGGAGGCGGAGCTTGCAGTGAGCCGAGATCGTGCCACTGCACTCCAGCCTGGGCAACAGAGCAAGACTCTCTCAAAAAAAAAAAAGAAAAGAAAAGAAAAAAGAAGCATGGCTTAGCCTCCTAAACCTTTTGGACAAATAAACTTCGCACCAACACGTGAAAGGGCAACAGCTGATGTTGAGGAAACATGGCTCTATTTGTTCTCATAATCTTTATTCACAATCTCAGTAAGATCTCCTTTGAAAACAAACAACAGAATAGTGTCCTGGGTGCGCGGCACAGTCAAGGGTTGCGAGAGCCTGCAGTCCTCTACTTGCAGGGCAGCTGTTAAGGGCTTGGGAGCTGCCCTCATTCACCCCTGCTGGGTGTCCCTTGGTTCCTGGTGTCTGTGAGGCTCCAGCAGATCCTAACCCAGCCTTGAGCATGTGAGGCCCTTTCTGAGCACCCTCGTGGGCCAGAGGCAAAAGCACTGCTCCTTTCTTCAGGCAGGGCTCCAGCCAGGGGCCCCACAGGAAGGGGCATTTCCTGAGCTCCCAGAACAGCTGGAGAAGGGGATGATGCATCTGTTGGGGAAGGTGGAGGAGCCTGTCGGCCTCATTACTGTCACTTCTCAGAGACCATGAGGCCTAGGGGTGGTGATTGGCTGGATGTAGATGCAGGGAGAATGGACTTGTGCTTCTGCCCACTGGCCAGTTCACAGCGCCACAGGCTCCTTCCCTGCTCTCGGTTGGTTCCCAAAGGAAAAAGTGGAAGCATTTTTATTATCCTGCTATCTGGCTCTGGAATTCCCCTTTGGAAGGAGCAATGGCGGGATAAGTCCCCACGGTAGAAGGAGGATCCCAGAGGCCTGGTTGGAACCGACTGCTCTGCTGCCCTGAGCTGCTCACAGAGTAGAATGAAGGAGAGGATTGAGTACGGGGCAGGAGAGCCCACCTGTGTGTCTGAGGGTGTGCGGCCAGCCCATCCATAGCATTTGCTCCACTTGCGGTTAGCACATGAGGAACTGTAGAGGAGAGGGACAGTGGCTCATGCCTGGACACTTATAAGGCAGAAGACGCAAAGCTGGGCTGGCAGCAGAGGGGCTGGAGGAATGCAAGCCTCACGGTCAGCTGCAGTCTCCAGGCCATGCCCCGGTTGCCTGTCAGCTCTTGGGTACTTGGCACGGGCTCTGGGTGCTGCTGTGCAGGTTGAGTCCCACCCAGAGTCCTGCCCTTCATTCTACAGGAGAGGGGCCATTTCTGATTGGATCGCAGAGTGGCCACACGGGCTGTGGGAGCTCTGCCAGGCTATTGTGCACAATGCTCCATTACCCCAGCCTGTCTTGGAGACCCTCCAGCATCTGCCCAGTTGTTCCCTAAAGTGATCCCATCTCCTAGGCCTGGAACAGTGCCTGCCCTGCTCCCATGTCAGACACGAACCCCACCCCGCTCCGGGTTCCCTGTCCTCTGACATGCATGGTGACACTCTCCAGCACCCCTTCCTTTGCCAGGTTCCCCCAACCTGGGGCTGGCCTCCTGCCCCTGACTCTAGGGAGCAGGCCAGCTGGACGCGTCACCCCTCAGCTGGCTCCCACCGTGACCATGGCATGAGTGATTTTTATTTTATTTTTTGGACTTGCCAAAGAACCACCACATCATTGTGTGGTGAGCCTGGAGGACAAGCCATCTGCGGGTAGAACCCAATAGACATGAATCATCCATTCATAGAATGACCAGATGGTCTGGGCTCCCCTGGATAACGGTGTGTTGTTGTCCACCCAACAGGAATACAAATTGCTCCTGGTCCCCTTCTTATGGGAATGGAAAGGACGACAGTCCCAGATGGATGGGTTCATGCCACGCCCCTGAGCTTCATTCTTCTGCTCTACCCTAGACACTGCTTCTGATGCCTCAGCTGCAATGGGCAGTACTTGCTTCAGTTTGGATGGTCCACTGCCACTGATACCACGTATCTGGTTTTTGTAGAAACTAGGCTTGTAAATTAAATGGGGATATGACAGGGACCACCACCCCTGAACTACTGAACTTTTTGAGGGTGGCATTAATCTCTGCCACTTCCCCCCTGCCATGTGATACCATTTTTGATTTGCTATCCTGGCCAGGGGAGGGGAGACCCAGAGGCTTCCACTTGGCCCTCCTGCTCTGATGGCTCTTCCCCCACAGGTGAAGGAATCCATGTGGGTTCTGCTGACTGCTGGGAATCTCCATCCTAAGCATATGTGCAGGTGGTGGAGAGGTGACCCCTGACCACAGTGAGCCAGACTCGGGATCTGGTCCCTCATGCTCCTCCCCACCATGGGCCCATGGAGATACTGGGACCTCCACTCATCAATGTCAACTCAGATCCTGCGTCCAGCAGAGTCCCACACATTTCTGGATGTCTCCCTTTCCCCTGTGCATGGAAATGCAAGTCCATGGCTGAGGAGCCCCTTGGGGAAGGCCTGGAGGAGTCATTACTGCCCACACTTGCCAGGGTTTGCAGGTCAGTCTTCACAGATCTGGTATCTCCTTCAGTCTGGGTTCTGGGTCTGAGGACTGGCTTGGGGCCAGAAACCAGCCAAAGGATTGTGATTTGGGGGTGGGAGGTGGCTGCCCTCAGCCTCCTGGTCGTCCATCCTGGGTACTGTTTATCGCACAATTAAGCCATGCCCTTGTTAACTGCCTACCCAGCTTGCCTCTGTGGACTCTGGGTTTGAGGAACCACCTCTGCGGCTCTCTGCACAATGGGCCCCAGATGCTACTTGGAGTGGCCATCTGCTGAGATAATTGCATCCACCTCGCTTCTGAAGGTTAAGCAGCACCATCTGTTCTCTATGCCATCGAGACTTTGTCATCATCCCTGTTGCTATTAAGGTCCTCTAGAAACCTCTACTGTCAGCCCTGACCCTCAGAGGACAGCACCACTGACTTCTCAACCACGTGCCACCCCCTCACCAGTGCTCTTTGTCACTTTGGTGTATGGGGGTCCATCAGACCTCCTGGGTTTTCCAGCCTTACTCAGAGCCTTTGGTCCTGAGCTGTCCCCTCCCAGGCATTCCAAGAATCACTCTAGCACATGGTAACACCATCTCCTGGGGTCCTGGCTGGGTTGTGACATTGCACATCAGGGGTCTCCTGGGGTGCAGGCCAGGCCGTGAAGTTCCGCATCAGAGATCTCCTGGGGTCCTGGCTGGCTGTGAAATTCTGCCTCAGGGTGGGTGTGCCCACACTGACAGGCTCTCCCTCATCCTGTGCTCCGGCATCCTCAGGCCCAGGCCCAGGCACACTCTACTGGTCTTCCTGGTCCAGCCTGGGCCTGCAGCTTCTTTGGCATCAAAGCCTTCCCTGTCCATGACCCAACTTGGATGAACCTTGAGGACATTACTTTGAGTGAGATAAGCCAGTAGCAAAAGGACAAATCTTGTATGAATCCACTTACATAAGGAACCCAGAGTAGCCAAATCCACAGAGACAGAGAATAGAATGGTGGCTGCCAGGACTAGGGGGGAGGGGGCAGTGAGGACTTAGTGATGAATGGGGAAGAGTTTCAGTTTGGGAAGATGAAAATGTTCTGGAGATGGATGTGGTGACGGTTGCCAGTGTACTTACTGCCAGGGAGCTCTACACCCAGAAATAACAACTTTTATGTTACATGTATTTCACTCCAATTCTTTTAAAAATCAAAACCAGGCTTCTACTCCCTTAGCAGGTCCAGTCCTCTCCAGTCGGGCTGCATTGGGGTTTGACCCTTCCCATCAGTCTGGCTGCCTGGAGGGATGGTGGAGGTGCGTCTGAAGGAAGCACTGTCTTGTCAGACACCACCAGCTTGAGGCCATTATGCAGTCTTCAAGCTGGCTGGGGGAAGGGACACTATTGCCTAAGGGGGAGTGGTCACTTCCACAGGCCTTGCATGTACATAGGAATCCGAAGCTCTAGGTCCTCACTTGCACCTCCCCAGACTCCCCGTCCCAGATCTCAGGGTCCCTTCCCTTCCCTACCGAGGTCCTGACCTAGCTTGGGACACCCCTGGAGGCTGAGAGCTCCACTACACCTAGCAGTAACTTTGCGCCATGTCCTTGGTGTGATCCACCTCTCACTTCCATCCCCCAAATTCCCCAAATGCCGGAGATCAGGGAGGACTTCTGACTTTCCCATTTTGATTTCATTGGTTGTCATTCTCCATCATCTTCTGAGTGGTGCTCAGAGCAGCCCCGTCCTCCGGCTCCAGGTCCCTTACCCACTAGGATGTTGCGTCAGCTGGTCGGACCCCTTCCCCTGGCTAGAGTCCCCCTGGTTCACCACCCATGCTCCATACAGTGAGGAGGGCAGGACGGGGTACAGAGAGAGACAGGCTCACGATGCCCTCGCACCCTGAAGGGGCTGGGCCTCTGCACCAGCAACATTGGCGGGTCATTGTCCCACTGGTGGCAGCATTGTCTCAGGAGGGACCTTCCCTGAGGCAGAGGACAATTACTGGGGAGGAACAGGCTGTGAACCAGTCTCTGTCCAGTGGGTGGGGTGGGCATGAGGGCTGTGAGGAAGGTGTGGGGCGGAGCGCCTGGTGTCCACTCCCACCCTGCATTCAGCAGCCCTCGCTGTCTCCCCTCTGCTCTGCACTGTGGCTGCCTTGGGCCGCCTGGGGCTAAGGTTTGTCCCAAACCTCCAGTCCTGCAACGGTGCCCCATCCCTGGCATGGTCCCCACTCCACCCTGCCCCAGCAGGAGGCCAGTTTGTCCTGGATGGGAAGAAGGCCTCACGGGCAGGGGAGGCTCCCACGCATGCCACCCCTTCGGCCGTGCCCTGGGGTTCCGCTCTTGGGATTCTTAATGAGTTTATCCTTGAATGTGTGTTTTGTAAGTGAAGTCAATGGGGCAATGGAGCATCCACCAAGGCTCCTTTCCCTGCTTCCTTCACACCCCCTGTTAGGTGTTCTGGGCTGCCACCTGCCCTGCCACAGGCCCCGGCTGTCCTGCACAGACACTCCACGGATGAGACAGAGCCCTGGGCACCTGGGAGGTCTGCACATGCCCCACAGGGATCCCTGAGCCCAGGGCTGATTTTAAATAGCAGAGAAAAACACCCTTCCTGCTTTCTGAACAACGGCCCACACTTTCATTTGCTGCCTGCCCTGCTCTCAGAGTGTCTTCTCAATGGACAAACCAGAAGGGCCTGCAAGCTGCTGACTGTGGCCCACACAGCCCACACACTGGTCCCCAAATCTCACCTTCTTCCCCATCTTCTCTTCATGAGGAAGAGGCTCAGCCCCTTTCTCCCTGCCCAAACCTAGAAACACACTCCAAGGCCGAGTCCTATTAACTTGGGGAGGGTGGGAGTGTTAAACTTGAGCTCACCAAAGATTTCTGTGATTTTCCGAGATTGCATATATGACTGATTTGGGAAAACTTGCAGGGAACACAAGCCACATCCTGCCCGTAGGCCCGGCTTCTGTAGCGCCTATGGTGACCAGGTTGGCACTGACACCGCTGTGCCGCTGCTCTGTCCTGGCCCAGACATGCTGTCATGGCCTTGGGTGCCAAGTTAAATGAGGTCTGTCACCTGTCCCCTGCTCATGGAGCTGAGTATGTTTGAAGTTCATTTACTGTGTATTTTCCCCTCGGGGTGTGACAAATGAGCCCTACCCCCAGACAACAGTGCCAGAAATCCAAACAGGGTTGGGCTCTATCCCATCTGCCTGGGGCTCAGGGAGTCCCTCTGCTGTCCCCAACACCCACTCCTCATATCCCACCCCCCAGCACATGGAGCTGGAGCTGGGAACTCGCAGGCCCCTGGGGACCCATCTGCGCTGTTTGTTTGGGTGAGAGCTCTGTATTGACAGCAGCTCTCCTGGCAGCCCTCGGCAGAGAGAAGGCTGTGCCAAGTGGGTATCAAGCAACGGTCGGGCACACGCTCCAGATGACACATGCGGGGGTGGGGGCGCAGCCCTCTCCTACCCTGGGGGAGCCACCTCCCGATAATCCCTCCCATGGCTCCCCGGGGAGGGGCAGGAGAACACAGGATGATTGTCACAGATCATGTGCTGGGGAGGAGAGCCTCGCAGACCTGAGGCCGGGAAAGGGGGCAATGAAAACAGCCCTTTGTCCAGGGCCTCATCTGCCACACACTGGGCTTGTGTTTCTTGCTTTATGACAATTGGGCGAAACATTAGACTGGGCATCAATTATTCAGATTTCACTGTGAGGTCAGAACACAGCAGCTCCGTCCTGTCCCCACCCAGAGAGAATGAGAATGCCGGGGGAGTCAGTTCCAGGCTGTGGGAATTTAGACAAACTCCTGGGTGGGGTGCCTGAGCCCCCTGCCCCCACACTTGCACCCTCAGGTCTCAGCTGCCCAACCCCCACCAGGTCTAACCCTCCTCGACCCCCACTGACCAAACTGCTTTCCAGGTATTTGGGTGGCACTGAACACTAGGAGGCATTTCTCCATTTTCAGGCAGAAAGTGCAATTGAAGGAATTCTCTGGTGCTCAGTGACCTTCTATCCAAACCCAAAACACACACACAAACACACACACACACATGCATGCACACACACACATGTGTGTGTGTGCATGTGCAAAAGGCACAGACATTTCTCTGGCTCTGTTTGCTTAGGACCCTGAGCCTGATCCCTTGCCTGGCCAGCTGCCCCTCATGTGCTGTCCTGGAGCCCCTTCCAAAGCATCATTCACACACGGCTGTGGTCCTGGCTGCCACCCACCCTTCTCCTAATGTAAGTGTTTCGAGCCACACGTTTCCCTCCAAGCACTGTTTAGCTGTATCTGGAGATTTCGACAGGTTGTATTTTCACTACCATTCAATTCGAAAGACTGTAATTTTTCTTGTTATTTCTGCTTTGACCCGTGGAATTTTTAGAAGTATTCTGTTTGACTTCCAACTATTTGGGGGATATCCAGACAACTTTATGTGATTTATTTCTACTTTGATTCCACGGCGGTCAGAGGATATTCTTGGTATAATTTCCAGCCATTTAAAATGTATTGAGACTTGTTTTATGATCCAGCATGGAAATAATGTGTCGTCTGCAGTGGGAGATGAAATATTGTGTAAATGTCAATTCGGTCAAGCTGGTTGATGGTGTTGTTCAAGTCTTCTCAATCCTTGCTGATTTTCTGTCTGTTGGGTGTTGAAATCTTCCACTGTAATCGTGGATTTGTCTGTTTCTCCTTTCAGTTCTAGCTGTTTTTGCCTTATATATTTTGAAGCTCTCTTATTATGTGCATGCACATTTAACATGGTTAAACATAACCGCCATAACAAAATCCCATAGGCCGCGTGGCTTAAATAACAGAAATGTATTCTCACAGTTCTGGAGTCTGGAAGTCCAAGATCAGGGTGGCAGCATGGTTGGGTCCTGGTGAGGGCTCTCTTCCTGGCTTGCAGACAGCTGCCTTCTCACTGTGTGCTCATGTGGCCTCTCCTCAGTGCATGCATACACAGACCAAGAAGAGTCCCTCTCTCTTCCTCTTCTTTTTTTTTTTTTTTTGAGATGATGTCTCACTCCATCGCCCAGGCTGGAATGCAATGGCGTGATCTCAGCTCACAGCAACCTCCATCTCCCAGGATCAAGCAATTCTCGTGCCTCAGCCTCCCGAGTAGTTGGGACTGCAGGTGTGCACCACCATGCCCAGCTAAGTTTTTTATTTTTAGTAGAGACAAGGTTTCACCATGTTGGCCAGGCTGATTTTGAACTCCTGATCTCAGGTGATCCGCCCCCCCTCACCTCCCAAAGTGCTGGGATTACAGGTGTGAGCCACTGCGCCCAGCCTCTCTCTTCCTCTTCTTACAAATACGCTAATCCTTTCAGATCAGGGCCCCATTTTTACAACCTCATTTAACTTTAATCAATTCCTAAAGGCCCTTCAAATACAGTCACCACAGGGGTTAGGGCTTCAACATATAAATTTGTAGGGGACACAGTTCAATCTATAGCAGAAGGTTATACCTTTGGATGAATGGACACTTTTACTAATATGAATACTCCTCCTTATTTCTAGCAGTATTCCTTTTACTGAAGTCTATTTTATTTGATATAAATGAAGCAATTCTTACTATCTATGATTAGTGTTTACATTATACATATTTTTTCTATCCTTTTACTGTTTATCTCCCTGGGATTTAGATTAAAAATATATTTCTTATAGATAACATGTATTTGGGAGTTTTTTTTTTTAATTCAATATGGCCGTTGCTGCTTTTAGTTTAGTTCTTCTTTTTTTAGATATTGAAATAGTTGGCTTTAAATTTGCCATCTTGCTACTTGTCTACTTTTTGTCTATCTGTTCCTTTTTCTCTTTCTGTTTTTTTGAATTGTGTATTTTTCAATATTCCATTTTTATTTCCTCCATTGGCCAATTAGCTATATGTATTATCTTTATTCTTTTACTAGTTGATTTAGAGTTTACAAGATCTGTCATTAACTAATCGAATAATAGTATACTTGCTTACATAAGGTGGAAAACCTTAAAGTGATATACTTTCATTTCTTTCATCCTTTGTCTTCCCATTGTTAGCCTTCCATCCCACTGTTATCGGATATATTATGTCCACATATTTAATAAATTCCACAGCATATTAATATTATTATTGTTGTAAACAGTCCATTGCTTCTGAAGACTTTTTTTTTTTTGAACGAGAAAAGTTAACAAGTTGTCTTCCACAGCACTTAAAAAATATCCATTTGACTGTCTCCTGCCCTGCATTGTTTCTGATGGTCATTATTATTTTTGTTCCCTATACGTAAGGTACCTTTTTTAAAAAGAGACTTTATTTTTTGGGGTCACAGCAAAATGGAGTGAAAGGCACAGAGATTTCACAAATGCTGCCTGCCTTTACACACACATCACCTCCCCCCGCATACGCATCCCCTGCCAGAGCGGTGCATATGTTACAACTGATAACCTACACTGACACATCACTATCACCCAGAGTCCACAGTTTACATTAGTTTTTATTCTTGGTGTCATTAATTCTCTGGGTTTAGACAAATGTATAATGGTATTTATCCACCATGATAGTATCATAGAGAGTAGTTTCACTGCCCTAAAAAAATCTTCTGTGCCCTGCCTATCCCTCCCTCCCTGAAACCCTTGACAACCGCTGACCTTTTTACTGTTTCCATAGTTTTGCTTTTCCAGAGTATCATATAGTTGGAGTCACAGTCTGTAGCCTTTCACATCAGCTTCTTTCACTTGGTAATATGCATTTAAGTTTCTTCCATGTCTTTTCATGGCTTGATATCTCATTTCTTTTCATCACTGAATAGTATTTCATTGTCGGGATGTACCACGTTTTACTTATTCATTCACCTACTGAAGAGCATCATGATTGCTGCTAAGAATAAAGCTGTTATAAACATCCATATGCAGGTATTTCAGACACAAATGAACATCCAGTGGACTAAAGTTTTCAATTCCTTTGGGTAAATACCAAGGAGCACATTGCTGTATTGTACGCTAAGAATATGTTTAGTTTTGTGAGAAACCACAAACTGTCTTCCAAAATGGCTGTAGCATTTAGAGTTCCCCGCCAACAATAAATGAGAGTTCCTGTTGCTCCCCCTCTTCATCAGCAATTGGTGGTGTCAGTGTTCTGGATTTTGGCCATTCTGATAGGTGTGCAGTGGTAGCTCACTGTTGTTGTAATTTGCATTTCCCTGACGACATGTGATGTTGAGTATTTTTTCATGTGCCTATTTGCCACCTGTACCTCTTCCTTGGTGAGGGACATAGTGTGTCTTTTATTGCTGGCTGATTTTGAGATGTTCTCTTTATCACAGGTTTTTAGCAATTTGAATATAATGACATTGCCCATGATGCTTTTTGCATTAATTCTTCTTAGGTTTCAATGCATTCTTTAGAATAGTGTGTTTATATTTTTCATCAAATGCAGAACATTTTCAGTTATCGTTTCTCCATACATTTTCTCTGCCCTTGACCCCTTCTAGGACTGCAATTAGAGATAAGTTACACCCCTTGACATTGTTCATCTTTAGAGATGTTACACTCCTTAACAAGTTCATTTTTTTCCAGTCATTTCCCTCTCTGTGCTTTAGCTTGGATAGTTCGAGTACCTTGTCTTCCATTTTACTGCCTTTCCTTTTGTCACATCACATTTTCTGTTAAGCCTATCTGGTGTTTTTTCAGACTTACATTATTTTTTAAAATTAACGTACAGTACAATAAACTTTTTTTTTTGGTGTACCATCAAAACTGACAAGCTGATCCTAAAATTCGTAGGAAAACATAAGAAACCCAAAATAGCCAAAGCATTCTTGATAAAGAACAAATTTGGGGGTTCGCAATTCCCAGTTTCAAAACTTACTATAAAGTCATGGTAATCAACACTATGTGGATGTAAAATAGCAATAGACATATAGATCAATGTAATAGAATTGAGAGCCCACAAGTAAACCCATATATTTATGGGCAATTGATTTTCAACAAGCATGACAAAGACAATTCAATGGAAGAAGTAATAGTTTCTATAATAAGTGGTACTGGGACAACTGGATACCCACACAGCATAAGAATGAAGATGGACCCTTAGCTCATACTATTTACAAAAATTAACTAAAAATGTTTCAAAAACCTAAACATAAGAGCTAAAACTATAATATTTTAGAAAAAACATAGGCATAAATCTCCATCATTTTGGATTAGGCAGTGGTTTCTTAGATATGACAGCTAAAGCATAAAAGAAAAATAGATAAATTGGCATCAAAATTTAAAACCTATGTGTTTTATTTTTTATTTTAATTTTATTTTATTTTATTTTTGAGACAGAGTTTCACTCTGTTGCCCAGGCTGGAGTGCAATGGCACGATCTTGGCTCACTGCAACCTCTGCCTCCCGGGTTCAAGCAATTCTCCTGCCTCAGCCTCCCTGGTAGCTGGGACTATAGGCGTGTGCCATCATGCCTGGCTAATTTTGTATTTTTAGTAGAGATGTGGTTTCTTCATGTTGGTCAGGCTGGTCTCGAACTCCCAATCTCAGGTGATCTGCCCACCTCGGCCTCCCAAAGTGCTGGGTTTACAGGCATGAGCCACCATGCCTGGCCCTAAAACCTATGTGTTTTAAAGGACACTATTACAGAGAATAAACAGCCCAATGGAATGGGAGAAAATACTTGTAAATAATATATTTGACAAGTGTCAAATATCCAGGAAAATAATATATATATATACAACTCTTACAGCACAATAATTTAAAAAACTAAATTATGAGCAAAGGATTCAAATAGACATCTCTCCAAAGAAAAGATACAAATGATCAATAAGAACATGAAAAGATTCTCAACGTCATTACCCATCAGGATAAATGCAAATCAAAATGATAAGATAACAGTTCACACCCACCAGGGTTGCTATAATCAAATATCTCAGACAGATAACAGCAAGTGGTAGCAAGGATGTGGAGGTATTAGCACCTTCATACACTGCTAGTGGGGATGTAAAATGGTACAGCTGCTTTAGAAAACAGGCTAGCAGTTCTTTAAACAGTTAAATATAGAGTTACCACATGACCCAGTAATTCCACTCCTAGGTATAGTCCCAAGAGAAATAAAAACGTATGGCCACACAAAAACTTGTACACAAATGTTCCTAGTAGCATTATTCAAATAGCCAAAAGTGGAAACAACTCATGAATGGATAAACACAATGTGGTATACCCATACAACAAAAAATTCTGCAGCCATAAAAGGAAGTACTGAAACATGACAACATGGCTGAGCCTTGAAAATATTTAGCTAAGTGAAAGAAACCAGACACAAAAAGCCACATATTATATGATTCCACTTATACAAAATGTTCAGAATAGGTGAATCCCCACAGACAGAAAGCAAATTGGTGGTTTCCAAGGGCTAGAGGAAGGGACAATGAGAGTCACTGGTAATGAATACAGGTTGTTGTTACTTTTTAATCTTAGGAATGATGGAAATGGTCTGGAACTGGGCAGTGAGAATGTTTGCGTAACTTCTGAATATACTAAAAACAACTGAACTGTGCACTTCAGAATAGTTTTATGGTGTGTGAATTATATCTAAATTTTTTAAATGTTTGAAAAAATCATTTGGCCATTTTCATGTGAGTCTATTTCTGACTCTAATCTATTTTATTGGCCTATGTTTCTGTCCCTTCACCAATATCATACTGTCTTCATTGTTGTAGCTATAATACATAGTAAGTCTTAAAACTGGGTAGTGTGAATCCTTGATCTTTATTCTTCTTTTCTAAAATTGTTTAACTATTCAAACATCTTTTGCTTTCAATATAAATTTTAGAGTTATATTGTCTATGTATATAAGTATTGCTGATTTTTAAAAATTTTTAATGTTTAATTTTTATGGGTACATGGTAGGTGTAGATATGTATGGGGTACATGAGATATTTTGATACTGGCATACAATGCATAATAATTACAGAGTAAATGAGGTATCCATCATCTAAAGTATTTATCATGTCTTTGTTCTGTAAATAATCCAATTATACTTTGATTTTTAAATGTACAATAAATTATTGTTGACTGTAGTCACCCTGTTGTGCTATCAAATACTAGATCTTATTCATTCTAACTTTATTTTTGTACCCATTAACCATCCCCATTGTTGGGATTTTGATTGAAATTGTGTTGAGTCTAGAGATCAATCTGGGAGAAAACTGACATATAAAATATATTGTCTTCCAATCCATGAACAAAGCATGTTTCTTTATTTATTCAGGGCTTCTTTTATTTCTTTCGTCAATATTTTGTAGTTTTCTGCATATAGATCTCAACCACGTTTTGTTATATTTATCATAAATGTTTCATTTTTTGAAACTATATGTGATTTTTAAAAAATTTGTGGTTAAACAATTTTTTAAGAGTTCAATTTTATTTATTTTTTCATGTGTTTCAAAGTCATTCACGTGATCCAAAATCCTAAATGTACAAAAGAAATTTGTACACTGAATTCTTTCTTTCTTCCCAGTCTCTCAATCATCCAGTTTCCCCACAAGCCGCAGTGTTAGCATTTTCTTGGACAAACCCATAGTTATATTTTATGCATATCTCATGCTCTTCCCTCTATCTTATTTCTCTAATAGTTCACTATATTCACTGTGATACCTCAGTGTAGTTAAAATTTCATCTCTCTTATTGTAAATGAGGTTGATTATACTTTCTGAAGCTTTAAGAGATATTTGTATTACATTTTGGTTTCTAAATGTACATTGCTAGTAAATAGAAATACAATTGACTTTTACATGTTGACCTTTTATCCTGAAACCCTGCAAGGCTCATCAATTAATTCCAAAATCTTTTGTGTAGATTCATTAGAATTTTCCTCATAGGCAGCTACCAGTGAATAGGAACAGCTCATTTTTCTTATAAAATTGGTGTGCTTTTATTTCTTTTTCTCACCTAATTGCACTTGCCAATACTTCCAATACAATATTAAATAGGGGTGATGAGACCAGACATCTTTGCCTTGTTCCTGATTTTAGGGAGATGCATTCAGTAATTTACCATCATAGATGTCCTTGATTATATTAAGGATTTTCCCCACTATTCCTAGTTTGTGCAAAGTTTTTTTTAAATCATGAATGGATGTTGAAATTTTTCAATACTTTCTGCATGAATTGACATTATCATATGGCTTTTCTTCTTTAGTATGCTAACATTGTGAATTATATTGACTAATTTTCAAATATTGAACCAGCCTTGCATTCATGGGATAAACCCCATTTAGGTATAAGGTATTTTAAAAAATATATTTCTGGATTCTATTTGAGAACATTTTGTTGAGGTTGTTTGTGTCTCTGTTCATGCAGGATATTGGTTTGTAGTTTTCTTTTCCTGCACTGTTCCCTGGTTTTAGTATCAGAGTAGTGTTGGCTTCATAAGTTGAGTAGAGAAGTGTTTCCTCCTATTTTATTTTTCTGGAAGAGATTGTGTCAAATTGGTGTTATTTCTTCTGTAAGTGTTTGGTGGAATTCACCAATGAGCCTAGAAATTTCTGTTCCAAAACAATTTTAATTGCAAATTTAATTTCTTCAAATGACATAGGACCATTCAGGTTGTCTGTTTCTCCCTGGGTGGGTTTTGGTAGTTTGTAGCTTTTAAAGAGTTGGTTCAGCCAGGCGTGGTGGCTCATGCCTGTAATCCCAGCACTTTCGGAGGCTAAGGCGGGCAGATCATGAGGTCAGGAGTTCGAGACCTGCCTGGCCAATGTGGTGAAACCTGTCTCTACTAAAAATACAAAAATTAGCCGGGCGTGGTGGCGGGCATCTGTAGTCCCAGCTACTCAGGAGGCTGGGGCAGGAGAATCACTTGAACCCAGGAGGTGGAGGTTGCAGTGAGCTGAGAGCATGCCACTGCACTCCAGGCTGGGCAACAGAATGAGACTCCATCTCAAAAAAAAAAAAGAGTTGGTTCATCTAAAATTTAAAATATAGGTACATACATAAATTTGTACATGGAACTCCCTTATTATCTGTTTAATGTTTATGGTGTGTAGTGATATCCCTTCTTTGCTGATATAGGTAGTTTTTATCTTTTTTCTTTTTTCTTCATCAGCCTGACTAGAAGTTAGCTAATTGTACTGATCTTTTCAAAGAACAATTATTCTGTTTCATTTATTTTCTCTATTATTTTTCTGCCTCCGCTGATTTCTTCTCTCATTTTTATTGTTTCCTTCCTTCTTCTTGTTTTGGGTGTATTATGCTTTCCTTTGTTTACTTGATTAAGGTAGAAGTTTAGATTTAATAATTTTGAATTATTTCTTTTTTTCTAATAAAAACATTAAGTGATAAAAAAATTTTCTAGCCAATGCTTTAGCTATACCCTCAAATTTGGATATATTTTCAATTACATTTAGTCAAAAATATTTTCTAATTCCTCTTGAGACTTCTTGTCCAACGAGTTATTTCGATGTGTTAATTTACAAGTGTTTGCTGACTTCCCACTTATTTTTCTGTTACTGATTTCTAGTTTAACTTCATTATTGTCAGAGAACATACTTTGAATTATTTAAATTTTTAAAAATTAGTTAAGGTTATTTTATGATGCAAGATATAATCCATCTTGTTAGATATTCCACATGTACTTGAAAAGAAAAAATTTGTGCTCTGCTATTGTCAGATGGAGTATTCTAAAAGTGTCAACTGGATTCTTTTGGTAGATGGTGTTGTTCAGGTCTTCCAAATCCTTACTGATTTTCAGTTTACTTCTTCTATTGGTAATTGAGAGAAAGGTATTAAAGTTTCAAACTATAATTGTGAGTGTTTCTATTTCTTCTTACAGTTTTGTCAGCTTTTGCTTCATTTATTTTGAAGCTCCATTGTTAGCTGTATACATATTTAGGACTTTTATGTGTTCTTAGTGAATAGACCTTTATATCATTGCTCTGATGTCTACTTTTTCTAATATTTATATACCCACTCCAACCTATTTGTATGGTATATCATTTTGCATCCTTTTACCTTTATCTTATCCATATAATAATATTCTAAATGGGTTTCTTATAGACAGCATACAATTGGTTCTTGTTTTCTAATTCCATTCTTATAATCTCTCTCCTTTAATTTGTATGTTTAAACACTTATATTTAATGTAATTTTTGAAGTTTGGGTTTAGATCTACAATTTCTTTGTTGGTTTTCTATTTGTTCCTTGATTTTTTTATTCTGGTATTTTCCCCTCCCTTCCTTTATTTGGATTATTTAAATATGTTTAGTATTTAATTTATATTTAATTCTTCAGATTTTTAAATGATATCTCTGTACTTTCTTAAGTGATTGCACTGTGGATTACAATATTCATTGTTATATATATATATATATATATATATATATATATATATCTTTTTTGTAATCTACATAGAATTAGTATTTTACCACTTTAGGTGGAATTTTAAAAACTTTTTTTTTTTTTGAGACAGAGTCTCACTCTGTGGCCCAGGCGGGAGTGCAGTGGCACAATCGCAGCTCTCTGCAACCTCCACCTCCTGGGTTCAAGTGATTCTGCTGCATTTGCATTTCAAGTAGCTGGGACTACAGGCGCGTGCCACCATTCCTGGCTAATTTTTGTATTTTTAGTAGAGACAAAGTTTCACCATGTTGGCCAGACTGGTCTCGAACTCCTGACCTCAAGTGATCTACCCGCCTCAGCCTCCCAAAGTGCTGGGATTACAGGCATGAGCCCCTACACCTGGCTGAAATTTAAAAATTTTACTGTCATACTTTACCCTTTTCCCTTTATCATATAGTTGCCATATATGATACATGTGTGATACTACCCCCAGTGAAAATCACATCAGTGTTATACTTTGACATTAAATGGTCATACATATTTTAATGAATTTAAGAGGATAAAGATAGTGTGTTATATTTACCCATATATTTGCCATTTCTGTTTTTCTTCTTAAATTCCCAATGTTTCAAGTTTGCCTCTGGTGTCATTTTCCTCCTATCTAAAAAAAACTTCCTTTAGATTTTTTTTTTCTTAAAGGAGATCTACTGGCAATGAATTTTCTTAATTTTCCTTCATCTTACAATATATTTATACCATTTTCATTTCTAAGGAATATTTTCACTGGACAGAAAACTCTGGGCAGACAGTTTTGGGTTTTTTTTTCAGTATTTTTTAAATGCTGTGCCACTTTCTTCTATCCTCTGTAATTTCTGATGAGAAATCCATCATCATACAAATACTTGATCCCCTGTTTAATGTTTCATTTCTGTTTGGCTGCTTTCAAGATTCTTTTCTTTGTCGTTGTATTTAGCAGTTGATTATCCTGTGTCTGTTCATTAATTTGTTTAAGTTTATCTTGTTTGGGATGCACTGAGCTTCTTGAATGTGTAAGTTCATGTCTTTCACCAAATCGGGAAATTCTCAGCCAGTAGTCTTTCCTTCCTTTCTTCCTTCCTTCCTTCCATCCGTCTTTCTTTTCTTTCTTTCCTTCCTCCCCTCCCCTCCCCTTCCCTCCTTCCTTTCCTTCCTTCCTTCCTTTCTTTCTTCCTTCCTTCTTTCTTTCCTTTCCCTTCCCTTCCTTCTTTCCTTCTTTCCTTCCTTCCTTCCTTCCTTCCTTTCTCTCTCTTTCTCTCTCTCTCTCTCTTTCTTTTTTCTTTTTCCCTTTCTTTTCTTTTCCTTTTCTTTCTTGAGACAGGGTCTTTCTCTGTTGCCCAGGCTGGAGTGCAGTGGTGTGATCTCAGCTCACTGCAACCTCTGCCTCCCTGGTTCAAGCAATTCTCATGCATCAGCCTCCTGAGTAGCTGGGATTACAGGCATGAGCCACCATACTCGGCTAATTTTTGTGTTTTTAGTAGAAACGGGGTTTCACCATGTTGTCTAGGCTGCTTTTGAACTCCTGACTTCACGTGATCCACCTGCATTGATCTCCTAAAGTACTGGGATTACAGGCGTGAGACACCACACCTGGCCTCAGCTGGTATTTCTTCACATATTATATCAGTACCACAGTCTTTCTCTTCTCCTTCTGTGTTTCAATAATACAAACATTAGATCATTTCATGTTATTCCATAGGTTCCTGATGCTCTGTACATTGATTTTCTTTCTTTCTGCTATTCAATTTCTATTGCTCTAGCTTCAACTTTACTGACTTTTTCCTCTGCTCTCCATTCTGTTATTGAGTCCATCCAGGGAATTTTTAATTTCACTTGTTGCAGCTTTACGTTCTAAAATTTTCATTTGTTTCTTGTTTGTATTTTCTATTTCTTTGCTAAGATTTTCAATCCTTTCATCTCAAAAGTTTCCCTTTAGGTATTGCAGCATGGCTACAATAGCTGCTTTAAGTCTTTAAAAATTCCAACATGTGTCATTTTAGGGTTGATGCCTTTTGATTGTCTTTTTCCTTTTAGTTTGAGATTTTTCTGGTTCTTTAAATACAAGGCATTTTGGGTTGTATCCTGGACATTTTGGATATTATGTTATAAGGCTCTGTGTCTTATTTAAATCCCAAAGAGAATGTTGACATTTTTGTTTTAATACACAATTGACCTGATTAGGTTTGGGCTACAGGTTCTGACCCACCACCTGTGGGCTGTGGTTCCAATGTCAATTCAGTTTTCAAAGGCTTTGCAATAATACTATGTGACTCTGCTCTGCCTGTGCATTCTCCATGGGCTTGTCTGGGACCTGGGGTTGTGGTCTACCTGTAAGCTCAATTCTCAAAGCCTGTGGTGTGCTATGAGGAACAGATCCATGCCGACGCAGCTCAGAAGTGAGCCTAGAAATTCATACACAATTCTATGGGCTTTCTCTCTTGAGACCTTTTCTTTCCATTATCTCCTCTGGAGCCTCCCTTTCTCAACCTGTGGCCAGAAAGGCCAGGCTTTAGTTTCTCACTCTGCTACACGCTTCCCACAACTGTGACTGCATCCAGAGCCAATCTGTGGGAGGATCCAGGGAGAGAAAAAACAATGACACTTTGTCTTACACTCCTGGTACCATGGCTCTTCTGGTCAGAGAGAAGGATTCCTGTCCATTAGAGTTTTAGGCACCCTTCCAACAGCCACTGCCCTTGTCACCCCTGCTGCTGTGGGATTGCTTGAGGCTGGGAGGGAGAGGACAGAAAAATAACCAGGGTATTCCTCTCACTCTCTGACTCTCAGGATTCCCCTTTCCTGCTCTTTTAGCAGAAAGAGAAGGCTTCTCTTGGAGTGCTCTTTGTCCACACCCATTGTGCCCTCCCAGGTTTTGGGGGAAGGGGCTTTGAGTCCAGGCTGGGTAATACTGGAGGAAAAGTACATGGGAAATACATCACTAATTTGGTGGCCCCCCGGCTTCTGGCCTCATTCCCCTGTCAGCTTACCATTGCTTTTTCAGAGTTCTCAGGCGGCTGCCCCTTGCCTTCTGTCCAGGAAGCATCATTTCACTCAGTGGAAAGGCAGATGAAAGGTGCTTATTTCTTCTCGCCCAGATCAGGAGCCTACCTCCATCTAGTCAATTTTTCATTTCAGATAGGGTATTTTTCCAGCTCTAGAGTTTCCTTTTTTTTTCTTTTTGTGATTTCAATGTCTCCCCTTGTTATGTTTGCATTTTTTAAAAAAATCCTTGAATATATCTATAATAGTTGTTTTAAAGTCCATGATTACTAATTCTATCACCTCTGCTTTTTCTTGGTCTGTTATTATTGATTCTTTTTTTTGTTTGTTTGTTTTGGGTTACATTTTCCTGCCTTTTGCATGTCTAATAATTTTTATGGAATGCTGGACTTGAGAAAATTGCGTTATTGAATATCTGGATTTTGTTGTCTTCCTTTAGAGAGTGTTGCACTTTGTTCCGATAGGCACTTAATTCCTTTGTGCATCAACTTGAAACTTTCAAGATTTGTTTTAAAACTTTGTTAGGGCTTTATCTAGGGTCATTTCTTTCTGTGTTCTCTATTGAACTACAGGCACATGCCACTATAGAAGGGGGATACATTCTGAGAAATGCATTATTGGGCAATTGTGTTGTGCAAACAACATAGAGTGTTGAGTGTGCTTACGCAAACCTAGATGGTATAGCTTGCTACACACCTAAGTTATGTGGTACAGCCTATTGCTCCTAGGCTACAAACCTGTGCAACGTGCTGCTGAATACTGTAGGCAACTGTGACACAATGGTAAATATTTGTGTATCTAGACATATCTAAACATAGGAAAGGTAATGTGTTGTATTATAATGTCACATGGCTACGATGTCACTAGGTGAGAGGAATTTTTTAGCCCCATTATAATCTTATGGGACTCCTGTCATATATGTGATCCATCGTTGGCCAAAAATATCGTTATGTAGTGCATGACTGTAATTTGGTGTTCAGTGAGGACTCTCTCCTCTGGCTGGCCAGAACTTGAGGGCCTCCCAACCTGTGTGAGCTCTGGTTACTGCAATGTCTACAGCTGCCTATACCTGTGCATTGTGGTTGTATGCCCAGCCCCATGGATTCTTGCCCTATATAGGTACACATCTGTGTTCATCTGAGACTCAGGGTGACCCCATGCAGATTCATGAACCCCTTTTTCTTTTTTGTTTCTTTTTTTTTTTTTTTGAGATGGAGTCTAGCTCTGTTGCCAAGGCTGGAGTGTAATTGGCATGATCTCAGCTCACTGCAACCTCTGCCTCCTGGGTTCAAGTAATTCTCCTGCCTCAGCCTCCCGAGTAGCTGGGACTACAGGCACTCACCACCATGCCTGGCTAATTTTTGTAATTTTAGTAGAGATGGGGTTTCGCCATGTTGGCCAGGCTGGTCTTGAACTGCTGACCTCAAGTGATTCACCCACCTTGGCCTCCCAGAGTGCTGGGATTACAGGCAGAAGCCACCATGCCTGGCCTATGAGCCCCTTTTTCTGCCTCCTCAAACTCCAGTTGCAGTTTCCTCAGCTCGGCAAGACCACTGTTCTCTGCTGGATCCCCTCTCTGTCCCAGGGCTGGGAAATGCCTGCAGGCAAGAAGCCAGGTCGATTGTAGGGCTCATGCTCTCTGCCTAGCTGCTCTGAGGGATCATGTGCCTGCACTGCCTGTTATTTGCAAATAGTTTTTTCATATATTTTGTCTGGTTTCCAACTTGTTTGCAGCAGGAAGGCTAGTGTGATGCCAGTGCTCTGTCTTAACTGGAAGTGAAAGTCTGCTTATTTTAATCAGAATTATTGAATTATTGGACTGCTTTGACAGCATGTAGACAAAGCTCTAAGTTGCTTTTTAAATATGTTACCTGGTGGAGCATGATGACTCATACCTGTAATCCCAGCACTTTGGGAGGCTGAGCAGGGAGGATCACTTGGGAGGATCACTTGAGCCCAGGAGTTCAAGGTTAGAGTGAGCTATGATTGTACCACTGTACTCCAGTCTGGGTGGCAGAGTGAGACCCTGTCTATAAAAAAAAATACATAAAATTAAAATGTTACCTGATAAAAGAGATAGCCTAAGAAATTTAATTGAAATAAATATTGTACAGCCTGATTGCATTTTCAGACTTCTGACACAGTCCCGTGAAACTGTCTTAGGGAGATCCAGGGAAGCCTGTTTCTTAGAAAAAGGCTGCCATACTCTAAGAAGCAGCTCTATGATAATATTTGCAAAGCAATTAAACACAAACTTGTACTCCTGATTGTTACTGCAAAAGTAATACCTATCCATCATTGAAAATTTAGAATGTAATGGCAAGTCCCCCAAAAGAATCACCCATAGTCCCCATCAGTTAGCACTTGTCACTCTTTTTATTGTAGCACTAAACATGTATACTCTGTTGTCAATATATCCACACAAATAGTCTTGTATGAAAAAATTAGCTCATAATGTATGACTTCTATAAATGCTATGTTTGGGTCTCCCTAGCAGGGTGGATCTGATGGAAGAATTAGGGAGGTTGTTGATGATGCAAATTTACAAGCCAGTTATTTGCTGCACTGACCCGAAGTAGGCGGGTTGTTGCATGTGGATGGTGGCAGGATGGATGTGGGATGGACGAGTTCACTGAGAAGCCTCCGAGGGCTGTGGCTGCTGGGATGGCAGGGGAGTGTCCCTTGTTTCCCCTGGACATGCAGTGAGGCACAGGGAGAATCGATGCACGGGGAGAATCGATCCACGATAGGACCAGCCCCACCCCTCCTTCCCCCTAGGAGGTGGGATGGCAGACAGAGACACTTACAGACCATCTGTCCCAATAGTCCATAGAAGCCTTCTGGAGTCACAAATTTGCTGTAAGTTTATCTTCATTTAAAAAAATTATGTTGTAAACCAGAATTAAATAAAAGACACCAATTCAAGAAAGCTATATTGTGGAAATAATTTTTTTAAAGGCAAGTTATAAAAAGACAGGATAATTGTATTAAGAAACTTGAGACAAAGCCTTGTTGCTGTGAATAAGCTTAATTATTTAAATTTGACCTTCTTGGCAGTCAAGGCAAAAAAAAAGGAAAATAAAGAACATTTATAAAGCGCTTGCTATCTAACACAGTTCCGTGATTCTTTATTAGAAACCCTTGGGGGTGGATGCTTTTCTGATTCAGAACATTTGGATTTTAGACCAGTAATAAACTGCATATGTATGTTAAGTAACATGCTAACAGGATCGGGGTGGCAACTCATGACCAAGCACATTCATACATTTTTGCTGTGAAACATGCAAATATTCACACTAAGACTTTAACTATCCTTATATCTGACCAGGTCAGGTTTTGCCACCAAATGAGTTTGCCACAAACTTATGGAAAAAGTCTTGGTTTTCAGGAATATTTAGATTTTGGAACTGTGAGTTAGAGACTGCAGACCTGTAATAGAAGCTGTTAATTAATCTCTAGGGAGGGAGAAATGTTTTCCTACTTCACAAATCTAATACCATGTGGACTTTAAAGATATTGCACAACAAAAGGAGCAGGTTCACAGTGGATGTTTTACAAAAAAAATGCATTGTGTCAACAAACTCAACTGAACTCTATTGGACGGGCATCTGGCCTGCCACCAGGACGCCGGGAGGGGCAGGAGAGGGCAGGACGCAGCCCTGGATGCGGGATGACCTTTGCCTTTCAGGTACACATTGGCGGGTGGTGTTCTGCCTCAGGGGGCCAGAGCACAAAGGCAGCAGGGATTGAGTCCTGGGAGGAGGCCAGGGACTGAATCAGACGAGGCTCTGCAGGGCAGTGCCAGGTGTAGGGTGTTTGTTTGGCTGCAAGTGACAAAGACCCAGGCTCAAGCTGGAGGAGCAACAGGGACTGAGGATCTTGTAGCAGAAAGTGCAGAGGCAGGGTGGCAGTGGGCACCCTATGCCAGGCTCCAGGGTGTCTCCCTGAGTGTGGCCCTCCTCCGGGTGTGGCCTCACCCTTGGCTGGTAAAAGATGTGATATCCTGACAATGGCAAAAGTCCAGTGGAACATGCTAGACTATTTCTTCCTGTGGGTCTCTTTTATCAGAGAGGAAACCTTAGCCAGGAATTCCCAGCCGACTTTTGTTTATGTCTCATCAGCAGGACAGGGTCCTCAGCCCCTCTCAGCAAGTGGGGAGAGAGTCAAACAGCTGGTAGTGGCCAGCCAGGACGGTCCCCACATCACTGGCAGGGAGGAGGGGGCACATCAAGGTGAGCCTCAAATAGTGGGGAAACGGGGGTCACAGCCAATGGGCCGGCCACCCATTGAGCTCACCAGGGGTGGGGAGAAGGGTATGCGGGGATAAGACAGAGCTAGTGGGAAGTCAGCCTTAAAACCCTGGGGTGGGTTGCAAGGACATGGGTGATGACAACCAAGGGAAGTCCTAGGCCTTGAGCTCGTGGGGAAAGGGGCCAAAAGGGCCTGGGTGAGTCTGGTCAGAGCTGCTCCTTCAGCATGGAGAGGCTTGGGAAAGCAGTGGGTTTGGGACTAGCGGAAGTGAGGGGCTGAGCCCCAGCTCGGGCAGTGATACGGGGGCCAGATCAAGGCACCTTTCAGGGCTGCAGGGCTGAGCGCACCCCAAAGCCCACCTGCTCCACACCTGTGCAGGAAGGGCAAGCCATGTGTCTTCTGTACCTGTGTGCACCACTCCAGTCTCTGGAAGTGTGGGTTGCTTCTCCCACACCAAGCAATGCAGTTCTCTACAAATGCCAAACAGGTGTCCTACAGTGTAACTCAATTCTGACTCAATCTACTTTGATAGCATCAGACCCCACAGGTTAAGGGCTGGGCTCAGTCCCAGAGAGCTGCCCCGCCCCGTCACATGCTGATTGCAGGTCCAGGTTGTCACTTGTGTTTCTGACAAACAGGCTGTAAATCAGGGGTTCCCGGGACTCCCTCCCTGGGTTCAGTCATTTACTAGAATGGCTCACAGAACTCAGGGAAACACTTTACTTACGTTTACCGGTTTATTTTAAAGGATCTTGTAAAAGATACAGATAAACTGCCAGATGGAAGACATGCACAGGTGGTCAGCGTGGAAAGGGGTGGGAGCTTCCGGGCCTCTCTACGTGCCACCCTCCCAGCCCCTCTGTGTGTTCAGCATAGGGTTCTCCCAACCTGTCATTTCAGGTTTTTATGGAAGCTCCATTACATAGACTGATTGATTACATCACTGGCCATTGGTGATCAAGTTGACCTTCAGCTCTTCTCCCCTCTCTGAAGGCGGGTAGTGGAGCTGAAATCCCAACCCTCTGATTATTGGTTGGTTCCCCTGGCAACCAACCCCGCTCCTGATTCTACCCAGGAGTCCCTAGCCACCAGTCCCTCCCATGAGCACACAAAAAGACACTTATGGCTTTGGAGATTCAAGAGTTTTAGAAGCCATGTGGCAGGAAAGAGGGTGGGGAGACCACAAAGGCCAAATGCATATTCCTCATTATAGCGCAATGTCACAATGTCCTGGTGTAGGAAAGTGATGGGTTCAGCTACCGCACTGCTGATGGGATACCTTCTATCCGTTTACCTTGACAGCTAAGTCTTCACAATGACCGCAAGGCCAGCCTCAAGTGTAGGATCCTGGAATCCGTTCTGCACAGAAGTGTGGCCTAGGCCCCGCCGGTTCCCCTCGTCTCCCACTCCTTGCCCATCCCACAGTCCCGCTAGCCCAGCCCAGCCGAGCCCAGCCCAGCCCACATGGGGATTATCACTGGAAACAGCTGCCCCTTCTGGCGCAAGGCCCACAGCTGTGCACCCCTATCAGGAAGAGACCCGGGGAGACCCATGAGGCCCAGGTGGAGGTGTCTGGGGGGAATTCTAGGCCCCAGGGCCAGCTGCATGGTCTAGAAGGGGCACAGGTCTGGGTGGGCAGATCTCCTGGGCCCACAGACTCCTTGTCTGTGGGGAGGGCACCACTGGAGGAGGGCCCGGAATAGGAGCTCTGATGGTGGCACTGGCCTCCATGCAGGGGGTGACAGGGGAATGCAGGGAAGGAGGGGGGGGAGGACTCTAAAGGAATACCGCATCACCTGGCCTGGGCCAGGAGGAGCGTGGTGCCCCCTTCACCAAGATGGGGCCTCCCAGGGAAATGGCTGGGCATGCATTCTTTTCTTTTTTTTTTTTTTTTTGAGACAAAGTCTCACTCTGTCACCCAGGCTGGAGTACAGTGGCGTGATCTCAGCTCACTGCAACTTCCGCCCTCTGAGTTCAAGCGATTCTCCTGCCTCAACCTCCCGAGTAGCTGGGATTACAGGTGCCTGCCACTGCTCCCAGCTATTTTTTTTTTTTTTTGTATTTTTAGTAAAGACAGGGTTTCACCATCTTGGCCAGGCTGGTCTTGAACTCCTGACCTCATGATCCACCCGCCTCGGCCTCCCAAAGTGCTGGGATTACAGGCGTGAGCCACCGCACCCAGCCGCATTCTTTTCATGTTAGTGTGGAGTCTTGGTATTTTTGAATGGCATAATATTCCACCGTGCAGATGGTGCCTCATCACACCCGGGCATCCCCGTCACCCCAGGGTGCAGGCTGTGCTGTTGGGAGGTTTGGAAAGGAGAGGAACCCAAGGGTAGGCTCCAAACAACACTCGGGCCAGGGAGGGCTCTCTCTTCTCCATTTGGGGTGTTTCTTGTTGATTTGTTTCCTTGTTTGTGGGAGCCTTGAGCAGGACTGGGGGCTTGCAGGAAGGCATGGGCGGCATGGGCAGAGCAGTCTTGCTCGTTTTGTTTGTGTGAAAGCTGCGCTCCTGGAGGCAGACCCCCAGGTGGCTGGAGGCCCTGAGGTCTGGAGCTCCCTTTTCTCCTTGCAGCCGAGTTGGCCCGGGCTGAGGCTCTAAGTCAGAGCCGTCCATGCATCAACTGCAAGAGAAAGGGAGAGTGTGGGGGCCCTGGGCTGGAGCAGAGACAGAAGGACCAAGCTCTGGGAGAAGTTGTGGCCTGGGTGCTGGCCGCCCCTGGAAGGAGTGCAGCTGGGGGCCCCTGGATGATAGCCCTCCTCCAGGGCACTATGATTACAACTCGGTGTTTGTTCATGCCCCCACCCAGGCCCCAGAGCCTGCCTGGCCTGGCTCCTGCTATGTGGGGTCAGATGCGAGGATGCTGAGCCCTGACCAGGAAGAAGGCAGTGGGGCACACCCACCCAGCCCACCACCCACCCTCTGCTGTCACGTGTCTGCCAGCCAAGAGGAGGCCCACAATGCGGCTTTGTGTGGCAGCTGGCTCTGAGCACACGCAGAGTGTCTGGGGCAGTCCTGGCCAGCAGTGCCAGCCCTGGAAGCCAGAGATGCCAGGTCGCGGAGGGAGGATCCACCCCGCCCAACCCCTCCAGGGCCTGGGGCCAGGCGCTCTCCAGGAAACACCTGGGCTGGCCAGGCTTCTTCAGGGGTCACCCAGGACCCCTGGAGGCTGTGTCTGGGGAACAGGAAACTTTCAGCGGAGGCCTGGCTGTCAGTCCCCAACTAGTAGGGCCTGTGGGGTACCCTGGGACCGCCAGGCCACCGGTTGGACCAACTCAGCCTGCCTTGGGATTCCTAACAGAGCTCCCTGGTCCTGGGTGAAATGAGAAAAAAGAGGACAGCTTTGCCCATGTCTGTAATGCTGAATGTTTCTATTATTTTTAATATGAGTTTTTTGAAATGTTAAAACATCCTTTTTAAATGAAATTATTATAGTGCCTAGAGATTGTTTTTATGACAACATCCTTAATCGGCAAAATTAAAAGTCTCCAACTCTATTTTCAGCCTGTATAAAAATGTGGCTCCTGAAGCCCCCAAACATCGACCCCTCGGTGCTGGCTGGGCTGGCTGGGCGCCTCGTGCAGGCGCAGCTGGGCAGCCGTGGGGAACAGTTGGTGGGCAGCAGCCGGGAAGTCACGTCTGGAGGGCCCTGTGTGGGATGCCTCAGAGTTTCCCAGAGCTGGGTGGGGGTGGGGGCTCTCCTGAGCTGGGACCTTCTCCCATCTGGACCAGGGATGGCATTGACTCTCCCTTCCCTGCCCCTCCCCACCCCCACTGCCTTTGTTCACCTTGAGAACGCACACTTGTGCAGCCCTGCACAGCTCCCCTGCAGCCTGTGTGGGGCAAGGGCAGGGCCCTGGTGTCCAGCCCGGCTCTCAGGAACACCCTTGGCGATGCTGGGCAGGAAGCCCCTCCTCAGCTCCTCCCTTGGCAGATAAGGGTGGTGTCAATGGGCTCTCTACAGAGTCCGTCCTCTTTGGGTTGCCCTAGCATTGCTACAAACAGAGCATTCAGTAGGAAGGAACAGACCTTTTGCCCGAGTGACTTGGCCTGGATCTGAGAAAAACAGCCATCCTTCAGCCAGCAGGGACCATCCCCTGCTTCGTGGGGATGGCTGCTGTGTGTGGGCAGGCAGGGACAGCCCATCTGCCACGGCTGCCCAGTGGCGAGGTCCCTTGGGGACCCTGCCGAGAAGTGAGTGCAGGGCCTTACTGTGACCAGCTCACCAAGAGATGTTATCGGGCCTGAAGCAGGTCCCGAGGGGATTAGGCCATCTGGAGTGAGGGGCTGGCAGGGAAATTGCTTCTCGTTCACAGAAATGTTTAAGAAACAAATCCAGGAAAGGCCTGTTTTGGTTATTTTTTTTTTTGAATGACACAGTAACGTGTCAAACTTAATTTAAGAAACACCCTCAGATATTTTTATTTTTTTTTTGCATTGGATTTGCATTGAGATTTTTTAAAAATGCAAAAGGGCCTTTCTACTGGGCCTGAATCTTGCAAGATTTCTAACCCATTTCAGTCCTGTAAATAATTAGGTGCAATTGGTTGCTGAGACTGATTTTCCCAGACCCGTGGAGAAAGGCCCCAGCCGTGAGGGGCTCTGGGAACTTAGGGGACAGCACCTTATGGACACCCCTACTCAGGAAGGGATCATTGAAGAGATGCTTCTGGGCCTGGAACATTCTCCGCCATCTGGACCTTTCTGTATGCATAGAGGGGACCAGTGGGAACTGTGGGACAGAGGGAGGTCTGCACACCCTCCCTGGACACCATGAGGCCCATCTTGGGTCCCCTGAGTCCAGACCAGCCCCCAAGAAGCTCACAGTCTGGTAGGAAGCCGAGGAGGCAAACGAACAGGAACAGCCCTAAATAACTGCACAGTGCCCAGGCTGCCAGGAGAGTGTGTGGGCAGAGAAGGCTCCCAGAGCAGAAAAAGGATGCTCAAGGATGTATTCCAGGCCAGGGAGCAGCGTGTGCGGGGGCCGTGCGGAATGGCGCATTCTGCAAAATGCAATGTGGCGTCTGGCTGGGGGGCCACTCCGCACTCCCTGGCCTGGCTATGAGTCCAAGCCACCCAGGGGTGAGCTTCTGTAGAGCAGGAGTCCCTGGCTCTTCCCTGAGAGGGGACGTCATGGCCCCAGGTGTGGCTGGCAGAGGACCTGCAGGCTAGGGAAGAGGGCATGAGGTCGGCAGGTTAGAAGTGGCTGGGGAAGCACACGCAGGTCGCCTCTCTGTGGCAGTTGTCTCTTCTGTGAAGTTGAGACCGGTGGGGGAGATAAAGTACTAAGCACTGCAAATACAGAGATCCTTGGAGAAATCGAGTCACTGGAGTCTCCTCTAGGAATGGGGGGCTGCTGGGGTAGGGCCAGTTCCAGGCACGGAGGGGGCTGAGGGACACAGCAGGACAGGCTCCAGACCATCCCCAAGTGGCCTGAAGGTGACCTCGACCCCCTCAGCTGCCTTGTGTGTGTCCCTCCGGCCCTGGCCCAGAAAGGAGATGGTGCATGCCTGTTTCTAGACCTCTAGACCCCTCGTGGGGTCCCTGGGCTCTCTCTGCCAGGGACAAGCAGGGGCACCTTGCTCCCTTTACAACTCCCACTGTCCAGCGAGAGTTGGAGCTCGCTGAGTGCCACATGCCGTTAGGACCTAGGTGGGAGATGGGGGTGCCGAAGAGGGGATGGGGACTGTGGAGAAGTAGATGAAATTTCCCTAGGCTGGCTGGATGTGCCGCAAGTGTCTGAGCAGGGGCTAAGCCCACCCCCTTGAATCTCAGACGGAGCCACTGGGGCCCGGTGAGGCCCAACAATTGTCCCCAGAGCCTCAGAGTGCCTACAGGGCACAGTGGGAGGCAGCACTGAGCTGAAAGGAGCGTAATCTCTAAGCAGGTTTAACCTAAAATAGAGCCTGATAGCTCAATGACAGATGCTTAATTTGTCACAATATTTCTGTCATTATGCTGGGACAGATATTCTTGGTTTGTTCAAGAACAAGGTCTTTTTTTTTTTTTTTTTTTTTGAGTCATTATACAGCATAAAAGAGACCACACCCCAAACAAGATTGGGACAGCGCTGGGCCCCTGAGCCAAGCCAAGAGGAATCACCCCGCCCACACAACCACCCCGCCCACACAGCCTTCCCTTCCCGGAGCCACGAGCCACAACCAGGCCTACCTGGCTGGAAGAGGGGCTTCAGGGGCTGACTCCACCTGGGAGTGGGTGAGGGGAGGTGACCTCAAGCTCCTTTAAAGCCTTGCCTCTCAACTCCTCACTCCCAAATCCCTCCAAAGGAGATAAAATGACTCCTATAAAGATTAGAGATCATGCACCAGCATGAATGCATGTGAAAAGTGACAGGAACACAAATTCATGCGATGGGGGTCTCAGACTTTTGTCTACCACCAACTGAGAGTGATAAGGCCCAAGAGGGCCCCCTGCAGAGCTGCCTGCAAGAGATGTTGCTCTGCCTTCAAACGTCATGGGATGATGTGTGCTATTCAGCATACTCCTGTGTTTGTTTTCACTAGTTTGTAAAAGGCGTTTTCAAGCACTCACCATTGCCTGTGGAGTGTGGCTCACCCTCCCTGCCCACCCCAGAACACAGTTTGAGAACTAAGCTATTGAAGATGGACCCTTCCCCAAGCCCCAAGCCTAGCGCCTCTCCGTTTCTAGCCCAGCTAAGGGATGGGACCATAGCCCTGTAGCACTAGTGTGAGTGGGAGCCGGAGCCAGCCTGGCCTGCACCCCCACCCCCCAGCCAGGCACAGCCTGGAGTGGGAGGGCACCGCCTGAGAACCTGCAGGAGGAAGACCACTGGGGACGTCGCCAGAAATTGGCAGCCATGGAGACAGTGGCCCTTCCCCTCGGTGAGGCCCTGAATAGCCTTGCTAGTTCCTGCCCCCTGTATAGCCCACAAGGCCAGTCTCACCAGGGAAAATGGGACACTGCATCCCAGGCCCATGGGGACAGAGGGGTGCTGCCCGCTGGGCCTGGCTGGGCTGGCTGGGGTGGCTGCACCCAGGGGTCAGAGTTCATCTTCGGCCTTTCTCTGCAGGGTCAGGCCTGGGAGGTGCTGGCCACCACAGTCATAGTCCAACCAGCTCAGCCAGCAATGTCCAGAGTGACGCTGGCTTCATGCCACGGGACAAGGCCAGTGGTCAGGGTGGTGCCTTCCTGGGAAATGGCTCTTTTTTGGAGAGACAGCCATGATAGAATGACTTTGCAAGCTGGAAGGGCTGGGATGGGGCTGGGGTTGGGGTGGAGGTGGGGGCGAGGGTACTTAGAAAGCAATGAACAGCATCTGGTGGGGACTCACACCTGTGTTCACGCAGTGGGCACCTGTGGGCAGCTTGGCCAAATAGCCCCGAGAGACCAAGCAACTTTCCTGCCCAATGAAATGCAATCTGCTTTCTTCCTTTTCTCTAGTCATTATTTATTCATTTGAAAGATGCTTTTATGATAGAAATTCAGGGCTGCACACAGGCGTCTCTAATGAGGGCATTCGGGAGCAGAGAAGGGGACCAGGCATCCCCGCTGGGCGTGCTGGGAGAGGCTAACAGCCTTCACGCTTTGGAGAGCCCTCAGCCTGCTTCAAAGCTCCTAGCCTTTCTCAATTTCTCCTCCAAGGCATCACAGGGCAGCGGTGTGCGGATCAGATCCTACTTTTACAGGTTAGGTGGCTGAGGCCTCCATTCCCCGGGTTACAGAGACACCTGCCCGGAGGGAGCCCTGCTGGTGGCCTGCATCCTCTCCCTGGGTTCTGGCGCAGCTCACAGTCTGAAAATTACAACTCCCTGTTGTTGCTATGGTGACTGGTTGTGTTATTCTAGCCTACAGAGCTGTGTGCTCCACCTTGCCCAAGATGGTCTGTTTTTGCAGGAGAAAGTCTCTATCTCCAAGTCTCTCTCTGTGTGTGTGTGTGTGTGTGTGTGTGTGTGTGTGTGTGTGTGTGAGAGAGAGAGAGAGAGAGAGAGAGAAGAAAGGAGAGAGAGAGAAATGGGCACACTGCCCTTCCTGCTGCCCCAACCTTTTCCCTGGGCCCAGTGGACCTTCTGTCCCTGCCCAGCAGGCTGCCTGGGTCCCCAAGATACTGGCCCCATTCCTTTCATAGGACACCGACTCTGGGCCACAGGCACTGGCTGTGCAGGGGTCCTTCCTTTGTGTCTCCTTGTGAGGTCAGATCCCTGTGTCAGTGCACAAAGGGCACCCCGTTCTTGTTTCATTTGCAGACTACTCTGTGACATGGATGGACAGACCATCATCTATTTAACCAGGCTCTCTAGATGGACAGTTGGGCTGTTTCCAATCTCTGGTCATCACAAATCTGTGAAAAATAACCTTGAACATATGTCATTTTGCACATGTGGGAATATGTGTAGAATAAACTCCTAGAAGTAGCATTATTGGGAAATTAGTATCTGCATTTCTAAGTTTGGAAATTTTTGCAAATTGCTGTCCGTTGATATCATCCATTGTGAGCCTAGTACATGCTGAACACTGAACTCAACATTTTATCTGGATTATTTTATTTCGTCTCACCGTGGCCCTAAAATGGAGCTTATTCCGATGCTGGTTTTACAGATAAGCACACAGATGCTCAGAAAAACTCAGCAACATGCCAAATAGCCATCTGGGCTGGTGGGGTGGGGTCGGGATGGACCCTGAGTCTCCAGGCCCCTGTCAGGCCCTTTCCTAAGGGCACACAGGCCCAGCCCTGGGGCACCTGCCCCGCCCAGAGGGCCTGGACCCTTGACCTGTTCTCCAAGCCCCATTCAAGCATGCAAGCCTTGTGCACCAGGAGCCCGCAGACTGGCCCTCCTCACACCAGCCAGGCTCTCCTGGAACCAGTCACCGGCCACCCCATTGGGGCCTTGGGATGCACAGTCCTTCTGCCCCTGAGGCTCTCCCCCATGAGATGCTGTCCTCAGCCGGGCTGGCTGGTCCGAACTTGGGAGCTTGGCTTGCTCGGAGGGGTCTCCTCGCTCAGCCCTCTCCCAGCTCCCCAGTCTCCTTCTTCCAGGCCAGCTGCACACTTTGGGGTGATGTCCTCCAGCCTCTGCATCTTTCCTGGTCAGACTGTGAGTTCTGAGCCTCCGGGCCTGCGTCCCAGGCCCAGCATGATGCTCACCAAGCCGGGTGCAGGAGAGGACAATGGGAGAGGCAGGGCAGGCCCAGGGAAGCTAGGAGCCACCGCCTTTCCCGGGAGGGCCCTGGCTTCCTCTGAATCACAAAGTGGTTAGCATGCAGGGGAGTGCGCCGGTCCCCCGCCTGTATTTGCATGACAAAAGCGCCTGCCCAACGGCTCTCGGTGGCTTTGTTGAGAGCTGCAGCCTCGCTCAGGCTGAGCCTTGGGAATTGTTCCCCGACATTGGTTGTTCCTGGGCTCCACAGCTACCCCGGCCGACAAAAGCCACATTGTGGGGCTGACGGCAGCTGCCAGCACCTGCTCCCTGCACCGCGGCTGCCTCGAGGCTCTGCGCCGCGCCTGATGCCTTTGCTAGGACACAGCCAGGGGCAGACCCCGAGGCCCTGGGCATCATCCAGAACACATTGTGAGGGGTGGGGTGGGTGGTGGGGGAAACTTGCCTGGTTCCCAAAGGGCCTGGGGGGATGGCCTGGGGCTGGCCATGGCGAGGTGAGGACTCCAAGGTCACCAGTGTAGGCTGGAAGAGGGAAGAAAACCACAAACCCCAAGCGTGCGGCGCCCACGCTGCAGCATTGCATTATTTGATGCTTCGCTCACAACAGGTGTTTTTCTTACTCTTCAAATGGGGAAACAGGCTCAGAGAGGTTCACTAGCCAGCCCAGTATCACACAGCAGAGCCGAGGTTTGAAGGTCCCGGCCCCTCGGGGCATGCTTCTCACAGCGGTCCCAGAGTTTCCCCTGGCCCTTTCCCCTTTCCCTTCTGAGCTTCTCAGTCCTTTCTCTCTCTCCTCAATGGCCTTGCCACAGCATCCAGCTGCCTTGGCGGCAAGCACAGTGCCCTCCGCCCTCGCTGCGTCCCTGGGGTGCCTGCCGTCAGTGGCCTCCCCTTCCTTGTGGAGCACTTCCCCCTTCCTCACTGGTCCTGGGGCTGTGTCCATTACATACCACTCCCTTGTGTCTTTTATGGATCCACAAACTCCTGTTAGCCCACCGAGCCCTGTGCACCCCTCCTCTTCCCCAGAAGCTCCTCCTGAGCCCTGCTGCCTTCTCTCCATGCATGGTCCTGTGTCCCGGCTGTGAGCACCTGCATTTTGGCACCTGGTACCTAGCCCAGAAGCTCCACCTCAGTGCCTGCATTCAGCCAGCGCTCATGAAACTAAATTAACTTCACGACTGTATTCCAAATGCAAATGTTGTCGCTACTCTGACTTACAGGAGAAAGTCTTAACTAGTGCTTGCCTCTGGCTCACCTGAAGGGGCTAGGGCCGTGCCAGTCACAGATGCGAAGGCCTCCGCACACCCGCAGGCAGCGGCCTTTCCTGAGGCCTTGACAGAGACAGGAACTGTGTAGGAAAAGCTGTGTTGAAGGCCATCCCCTCCAGAGATCAGAGCAGGGAAGGGGGCCATTACCACTGAGTCACCCTGGGGTGGGAAGGCTGTGCAGCAAACCTGCAAACAGCATGAGGAGAGGAGCCCTGAAAGCCACCGCCTGCTCCTGAGGGACACAGCCCACCTGCAGAGACTCTGGGGGAGGCTCCCTCCTTCTTTCTCCCGGGGATCTCCTGCTGGGACTCCCTGAAGTCCAAAACCAACCAGAGGGAGGTCAAAGGAGTCCATGATGCACCCAGTGGACTGGGGTAGAGGTGTGTCCTCTGAGGAGCCAGGAGCACAGCCCCCAGGGGAAAGGTTGGCCCAGCTGGAGGTGACACTATGACTAGGAAACAGGGCTGTGGGAAGGATCAACATGCAGCAGGTGCAGAAGCCAGAGCTCAGGAGGAGAAAGGCCCAGCAGCCTCAACAAGAAAGGGAGGTGTGGGGAAGACCCCAAGGAGAGGCTGCAGGTGGGCCGGGCCAGCAGGAGAGCTGTGGGCGGGACCTCAGTGTCACAGCCCAGGAGGAGCTGAGCCCTTGCCTGGGCCCCACCCTCCCCTGCCTGCACCCCTGCTGCACAACCATTCAGCTTGTGGGGGAAGACAGAGCCAGCTGCAGGCTGTGGGGAGAAGGACCGGTGCTTGCCCTCCTTTTAGGTCCCAGGGACTCCCCCATCGCACCTGCGAGGAAGCTTTTGGGGGTCAGAGCTGCCTTGATCAAGCTTACAGTGAGCTTGAAAACCCTCGGACACACAGGCTAACAATTCTCACCAGGAAAACCCTGGGACATCTCAGAGAGGCAGAAGGGAGTTGTGGAATTAGAAACATTTCATCCTCTGCTCCCCCACTACTGGGAAAGCAAAAACCCACACCTCAGAGCATGCTCATTTGCTACGTATCCAATTAAACCTTAAAGGGCACTTGGAATTTGAATGAGTTCCCCAAATTGTCCCAAGTTATGCAACTGAGTCAGAATTCAGGGTCTGTAATAAGACCCCGGGGGTGGCCCACACTGGATGGGCTGATCCAATGGATGTGCCCAGCCACTCTCCGGTGCCACCTCCCCTACAAGAGCTGCCAGGTCAGAAACTTGCTTCCCCCATCTCCCCCAGTGCTGGCGGGGACAAGCACCCTGTGGCCAGTAAAGTGAAGCAGAAGTCTTCTGGAAAAGCAGCTTCTTCTTACGGAGGGCACAGGTTGCTGGCTTCTACCAGCCTCCCCGGGCTTCTGACTCCAGCTGCAGACCTGGAGCAGTGACAAGTGTCTCTAGAGCAGAAAGCCAACACTTTAAGGATGGTAGAGGAGCCGGGTCCCTGTGGGCACCCCTGAGCCACTTCCCTGGCCCTGGGAAGGCCCACCTGCCAACCTCTTATGATGGGAGACCCCTGTTTGTTTAACTGGCTGTCAACTGATCTAACAGATCAACAGGCTCCAACATAGGTCCCGGGCGTGGCTTTGTGTGGCCCACTGTGTCTCTTGCAGCAGGTTTCCCTCCTGTGCAGGGGGCCTAATTCCTGCATCATGGAGTGTCTTATCAGCTCAGGAGGCTATTACAAAATAGCACAGACTGGGTGGCTTATTTCTCACTGTTCTGGGGCTGGGAAGTCCAAGATCCAGGCGCCAGCAGCGGGCTTTCTCCCTGGCATGGAGATGGCCGTCTTCCTCCTGTTACCGCACATGGTGGAGATGTTCTCTCTCTCTCTTCTCTCTCCTCCCTCTCTTCTTAAAAAGTCACGAATCCAGCTGGGCACGGTGACTCATGCCTGTAATCCCAGCACTTTGGGAGGCTGAGGCAGGTGGATCACCTGAGGTCAGGAGTTCGAGACCAGCCTGGCCAACATGGCGAAACCCCAACTCTACTAAAATCACAAAAATTAGCCGGGTCTGGTGGTGGGCGTCTGCAATTCCAGCTACTCGGGAGGCTGAGGCAGGAGAATTGCTTGAACACAGGAAGTAGAGGTTTCATTGAGCTATGATTGTGCCACTGCACTCCAGCCTGGGTGATAGAGCAAGACTCCATCTCAAAAAAAAAAAAGGTCACTAATGCTATCCTGAAGACTCCGCACTCATGACCTAATCACCTCCCAAAGGCCACCGTCACACTGGGGGTTGGGGCCTCAACACATAAATTTGGGGATGTGGGGACCAAATTCAATCTGTGGGGATGAGACAGGAGCCTGAGAAGCCTGAGTGCTTGGTGTCATGATGGGTGGACAAATGTAGACGATTTCCTAGTAATCACCAATTTCTTCCAGACATAACCCCCTGCCTTCTGGAGAGCACACTGGGGGAAGACGAGGGGTACTCTTTTTTTGTCTTATCTCTAAGAAAGGATGGGAGGGTGACTGGGTGGGGGCAGGGCTACAGATGGCTGTGAGCCTGAGAACAGCCCCATGGCCTAGGGTCGCTGAGAGTGGGGCTGGAGGTCTGTGGTCCTGGAAGCAAACTTCTTAAAGGGCAGGAAAACCAACGGTGCCTTTGTCAGAGCTTAGCTGTATCTTTACAGACAACGGTGGCAGTGAGAGGATGAAATGTTCTGGTCCCTGCAGCTCCCTTCTCCACCCTCACCGGCACTCTCCCAACACACCCCGAAGAGGTGGGTAGGCTCCAGAAAAGCCCTAACATGGGGTATGACCAGGGTGAGAGTGCAGCATTCTGAAGACAGAGATCTCAGTTTGGTTGATAAAGAAGCAATATTTAAGCCAGGCTCAGTGGCTCACGCCTATAATCCCAACACTCTGGGAGGCCAAGGCAGGCAGATCACTGGAGGTCAGGAGTTTGAGAGCAGCCTGGTCAACATGGTGAAACCCCGTCTCTACTAAAAGTACAAAAATCAGCCAGGCGTGGTGGCAGGCGCCTGTAATCCCAGCTCCTCAGAAGACTGAGGTGGGAGAATTGCTTGAACCTGGGAGGCGGAGGTTGCAGTGAGCCAAGATCACGCCACTGCACTCCAGCCTGGGTGACAGAGTAAGACTCCATCTCAAAAAAAAAAAAAAAAAAAAAAAGGAGCTATTTGGATAGAAAAGAGATTAAGAGTCCATTGCAAAAATGTAAATATGGTCTGCATATTATACAATATTCATAGATTAACAATAAAGTTCTTCAGTCCAATACAGGCTCTGCGGCTATCCAAGAGCAAGTCCTCCTTTTTTGCAAATGTGTAGGGCAAAGTGTTGTGATGTCAGCAGCTGACTTTCAAATCATTTCAAAAAATATAGAGATATAGACAGAGAGATGGAAAGAGAAATACAGTGAACATGGCAATCACTGAAGAGCCGGCGAATCAGAGTAAAGCGTGTTCTTTGCACTACTCTTTTGGCTTCTGGTTGATTTATTATTATTATTATTATTTTGAGACAAAGTCTCCCACTGCTGCCCAGGTTGGAGTGCAGTGGTGTGATCTTGGCTCACTGCAACCCCCACCTCCCAGGTTTAAGCGATTCTCCTGCCTCAGCCTCCTAAGTAGCTGGGATTACAGGCGTGTGCCACCACTCCCGGCTAATTTTGGTATTTTTAGTAGAGACCGGGTTTCACCATGTTGGCCAGGCTGGTCTTGAACTCCTGGCCTCGTGATCCACCTGCCTCGGCCTCCCAAAGTGCTGGGATTACAGGCGTGAGCCACTGCGACCAGCTGAAAATTTTTGAAACAGAATGTTGAGGAGAAAAACAGGAGCTGCTAGGCTCTCTGCTGTATCCCCTGACTTTGAAGGCATGTGTCCTGGACAGTCCTGGCATTCTGGGCACTGCCCTCTCACCCTGCTGCAGCCCCGGGTGGTCGTCTCCTGTGGATCAAGTGCCTTGCAGAGCCCTCTTCAGCACCGAGGAGATATTTATGTGGCAGCCCCATGAGAGGCAGGACGATGCTCCCCACTTTAGGATGAGGGCGCCAGGCATTTGGGGCAGTCCAGCCAGGACTCCAGCCCAGCCTCTGCCCTGCACAGCGCACCTTGGGCAGCCCCTGGGGGCCCCAGAAGCTTCTTGGCTGCAGCTGCGTGCTTCTCACCGTGCTCCCCTGACAGACTGGATCTGAGATCTTCCCCGGGGCAGCCCACTCTGCTGACCAGGGTTGCAAGGTGGCCTGCTGGGAGAACCAATGGCAGAGCCACCAGCTGCCCACCAGATCTCCCCCAATGGGTCTGTCCCTGCAGATTCAGAGAGTCAGCAGAGGGTGCTGAAGCTGAGCCATGAGGCTGCTAGGAGAGGAAGCCCTGGGATGCTAAGAGCCAAAGGGGCAAAGCCAGCAGAGAGGGGCAGCTGCAGCATCTGCAAGAGAAAGGATGAGAGCCAGGAGAGGGGGCTGCCCACAGCAGTCACTGCCAGGTGGTCCTCCTGTCTGAGCATCCAGTTGTCCTTCCCCAAGCCTTGTTTCTGCAGGTCCCTCCAGCAGAGCTCCCAAGGCCCCCTGGTGAGCTCTGCTCACTGCATCCTCGCAAGGGGCTGCGTTGGGTCCAGACTTGGCACTGGAGAGGGCCGTATGTGCGAGGGGCAGCCCTGCTGCGGGAAGAGAGGACCTCCTTATTCTCTCTTATTATGTAGCCGGAGGACGCAGCAGGGTGGGTGCAGAAGCTCCTCTGCCCGTGGGGGGCTCCTGGGCCACCGGCAAGGCTCTGGGTCCCGGGCAGTGGGTGGAGGGAGAGCAGAAGGCAGCAAGGGTTCCTCTCTCCCAGTTCGGGGTCTCTTGGAAATCACAGATATCGTGCTGGGCCCTTAGATCCCACGGACCCAAGTGTGGTCTCCTGGCACGCCCAGCTGCCAGGGAGGTTGGCGAGTCAGGGATTTGTATTTTTTTCCCCCTTATCTCTGCTCAGAGGCCCTTGGGAAGATATACCCACGGTGAAGGAAGAGGGCCTAGAAATACCATGATGGAGTCTATATAAGCCAGTTGTGAAAAAAGAACTATGGTGAGCTTATCTTTTAGGATCTGTGGGTTTTTTGCTTTTTTTTTTTTTTTTTTTTTTTTTGAGACGGAGTTTGGCTCTTGTTGCCCAGGCTGGAGTGCAATGGTGTGATAGCTCACTGCAACCTCCGCCTCCCAGGTTCAAGCAATTCTCCTGCCTCAGCCTCCTAAGTAGCTGAGATTACAGGTGCCCACCACCACGCCCAGCTAATTTTTTGTATTTTAAGTAGAGACGGGGTTTCACCATATTGGCCAGGCTGGTCTCGAACTCCTGACCTCAGGTGATCCACCCACCTCAGCCTCCCAAAGCGCTGAGATTACAGGAGTGAGCCACCGTGCTCGGCCAGGATCTGTGTTTATCTGGTAGTAACCTTGGCTTAAATATCAAGAAATATCAAGAAATGTCAGTCCTCCACCCCCCTCAATAAAAGAAGTTCAGTGTTAGGCAGTCCAAGTAAGTTATGGGAGGCTCCATGATGTCACCAGGGACCCAGGCTTCATTCCACTTTCCCTTTGATTTTTAGCATATGATTTCCAGTCTCAGAGTTGCCTCATATTCACAAAATGGCTGCTGGAGTACCAGCTATCACATTTGCATTCCAAACAGCCAGTAACAGGAAGAGGCAAAGGGTACATTTTAGCTACTTGTTCCCATTCTTAAAAAGCTTTTGGCAAGCCTTACCTAACAACTTCTGTTTATATCTCAGTAACCTCCAATTCTTTCAAGGGAGGCTGGGAAATGTTTTTTAGCCAGGTACCTTGCTGCTTAGAATACAGTTACAGAAGGAAGGGAATAACAGATACTGGACAGGTGTGGTGGTTTTGAAAGATGTCTCCAAATGTTTGGAAGTTTCTCCCTTCAAAAGGCAGAGCCAAATTTCCCTCCCTTTGAATCTGGGCCAGACTTAGTAACTCAGAAGAGCCAACTAATAAATAGGGTAAAAGTGATGCTCTGTGATGTCTGAAGCTAGGCCATAAAAAGAACAGCTGTTCCCTCTTGATCACTTGCTCTAGGTCAGGAAAGCCAGCTGCCATGTTATGAGGATGCTCAAGCAGCTCTGTGGAAAAGTCCAAGTGGGAAGGAACTGAGGTTTCCCACTAACAGCCAGTGCTAACTTTCCAGCTGTGTGAGTTACTGTCATGGAAGCAGATTCTCCAACCCCAATCTGGGGCAACAGCAGCCCCAGTCAATGTCATGACTATAATCTCATGAGAGACCCCAAGCCAGCATCCCCCACTGTAGCCACTCCCAAATCCACAGAAACTGCAAACATGGTAGTAAATGTTTATTGTTACTTTAAGCCACTACGTTTTGGGGTATTTGGTTATGCAGCAATAGCTGCCTAACAGTAAACAATTAGCAGTGGCCGTCATAATGTGTAAAAAGAGAAAACTAGTCTGTTGATGGCAGAAAAGAGTGAAGAAATGGTTCTTTCCTGAAGAAAATGAAGGTTATCAGCAATTTTTAACTTATTATGCTTTTAAGTACTTTTCCATTTAAATAATGATACAATAAGGCAGGTACTGAAGCATGGGTCTATGGAGACTGTGTCAGAGGGGCCAGGTCTGAGACAGCCATCATCCCTGTCATCTCCCTGAGGAGGTGACTGGGCCGCAAGGACCCCACGTGGACAGTGGCCAGGTGGAAGAGTGGTGTGGGATGGGCACCCCTCCTCCCTTCAGAGGAAGCTGGCTGTGAGGAGGCAGATAGCTCACCAGCGGGGACCCACCCGGCAGCCGCAAGTACTGGGAAGTCTCAAGTCGGTCCCCAAGTCAAACGTGGTATAGGTCAAATCCCCGTGAAAATGCCTTAGCCCACCCGTCAAGTGCAGACGTCAGACCCAAGGCCAGCAGCACCGGTTGTTCCCCCACAACTGATTTGGGACCTTGATCACATCTGCAAAACCCCTTCACAGAAACACCGAGTATTTGACTAACTGGGAGAAAGAAGGTGAGTACAGACCACAGGCAGGATCCTGGGGCCATCTTAGAATTCTGCCAGCCACAGCACGATTGCATCACTGCTTCTCAGTTTTTCAGTTTGGAGCCTGTCTGTTGACTACATTTGCTCCCCCCAGGGTTGAAAGGGATCCTTTTCTTGTGTTTGAGCACTTGACCAGTAGTTTCTTGGTTTATAGAAACTATAGGCTGGGCGCGGTGGCTCACGCCTGTAATCCCAGCACTTTGGGAGGCTGAGGCAGGTGGATCACGAGGTCAGGGGATCGAGACCAGCCTGGCCAACATGGTGAAATCTCGTCTCTACTAAAAATACAAAAAAAAAGTAGGTGGGTGTGGTGACGTGTGCCTGTAGTCCCAGCTACTCGGGAGGCTGAGGCAGGAGAATCGCTTGAACCCAGGAGACAGAGGTTGCAGTGAGCCAAGATCGTGCCACTGCACTCCAGCCTGGGTGACAGAGGGAGACTCCATCTCAAGAAAAAAAAAAAGAAAAAGAAAAAAGAAACTATAAACCAAGTTGTTTGTTCCAGTTACTGTTGCTGTGTAACAAACAAGCCCAAACGTAATGGCCTAAAGCAATAACCATTGCTTCTGTGGGTCAAGAATTTGGACAGTGCCCAGCAGGGATGATCTGTTTCTGCTCCTCCCATTTGAGGCCTCAGCTGGGAGGTCTGTAAGGCTGGATGATTCCAACAGATCAGGGCTGGAACACCCAGGGCTGGAAAGCTAAGGACCTGCTGCCCCATGCACATGCCTGGCACTGTGTCAGGGATGGAGGGAAAGCTGGGCTCAGCTGGCCCGTCCCCAAACACCCACCAGATTGAGTAGTTGGACTTCTTACATGAAGCTCAGTGCCCCAAGCAGAGGTATGTGTGAGTGCCCGTGCCCAGGGAGCCAGGAGGAAGCTGCCCCACCTTTTATGACCCAGCCTTGGAAGTCACAAGGCTGCCCTTCTAGGCCAAAGCAGTCACCAGTGGCCCAGACTCGATGGCAGGAGCATCAAATAAGTGTGTGGCCATTTTGTTTTTTTTTTTAGACCGAGTCTCACTCTGTGGCTCAGGCTGGAGTGCAGTGGTGCAACATTGGCTCACTGCAACCTCCATCTCCCGGGTTCAAGCAATTCTCCTGCCTCAGCCTCCTGAGTAGCTGGGATTACAGGCGTGCACCACTATGCTCAGCTAATTTTTTTTTTTTTTGGTACTTTTAGTAGAGATGGGGTTTCACCATGTTGGCCAGGCTGGTCTCGAACTCCTGACCTCAAATGATTTTGCCTGCCTCAGCCTCCCATAGTGCTGGGATTACAGATGTGAGGCACCGTGCCCGGACTGGCCATTTTTTAAGAAACTGCAACAACACTGTATGAACAATCTCTGCCTTGAAGCAGGGGGTTCCTTCAGCTCAGCAGGGCCATGAGCTCAGGGGATCCCTGGTCCCTCCTTGCTTGCACTGAAGGTCTCCCTGAGATCAGGGGCAGCCCCCATGCCAGCCGGTCCTCTCTGTGTTGCAGGCACGCGGTGGAGCCACTGTAGTAGAGATGTGTGCACACCGCTGGGGTGGTTACATTCATGGGCAGCTCCCCTGGATGTCTCACTGTCAGCAGGCCCAGGAATCCAGGCTGCAGTTCCTGAGCTGAGCTGTCTCAGTCCAGGATTACCGCGTCATAATGACACCTGGGCAGATAAAGGTCTTTGAGGAGAGACTTCAAGGAGACCACAGATGTGGCTGGAGAATTCCCCCATTGACTGGGCACCTATTTCCTGAATGGCTGCTCATCCAAGGCACCGGGCGCCAAGGGGAGATGGCTGGTGACTGACCCCAGAGCTGGCTGAGAGCCATGGGCATTCTTACCCCATTGGAGAGGAGTTGTTTAAGGATCTACCTTGTATCCACCCACCAGACCCAATGCAGACCCCTCAAAGGGTCCCAGTCAGTGGTTTCCAGTGGGAATGATTTCTGGACTTTCAGGAAGTGACTTCAGGTTGGAAATGGCAGCCTTGTGGCTGCTCTCAAGTTTCCTGTAATATGATTAAATCTGATTTTTAACTTCTTCTCCTTTCTCTTTCATTGAGGGGAAAACAGTCTTTTTTTTATTCCTGGAATATTAACATCCCTCTTGGTGCAGTTCTCTGCTCTACACAGGAAACAAGTTCACACCCCATACCAAATCAGAAAGCTCCAGTTCAAAGAGGCTCAGATAGAAAGAACTACTGAGACCTATATTCTGAAAATATTTTAAATCAATTTGTTGAACTATAAAATCAGGGCAAGAGCTCCTGACTCTTCAATATACTGTCCTACAAAGACAGCCCAGGGCCCATAAAACTAACTGAATACATGAAGAACATGATAGATTGAGGATTCACTGCCTGCCGCCCCCAGGTTAACAACAGACCATGTGTGCTGATTGCTGAGCTCAACCTGACCATGAGTGACCTAGCAGTTCATTTCCAGCTCCACTTCCTGTGATTTGATGGTGCCTAGATGCTACTGACTGGTACTCACTTTAGCAGTAACAAAAAGAAAAACTTCATGTGTATCGGAACGGCTAATCCTTGCCATCTTTCAGCTCTAGATGCAAACAGCCCAGAATTCAAGGCAATCATAGCCTACATTGTTCATGATAAATCCTCCCAATCCCATTAATAAGAACACTCATTAGAATGGATTCCCATGACAGCCCAGAATGAACCAGCCTGGCTCTCCCTGAATTGATTTGGTAAGTCCCTGCGTTAACTGGCTAGCTTCCTGTAGGCTGGCAGTGGGGGCACCAGTGTGAGGTGAAAGGACTCTAGGCCAAGAGCCTGGGCTCTGCATCTTGCTACGTGTGGCTCTCGGAGTCTCTTGGCCTGATGGAGGCTGAGTTTTCTCACCTGGACATGTGAATGAACGGCACCTTCTGTGTAGAGTTCCTGTGTGTGTCAATGTGCCTGGTGAGCGCTGATGGGTGGGGGTTTATTGCCATTGATCAGAGGCTTGGCAGGAATCTCAGAGTCAATGGGATAAAACGCAGCATTTGACCCTGAGACCTAACTGGGGAGAGGATCACCAGTTACGAATGGCAGACAACCAAGGAGTGAGAGTGGAAGGGGACACGTAGAATGGATAATTGTCGTCAAGGCTGGAGATCGTCCCAGATCACGACGGAGGGCAGGGATCCCATGTCAGTTTTCATGTTTAGGAGTGGGAGCCATCTGCTCTGGCAAGCCTAGAAGGGATCGTCCGTCATTTTAACATGCTTCCCTTGTACATTTGTTGCAGACACTGTAAATACCTCTCCAGTGTTTCGATGGCTCGGATTCAGAAGCATTGCTGGTTTTAATCTTTCCCCGTGTAAATGTGCACCAGATGTGAAGTTGGCTTTCGTCCTTTAGAACTTGATCAATTATTTTGCACTCTGGACTAATGGGAGACAGGGCATGAAAACAGAGTTTTCTACCCCGATCCCATGTCATACGACAGAAAATGGCTCATTCTTTGTACAACGCCAAACCATCAGTGACTGAGATGAGGTTTTTCTCAGAAGTTCCTCATCCAACAACCCTATTCTGAAATGGTCAGGCTTGAGGGCTGCAAAAGCTTTGGGGTCAAAGCCCTCCTTGGATGGAAGGATTCCTTGGTGACATTATGAGTACATTAGGAGACAGGTCAAAAGCAGATAGGAGAGTGTGTGGGGGGCTTGAGCACTTACACATGACTCCTGGGCTGAGGAGGACATTGCCTGCCCTCTGAATTGGGGGGCACTGAGCGCTGACACTATGAGACATCCTGGATAAACCAAACCACCCTCAGCTCCAGGCTGGGCTCTGTGAGCAGAAGCAGGGCTTGCAGGCAATGGCTACCCTGGGAGAAAGGGAGGACGGTGCCCAGAGTGGGCATCTCACAGCCTGGCTGTCACCAGGAAGCCTAGAGAGCCACACTCCAGAAAAAAGTCCAGCCCCACTCTACCTGGCACCTGTTGTTTTTCTTCCCTGTCCCATTTTCCACATTGATTACGGTAGGCTAAGTCCCAGTAACAGGTGGACCCCAGCGTATATTGTGGTTCAAACACAGTGATGGTTCGGGAGCATGTTCTTGGCCAAAAGACTTTTGCGTCCCAGGCTCGTTCTATTTGGTGGCTCCATCATCCCCTAGAGCTCTGTCGCCATAAGCATGCAAATGGCAGGCAGGGAAGGGAAGCTACAGCATGGAGACCTGCTCTCTTAAAAGCCCCAGTGCAGAGGTGACAGGCAGCCCCTCCACTCATACTCCCATGTTGAGAATTAGTCACCTGCTCACAACTAACTACCAAGGTGTCTGGGAAGGCCGGGTGCTGTGGCTCACGCCTGTAATCCCAGCACTTTGGGAGGCTGAGGCAGGCGGATTACCTGGCTAACACGGTGAAACCCCGTCTCTACTAAAAATACAAAAATTAGCCGGGCATGGTGGCATGCACCTGTAATCCTAGCTACTCAGAAAACTGAGGCAGGAGAATCGCTTGAACCCAGGAGGCAGAGGCTGCAGTGAGCAGATTGTGCCACTATACTCCAGCCTGAGCAACAGAGCGAGGCTCTGTCAAAAAACAAACAAACAAACAAAAAGGTGTCCGGGAAGTGAACTGAGTCGCAACTGTGGAGAGGAGAGATTTCACTGGGCAGCTAGTAGTCTCTGACCCCATCTTTTGATTTTTGTTTTTCCTTACATCTAAGTTAACCATGCATATCACTTGAAGAGTCAAGTCATTCTATAAGGTTTGTTAGGAAACACAGCAGTCCTTCCCTCCTTTCCTCCCCTTTCCATCCCTAGAAATTATCTCTTTTTCCTCTTTTACCTAATTATTTCCACGACTCAAACAGCATGGGTATTCGTTTTCCACTGCTGCATAACAAAACAGCACAAGCTTAGTGGCTGGAGACAGCACCGGTTTAGCATCTCGAGGTTCTGTGATCAGAAGCCTGGGCAAAGTGCAGCTGGGTTTCTGCTCAGGGTCTCAAGAAGCTAAAATCAAGGTATTGCCCAGGCTGTGTCCACTGCAGCTTGGGTCCTTGTGCAAGCTCCACGTGGTAAGAGTCTTCTTTGTGGTTACAGGGCTGAGGTCTCCATTTCAGTTGACTGCCATCCGGGGGCCACTGTCAACTACCAGAGGCTGCTGGAGTTCCTTGCCATGTGGCCCCTTTGTCTTTAAAGCCAGCAATACGGACTCTTCCTCACTTCAAATCCCTGTCTTGCTTCTACTCTCTCTGAGCTCCCTGTCTCTGACCTTTGACCCAGATTGAAAGGGTTTACAGGATTAGTACAGGCCCACCCAGATACCGTCTCCCTATCTTCCAGTCAACTGATTTGGGACCTTGATCACATCTGCAAAACCCCTTCAGTGTTTGACTAACTGGGAGAAAGGTGAGTACAGACCACAGGCAGGATGCTGGTGCCATCTTAGAATTCTACCAACCACAGCACGATTGCATCGCTGCTTCTCGGTTTTTCAGTTTGGAGCCGTGTCTATTGACTTCCCATTATGTAGACAGGGACTTCCCTCCCACCCCTGTGCCATGTGTACACATGAGTGCCCAATTCCCCTACCAGATCCATACAGAAAAGCTTATAAGATCAGTGTTTAGTATTCATTATTACCATTATGAAAACACTATTTGCAACTGTGCCAAGTAGTCAACTGTAACGGACTTTCCTTTTGTTTTCTTTGGAGCTTTTTATGGTCTTTTCTCTTCATTTAGTTTTCTGTCTACTTATTATTTCAATCCCAAACCCTTCACCAGTTTTCTCAATCTTCTCAAGTCAGATTGGGTATTGGAGAAACTCTTAATGTGTCCCTGAATAGTTCAGTTCCTTGCCTTTTGGGGACATCATGGGTCTACTCCTGGCTCCCTGTGGACAGGATGGTGTCTTAGTCTGTTCAGGCTGCTATTACATAATCACCAGAAACTGGGAGGCTTATGAACAACAAAAATTTGTATCTCACAGTTCTGGAGGCCGGAAAGTCCAAGATCAAGGAGCTGGCAGATCCGGTGTCAGGCAAAGCCCTACTTTCTGGTTCATAGAAGGCCATCTCCTTACTATAACCTCACATGGTGGAAGGGGCCAGGGAGTACTCTGGGAGTACTCTGGGGTCTCTGTTCTTTCTTTTTTTTTCTTTTTTGAGACAGTCTTGCTCACCTAGGCTGGAGTGCAGTGGAACGATCTCAGCTAACTGCAACCTCTGCCTCCTGGGTTCAAGTGATTCTCCTGCCTCAGCCTCCCAAGTAGCTGGGATTACAGGTGTGCACCACCATGTCTGGCTAATTTTTGTATTTTTTTTAGTAGAGATGGGGTTTCACCGTGTTGGCCAGGCTGGTCTTGAACTGCTGACCTCAAGTGATCCACCTGCCTCAGCATCCCAAAGTGCTGGGATTACAGGCAAGAGCCACTGCGCCCTGCCTGGGGTCTCTTTTCTAAGGACACTAATTCCACTATGAGGGCTCCACTCTCATTACCTAATTACCTCTCAAAGATCTCTCCTCCAAATATCATTATATTGGGATTAGGATTTCAACATACGAATCCTGGAGAAACACAAACATGCAGTCTTTAGCAGACGGTCCATATGACCAGTTATGAGCAGAAATGATGTGTGTCACTTCTGTGCCAATGCAAGACCTTACAGAAAGTCCCTTTTTCCTCTGCCATGGTGACTGTCAGAGAGTGGCTGCTTTGTTGATCTGAGTGCTGGGGTGAGGATGATAATGACAGACAGCAACGTCTCCATCCAACCCTCAATGTACTGAGAATTAGGCTTTTGTTATTTTAAGCCATTGAGCTTCAGGAACTATTTGTTACTGTAGCATAACTTAGCTGATCCTGACTGGTCCAGAGAATAGTAACCAGGAATGGGGCACTGCTGCAACAGAAAACAAGATATGTGGCTGATCAAGCAGGCAGTGGGAAAATGGATTCTGAAGGCTCGAAGCATGGCCATCCATGTATTGAATGGCATAATATTTAGTAAATTGTCACCTTGGATAACTTAAAAGGTTCAGGGAAAAGAGACTAAGGGTGTTACTCTACCATCAAAGACTGAGAGGCTCAGAGGATCTGCAATTAAGTTGAGAGACAGGCATGTCTTGAAAAGTACTGTGAGTAGATACAATGAAACCAAGTGAAAGCAAAGAGACTAGGTAAGATGTTAACTACATTTTTGAGAAACTAGCAGTGCCCAAAACTAGGATTAATACAATCTGTGGCTGGAATACAATTTCCGGCCTCCAGAACTGTGAGATATAAATTGCAAAAGGAAAAACTTCCCGAGGGTGGAGTAAAGCCCTGACTGCCCCATCCTCAAACTCCACAGTGAGCAGATTTGAGGCTATTCAAGGACTAGTCTCACTTTAGGGCAGGGGGCAGTATCTGCCCAGCAGGGTTTCAGGATTGCTATGGATACTGTCTACTGTGTGTCTCCCCCTCCTCCCTTTTCTGAATTAGGCTGTTAGTTGTGTTATTCTGTCTCTTTGCACTTTCAGCATTGGGTGTGCATACGAGCAGCGGGGGCCCAGACAATTCATCTTTAGGCCGTAGGTCTCTAAACCAAGAGGAACCACATGAGCCACATGAAGAAGCCACTGTTCCTCCCACGGGGGTCCTGGGCTTTGACTGGCTGCCATAGAATGTCCCTCACCTCAAATTCCTGTTATCCTGTCTCTGGGCTCTAGACTCAGACTAAAAAGGCATGTGAGATGGGTCAGGCCCACCCAGGGAGGGGTAAAATGTATTTCGTGTGTGGGAAAGAAGGGATAGTTAACACCCTTGGGTCCATGCTATCCCTTGTCTTCTGTGCGGCAACCAGCACATTCTAGACAGAGGCTGCTCCATCAACCTGCTGTCCCCAGGTGCCTCCCTATGGACACGCAGCATGGCCAGAAATAAACCTTTGAGCTTTGCAGTGTGGCCCAGCCTCTCCTGACTGATACAGGGACTCTGTTCATTCTACCTCTTGAAGACGTGTTCCTGGAGCTGCCGATCTGCTCCAGCCTGGGCTGCTGACACTCTGCACCTGGCTGGGCAGCTATCACCTGGGACTTACTTTCCCTTCCATCCTGCAATGACTTCCCTGCTTTGTGGATCACGTCTCCTGCTTTCTTGGTTTACATCTTTGTTTTGATGAAGTATAATCTCTGGTGGCTTCCTACTATGAGAAAGGATGCATGGGGGATAAATTTTTTGAAACCTCATGCGTCTGAAAAATACTTGGTTTATAGTTTGGCTGGGTGAAGGCTGGAAAATAATTTTCCTTTACATTTATTTCCCATGGCTTTGTTCCCTTCCTTCTAACTTCAACTGGTTGTTGTGGAGAGGCCCACAGTCATTCTGACCCGACTATCCGTAGGTGACCTGTTTTAATGTTAGGACACTTTTGTCCCCTGCATTCTGAAACTCACCAATGATATGCCTTGGCGTAGAGCTATTCTTTCCCACTGTGTTGGGCTCTCTCCCTTTCAGCATATGTCGTGAAGGCCTCTCTTGGATTAATAATTCATTGACGATTTTCTCTCTTGTGTTTTCTCTGATCACCTGTTTGGGTCCCTACTCATTGATCAATAATTTTTTTGGTTGGTCCACTAATTTAGCTTTTCTCTACTTTCCATTTTTTAAAAAAAATTTTGGTTCTACTTTCAAGGAGGTTTTTTACTTTTACATTTCTGTTACCTTGTAAACATCTCAAGAACACTTTTTTTCCCCTGAATGTTTCTTTATATATGTTCTCCCTTCACAGGTTGTATGTCTTTTAAAATTTAATGACATTATTGATGGTTTTGTTGATGTTTCTTTCTTTCTGCATAGTCTGTTTCTTCCAACTTGCTTTTTAAAAACTCTATTGTGGCTTTGTATTTCATGACACAGGGTTTCCTGAGATGCCGGTCAGCTCTGGCTCCCTGCTTGTCCTTGGCCTGGGAGGGACTGAGAGGCTGATGAGAACTTCTGTGCACATGAGTGGCAGTGTTAACTGTGGCCTTCCCTATAGGGTGAGCTGGCTGTTTAATTGGGCAGCCACAAATGTTAGAATGTCTGGGTGTTTCCCCTTGGCATGGTTGGCTACCCCAGGAAAGACCCTTCTAGTCTCCTGGCTGCTTGCATTCTGAAATCCCAAAAAGGGGTTTGTGGGTCTCAGCATCCAGTATCCATGTGTGTATTTAATCCCCTGATCCTATTACCGTACCTCTGTCCTTAATTGTGCCTGGTGTCCACCTACCCAAGACGCTGCCTTTTAGTTTTTTCAGGTCATAAATATCCAGCCTTTCGTCAGAACAAGGAAGGGGCAGTTGTCAGGCTGCATGAAATTGGGGTGCAGATATGGGCATCTGAGTGCTCCTCAAGCTGACGTTCTGCCAATCTTATTTTCACCCCCGTTTACTCTCACATTCAGAGGTACGTAGTGCCACCCATTAGTGAACCTTCTGGGGGATTCCATGGAGTATGTTCTTAGCTTTCCTTCCTAGCTACTATCTCAGGGTTTCATTTTCTTGGATCTGCTAAGTATTTTAGCTTCAAGAACTGCGTTGCTGTTACTTCCTCTCTTGTTCTCCCTGTCTTTGTGGATTTCTGCCTTCTAACAAATGCTCCAGAAGGAAGTTAAAGTCAATACATACTAACCATCCACCAACTTTACCCAGAAACTCAACCACCCTTTCAGCCTTCAGTCTCTATACGCCCCAGACACACCTGCTCTGCTTTTCTGTTGCTTCCATTTGAAACGAGACGACCCAGCCCTCACATATACATATGCCATCTCTGTCAAAATCTTACTTAGAAAAGAAAACATGGACTCTTAGCTAAGAGGAGATTTTCTTTGGGGAAGAGCTGTCTGTCCGGAAGACCCTTCCATGTAGGTTTGGGATAAAGTCAGTGAACACCACGACAATCATCAAATGAGTGGATTTTTGAGAAACCAGCCAAGGAGCTCAGTTTTCTATACAGAATGCCACAGAGCACAGTCAAAATTCTTTGGGACCCACATTCTTGGAAAACTCTTAGGGGGGTGCATCAATGCAGAGGACCCTTGACCACGTAGGGCATCCCCTCACCCAAGGCAGGCCTGTTTTGTTCATGGCTGTAGTAGCCTAATACTAGAATAGTGCAGACTCTAGACGGCCTACCATTGTGTATGCCGGCTGGGGTGACCCAGTGGGGAGACGTGGCACCTTGAAGATTGGGGAGAATTCTGCTGGCTGGAAAGGGGCCAGGAGGGTATGGGTGGCTGATAAGCTGGTGTAGGACCACTCCTTCCTTAAGAAGTGACTAATTGTGACATGTGGTGGGAATAGAGGAACATTCCGAATCATTACTTGGTCAGGACACACGTCTCTTATTAAATGTCATCAACACAATCTGCCTGGAAGAAACACGATTACTTTCTACCAAGCACAGACCCTCCTAAAGGGACCAGACCCAGTCCAGCACCTTTAGTCTCCCCAGAGGGTAGCAACTCAATCAGCGAGACCGCATTTCAGGGTTTTAGTTACAGATACTGAGGGTGCTCAAACATCCATGCAGTTTGCTGTTCACCGTAACACGCAACCCAGAATGGCCGTTTCGGTCCCTCGTCGGTTACCTGAAAACCAGTCTTACTGAGCTCCAACCCCAAATTAATTTGGTGAGAACTCGAACTCGGCTATTAACCTTAATTCTGAGAGAAGAATGACACCCCCCTCCCACTGCGAGGGTCCACTGAGGGTGAGTGCCCGGGCTCCTTCATTCTCCAGGCTCCTCTCAGAACACAGCAAGGGTGGCTGACTCCTTCGAACGTCCATTAAGCACAATGCAACGGGGCGAGGCAGTAGGGGGTTTGCTGAGCCCGGTTCCGCGGCGGTGGGAAGTTATTCACCGGCGTCTCCGAGGACGGCCCAGGCCTGGAGAATGGCTGGGGCCGCGGGCTGGGGTAGGGGTTACCGTGAGAGTCAAGGGCAAGGTGGCCCAGCCCGGGCTGGGAGGCGCGGGCTGGGCGCAGCCGAGCATTTCCTCCGGGAGGCCCAGACAGCGGGCGGGTGGGGCGCGGTGGGCGGGGTCCTCGCAGCTGGTGGCGTTTGAAGCCCCCCCGACCGCGGTGGGAGAGGGGCAGCCTAGAAGAGTTGGCAGCGGGCCTGCGGCGGGATGGGGAGGAAGGGGCCCCGCGTTCCCTCAGCAGCGGCGCCGGCCGCCCTGGCACGTAGTTCGCTTCTGGAGGCACAGGCCGCGGTGGGCGCGCCACCCGGGCTGCCAGGCTCACCGCCAGCCGAGGCCAGTCCTGCTCGGGCTGACCCGAGCTGAAGGGCAGCGCGGCCGCACCCCGGACCCCAGGAACGAGCCCGAGTCTGTCCCTCCCGCGGGAGCTGCCCCGCCCGGACTCCCGGAGCTCTGCAAGGCAGGGGCGTGGGGAGGGCGAGCGGCCTGAGGCTCTAGGCGCGGCCACCCGGCAAGCCGGCGGCGGAGGGCGCGGCGCGAGTGCGTTCCGCCCCTAGGCAGCCCCGCGCCCGGCCGGGCAGACACGCCTCCCCGCCGGCGCCCATCGCGGGAGGAACAAATGGCGCCCTCCAGAAACCGCTCCCCTCCATGCCGGGGGCCAAGGCTGTCACCACATAAAAGCTCCGGCAGAGAAGTGCTCGCTGTGTCCCCGCCGCGGGGGGTACAAGCAGCCGCTCCGCGCCGCGACTACCCGGCCCGCCGCCCCCGGACGTCATGCGTCAGCGCGCCCCGCTCCAGTTTCCGCCCCTCCTCCCACCGGCCCAGGGGACACGCCCACTGGCGCGCGCAGGGCCCGGGACCGGGCACGCCCCTCTAACGGCTCGGATTGGCCTGGCCGTGCACTCACGGACCAATGGCGTCTGTCCCGGCCCTCGGTCACGCCCCCTTGCCCAGGCGCGGGCACGCGACCGCTCCGTTCCGCCGGTGCGCGCTCTGGGGTCCCCGCCCCCTCCGCGCGCGCAGCTCCCCGCAGCCGCCGCCGCCTGTAACCTGCGCCGCCAGGATGTGGCTGGGGGCTGACGTCGGGTCCAGATGTGGCCCCGGCCCCGCCCACCCCCGGGGCCGGGCCGCCCACACGGAGCCGCGGCGCGCACGGCAGCTGTCCCGCCTGCCACAATGCGCGGCGAAGCTGCGGCCGCGACTTGGCGAGGTGGTCCCTAACGTTGCCGCTCGGCATCCTTAGAACCGGCCGCCCCTGACGCCGCGCGGGGACCCCAGTCGCCCGCGCGCCCCATGCGCTCACTCTTCGGTGCCCGGCCGGGCCGGCGCCTCGCAGACGCGGAGCCGCGCGGGTGACGGCACAGGCGGCTGCGCGCCCAGCCCAGCCCAGCCCAGCCCGAGGAGAGGGCGCGCCGCGCCCCCGCCCCCCGCCCGCTCTCCCGAGGCCGTGGGTGCGGATGCGCGGCTGACGACTCGCAGCAAGAGCACCGCCGCCGGCCCCAGCCCGCAGCATGGCAGCCGCCGCCTATGTGGACCACTTCGCCGCCGAGTGCCTCGTGTCCATGTCGAGCCGCGCGGTCGTGCACGGGCCGCGGGAGGGGCCGGAGTCCCGGCCCGAGGGCGCGGCCGTGGCCGCCACCCCCACGCTGCCCCGCGTCGAGGAGCGCCGCGACGGTAAGGACAGCGCCTCGCTCTTCGTGGTGGCGCGGATCCTAGCGGACCTCAACCAGCAAGCGCCGGCGCCCGCCCCGGCGGAGCGCAGGGAGGGCGCCGCGGCCCGGAAGGCGAGGACCCCCTGCCGCCTGCCGCCGCCCGCCCCCGAGCCCACCTCCCCCGGCGCCGAAGGCGCGGCGGCCGCGCCCCCCAGCCCGGCGTGGAGCGAGCCGGAGCCCGAGGCGGGGCTGGAGCCCGAGCGGGAGCCGGGGCCCGCGGGGAGCGGCGAGCCCGGCCTCAGACAAAGGGTCCGGCGGGGCCGAAGTCGCGCCGACCTCGAGTCCCCGCAGAGGAAGCACAAGTGCCACTACGCGGGCTGCGAGAAAGTTTACGGGAAATCTTCGCACCTCAAGGCGCACCTGAGAACTCACACAGGTCAGTGGGGCGGCGCGGGCGCCCGGATCGCGCGGACGGGGTCGGCGCGAGCTGCCCGACCACGCCCCCGGAGTCCCCGATGGGGCGCGAGGTGGGGGCCGGGCGGGCCGGAACGCCCGGGGCCTCGCCCCTTCCCCTGCCGCTCCGACCCGCGGCTGGCCCCGCGCGTCGCGCGAGGCGGGTCTTGGCTCTCGGAGCCGGCGCCCGCCAGGCGACCGCGCCCCCGCCGGGCACGCCCCCTCCCCGGGCGCGCTCGGGTGGGGCCGCGGGGGCGGATATAGTCATCTGGGCTGGGGGCGGGGACCCCTCCCGGCCGGGAGGCGGCGCGGGCAGGTGCGGGCGGCCTGGGTGTGGACCGCAGGCGGCACTCGTGACGGTGGGGCGCCCGGAGCGGGGGCAGGGGACGCTCTCCGGGGTCCCTCCTCGTTTCCTCCCCCGCTGCCCGGGCGCGCGCTCAGGAGGGGAGGGGCCGGCCCCGGCGCGCGGCGGGCGAAGTTCACGCAGGGACAAGGTTTCCTTCGCCACTCGGCACATTCTTCGCTCTCTTCTTCCTGTAATTTTTCCAGCGCTCTAAGGTTTAATTTGTCGTAACCAAAGTCAGCGGCGGCGCTTGGCGATGCGGGGGGCGGTCCCGGGTCCCGCTCCCCGCCTGCGGCTCTTTGTGGGAGCCCCCGCCCATCCGGCCCGGCGGGGGCGCGCCCGGCCCTAGGCTCCTCGGCCTCGAGGCTCTCTCCGGAAAGGAATGCCCTGGCCGCTGCCCATCCTCCGTGCTGCCCTCTCGCCTGCCCACCTCTCACCTGCCCTGGGCCGGTGCGGGGCGGGCGGCACCTGCACCAGGGCGGGCGCTGAGCCTCCAGCCTGGGGATCACCGCCCGCCCCCGCCAGCCCAGCGGCAACAGTTCCCACGCGCGGCCCGATACTTTGTAGTTGATTCATCTGTGGCGGTTCCCTCCCCCCTTTTTGTTTCGTTTTTAACATAAAGATGAAAATATTTTAATGGACGGCAATCCTTCCCCATTTTGGTGTAAAGAATTGTATGCTTCCTCTGAGCTCACGTGAGTTCTTCTGTGACACTCACCTCTTCTACCTTGGGGGCAGGCTCAAAACCCGTCTACTGAATACTGTTGTCTTGTGACCAAGGGTGGTGGTCTCTCATTTGTAAAATAGTTCACATAGTGATTAAAAGGCATAAAAAGAAGCTGCAGCCTTGGATACCCTAGAGCTGAAGGCCCCTTTTTTTTACCATTTGGAACTGAAAGGGCCCAAGGTCTGCAGGTGAGGCTTTCAGATCTCGGACTAACTTTCCCCAGGGAGGCTTTTGTGGCCGCTCCAAACCACGTGGCAGGTGATGGGGTAGAGGGTGAGAGCGGGGCCATTTCTAGGCATTCGGGGTCAGTTAAGGGTGTGGGGGCTCAGGTTGGGGGTGGGAGTCAGTGTGGGCTCAGAGTTCAGCTCGGGACGCGGCTGCAGGGTGGGTGTGGCCCTGGGGGAGGGGCCAGGCTAGGCTCAGCTCGGCTCCAGGTGGATCCTGAGTATCGGGTGGGGGCAGCGATTGGGGCGTGGCTGGGGTTGAGATCCGCTTTGGGGGATGATGCCCGTGCTGGGCAGGATACTTAATGTTTGGGAAATTTTTCTACGGCCTCTGTCAGGGTGGCCTGCCACTCGGCAGCACCGGTAGCGGGGAATTGAGGAGGGGGGTGGCCGAGGGGAGGGGCTCGCCGTCGTGGGCGGGGCCGGCTTGTCAGGGCCTCAGCCTTGGGATGTCTTCCTGGTGGGTTCATCTCCCGCTTCAGGCTCTGGCCCCGCGCGAGCCTCTTGACTAGAATATTGGCGCAGGGGCTCTGGAGACCCGGGCCTCCCGCTGTAGGTGGGGCCAGTTTCCTCGGAGCGCCTGGAAACCGAAGGCAGGCAAAAGAGCACGGGACCAACCCTTTGAGTGTCTGCAGTGTGCTACAGTGCTCGTTCTTGAAGCAGAGAAACTATTCCACCCTTCAGGTGTGCAGACATCAGAAGTCCTACCTCCAGGGTGGAAGCCGGCCTCCAAGTTGGAAGTGCACAGGGCTCCGGCAGCGGGGTGGCGGGGAGTTGGGAAGAATGCAGATTTCCGGGCCCCTGATGCCGACCTAGTACACACAGTTCCAGCGTGCAGTTGGGAGTGCATGTTACCGGTACCCCAGGTGACCCATTATGAGAGTTGAACTGCCCAGAAACCTGCCTCTGGAGGGAGTCTGGTTCAGCATCTGGTGGAGGGCACCCCTGGGAAGCCCATTTCCAGCCCCTTCCCAGGTGTGCAGAGCATAAGTAACTGGTGTTCCTCAAGGGAGAAGAGGAGCTTGCTGTTGGGGGAGAAAAGAGCATCTTGCAGAAGGGAGAAACCCAGGCAGGCCTCAGGGATGACTGAGAAGGCAGGGCACAAGGTGATGGCTTTGCTGCAGCCGTGGGCTCTGAGGTGTCCGTGGTTTGTGGGCCTCTAGCAGCATTGTGGGGTCTCTGCAGTCAGTGACTGAGGTCATGCCGGGCCCCGTACTCCATTAGGCTCGGGAAGGTGCCCCCGCCCCACTTCCCGCATTTCCAGGATCCACAGTAATTTCATGGCAGAGGGTGAATATCACAACCAGGAAGGTGGCCAGCTGCTCTGTGCTGTTCCTCTATGTGACCAGGGACCGGTTCCCAGATCTCCCTGCAACTTGGTGATGTCTGCCCTGACCACCTGCAAAGTCTTCAGGGACATGAGGTCAAGTATGTGAAGACCCTTTGAGAAGTGCAAGGGTCAGCCTTGACTCTGGAGGCACTTGTGGTCCCTTGGCCGTGGCTCTGCTCTGATTTTCCACCCCCACTCTCTGAACAGCTGCATGCTAAGAGCTTTCTGTCCTGGTTAGCTGTGTAGCAGTGTGGTTTCCCACTCCCACTCTTCCAGGAGTTATCCTGTGGACACATTGGTCTCTGTCACATTTAGGTAATTGTTGATATTATAACAATGCGTAATAACACAAAACCAAGAAAAACATCTTTGCAGCTCGTGCTACTTTATTATTTGGCCAATTAGAACTTCCGAGTCCAGACCTGGAAAGTTTGCTAAGAGGGGCTTAGGGGAGCAGCAAGACCAGGAGCAGATTTTCTTGGAACCTGAGGTGCTTTGATGCAGGAATTCAAGGACTCACCTTCGATAGGTCAGGCTGGGGCCCTCTTGAGGGCAGACTGGTTGCCCAGATCCTGCCTCTGGAGAGTCCTGCGTGTTGTCCTGAATGGGGAGACTTGGCAGGCCCCCAGCAGAATGGCCACTTGGTCTTTCTTGGCAGAGAGACCCTGAATACATTTCTACCTATTTGTTCCCACAGAGAATTGTTTTCAAAACTGCTCTGTGCCCTGTTTTCCCTCCAGCGCTGGAGTCAAAACATCTCTCTGCATGCTGGGCCCTTTCTGGGTTCTGGGGGTCCCATGGAAAGGTGGGCACAGTGGCGTGCCCAGCCTTCCCTCCTGCAGAACCCGAGGCATGTTTGTGGTCACCTGGCCCTGTTTGGGGTGGAGGAGGGAAGTAGAGTAAGATCACATTCTGTCAGCCATTTCCTGTGATAATTTGGGTGGGGTTCACCTGAAATTTATCTTTACCCACTGAAGCAAGGATTTGATCCTGACAGATTATTGCGACCCCTCCCCCAGGGCACACTCTGGCTTTAGAGACTTGTTTCCAAGCACACCGCCCCTTGGGCTCCCTGCAGGTCCTCCCTGATGCTGCTGCCTGGGAAAGCAGAGCAGAGGGCATCTGGCAGAGCAGAGGGCATCTGGGTGGGATCTCCTTTACCCAGGGCAAAGCCAGGCTTGTTGGTGGCCTGTGCTTTGTTCAGAGACACACACAGGCCAGTGGCTCAGCACGCCCACCCCTCCCTCTCGTACCCTCGCTGTCCCAGGCTGCCAGTGGCCCTAGTTGTGAAACTCCTCAAACAATGCAGAAATGTATGCAGCATGGGAGGTGCCAGCCTGCACCACCACCAAACCACTGTTACCCCGCGTTGGTGTTTTTCTTTACAGACCTTCTAGATGGATTTGCACATATGCATATGTGTGTGTCCACGTAGACATTTTGAAACATACTTAAATAGGATCCTAGCAAGTATCTCACTGCTGGCATTTTGTTCCATGTGTTTGCTTAAATGAGGCATCTTCATTCTTTTTCACAGCCGCATGGTATTCCAAGATGTGGTTATATGGCTGCATTGTAACTTATTTACCCTTCACTTATGGAAAGGACAGCTACATTGCCTTTTTTTTGTTTTTTCTGCTATTACAAGTTGTGTAGTAGTGGACTCTGGTGTGTGTGTGTCTTGGTGCAGAGGAGCTGGCATTTCTGTAGGATTGAGACCTAGTGGTGGTATTGACAGGGTTGATAAGTGTTGGTTAAATGTGTTGTGGAGTTACTGTGTTATGTTTTTCAAGGAAAGAGACCACACTTGTTAGTCCCCGCTCTGAGGGAGAGACCTATTGTGTCACGACTCCACCTTCTTGAAAATGTTTCCTTCTCCCAATTCTCCTTTTGCATGTGTGAGAACATTGAGAACGTTTAAAACAGTACCAGCAAAACCACTGTCACTCCCGCACGCCTGGTGGCTGGCTCTCTTGGCCATCTTCAGTTCTGGTTTTACAGAGATTGGAAAGTGTGTGGTGGGCGCTCAGCCCTGGAGCAGTAGGATGGGGGCTGGTGTGGCGCCATCTCCACTCCCCCCTTCCCCCTCGCTGAAAGAAGGCTGGAAGCTGTGCTGCCTGAGCAAACTGATAGGACGCAGTTCATTAAACCAGTAGCCTGTGTCTGGGGCTTCACATGTCTGGAACACAGCAGAGATGGGGGCCTGATCCTTCTGAGTAGGTGCCCTGAAGCCCAATTCTCAAGCTTCTGACAGCCTCCTGCCCTTAGATCCTGTGTGCTCCCACTTTACACATAGCTTTAATCTGATTGGTTACTGGGGAAGGGCAAAAGACATGGATGGCAGCTAAAGGCAGGGGAAGAAACAAACCAGCAGGTTGTTAACATATGCATGTGTAAGTGTGTGTGTTTAAATGGGTCATGAAGAAGCCCTACAGTCAACCAGCACTGGAACAAGCATGGGGCCATTTGTGGAGAGGCACATGTTTCTCCGCAGCAATCCCTGAGGTCTGCATGAGAGACCCTGGAATAATGAACACTCTAGCAGGGATCTTGAGATACCATGGCACTGTGAAGTGTGTTCAGTTTGTGCTTTCAGGAAGCAATTAAAATAGTTTTAAAAATAAAAACTTCTAGAATAGTACACTCAACTTTCACAATCCTAAGACTTCCAGACTGTTTGCTCTAGGGGCCAGGCATCATTCTGTTTGTGTTAGTTTACATCAAGCTATCTAATCTTCACAAGGACCCTATGAAGTAGGCTCTATTATTAATACTAAATTTCAAATAAGGAAGCTAAGGCTCCAGTGCTTTAGGAATCATGCCCAAGGTCACACAGTAAGTGAGGGTGGAACAGGGATTGGAGCTGGGGCTTGAGCCTGGGCAGCCGCCCCCGAGGTGGGTGTACCTGCTGTGTCCTACTGCCACTCCTGTCTGGACCAGTGTTTCAGGTCACTGCAGGTGAGCAGGGCCCTGTGGTAGTAGAAATCTGGATGTCCCCAGCACACGGCTTCCCGCACAGATTTTTGCTGCTTCTTAAAGGTTGAGGGAGTAGTATAGTGAACACTCCTATACTCTTCCCATAGGGTCATTGGGTAATATTTTGCCACATTTTTCTCCTTTCCTCCTTCTCTTTTTCTTTCTAAAGAAAGAAAAATTAATTTTTTGTCTATATTTTTCTCCCTTTTCCATCTCGCCTCTCTCTTTAAATATTATATATTATCTGATACGCAGTCCATATTCAGTTCCCCTAGTGATTCCTAAAATGTCCAGTATAGGATTCAGGATCCAGTTAATCACACATTGCATTTGGTTGTCCTCTCTAGTTTCCCTTAGTTTAGGATAGTTTCCCATCTTTTGGTCCTTTATTATGTTACGCTGGCATTTGAAGGCCCAAAGCCAGTTGTCTTGTAGAACAACTCACAATGTGGATTGGTCTGATTGTTTCCCGTGATCAGGTCTGGTTTAAACAAATTTTGGTCCAAAATATGGCACAGGTGATACTGGGCACTTCCATCGCCTCATGGGGGGGGGAGGGCATGGGATATTAGCCTGTCCTACTGCAGGATCACATGGTTAAGGTGGGCGGCCAGGCTCAGCCCCTTCTGTCCACCTGGTTGGTTTCTACTCCATCTTCCAGCTTCCTTGACTGGAGAGATGTTGGGGGTTGGGTTCAGCTTTGGAAGGCTTTTGAAGTCAAAGGACCACCTGGAGGAGGCCTAGGTGCTCCTTTCCCCAAACAGACAAGACACCCTGATTTTCTTTTGAATGAAAATGGCTCCAGATGGTATTAATAGCCAGCTCAAGGGTAACTGTGAGTGTGTTCTTGGTCAGCCCACCTGAATGCCGGCCCTGTGGCCACAGGCAGCCTGTCTCCTAGGGCTGGGGAGGGCCTACGGCGGGTGACACTCTCTAAGTCCTGGTGAGTCTTTATGTGCTTTCAAGAAATAAACAAAAATTGTCCTAAGTCCACACACCTGAACCTGTTTTTCTTTTCTTTCTTTCTTTTTTTTTTTTGAGACGAAGTCTTGCTCTTGTCCCCCAGGCTGGAGTGCAATGGCACAATCTCGGCTCACTGCAACCTCCGCCTCCCGGGTTCAAGTGATTCTCCTGCCTCAGCCTCCCAAGTAGCTGGGATTACAGGCGCCTGCCACCGTGCCCAGCTAATTTTTGTATTTTTAGTAGAGACGGGGTTTCACCATGTTGGCCAGGCTGGTTTCGAACTCCTGACCTCAGGTGATCTGCCCACCTCGGCCTCCCAAAGTGCTGGGATTACAGGCATGAGCCACCACACCCGACCTTTTCTTTCCTTTCAAAGCCCCAAATGGGATTATTTTCTTGAGAAGTCAACTTCCTGTCGAGATGGGAATAAACTTTTCTCCAGCTTGGCAATTCAGAAGCAGCCACTGTGCTGTGTGGCTGAGGTTGGGGTCATGGAGACAGCCACCAGTGCAGTCCTCGGGGTGGGAGATACTGAGTTCAGAAGGCTTTGGACACTCTTCTGGGCCAAAATAACAGAAACTCGAACTTGTTTTACTCTTGGCATCAATCGGGCACTGGGCACAGAAGAAATCCTCACCCAACCAAAAGCTCTGCCATTTGGCCATAAACACGTATGCCTCCATAGCCACGTACATGTGTAGAAACACATATGGGTGTGTGTGTGAGTGGACGTGGCACCCTGCTCATGCTTGCTGAATGGGGGAGCATCCACACCTGGAACATAGTGGCTATGTGGAACTTCTGATTTCTAGTTCAGTTTTAGATCTTAGGTCCGTCTTCATCCCCAGCAAATGTTACCAGCTGTTTGTGAGGCAGGCTTTTGGGGGAGACATGAAGTTTGTTCAGTTGAAACTAGGGCTGTGGTGAAGGGGCTATGCCTTCACACCCTGCTGCCCTGCCCAGCAGAGTGACCGGCTCCTGTGTCCTCCACACTGCTTCAGTTCCCCTCCTGATGCAGGGCCAGGCTGTGATCGCCATTTGCTGTTGGGCATTGTGTGTGTGTGTATGTGTGTGTGTGTGTGTGTGTGTGTGTGTGTGTGTGTGTGTATGGTGGCGGGGCAGGGGGCGGGGGGAGGGCACAGCATGGCACCGAGCACCAGAAACACAGCCTTGACCAGTCCCTGGTTTTTACCAACATCTTTCTGGACAAACAAGACAGCACACTTGGCAGGGGGAGTATTCTGTTTATTGTTCTCCATTTTTGAAGTTCATCACACAAAAACACTTGCTAACCAGAAACTTGGCTGCACTCCGTGGCCATTGGCCAGTCTGTCCCAAGGTGACTTGTTTGGGGAAGCACTGAAGCTTGATGTCTCAGATTAAATGTCCTTATGCTGGTGCCACAGGGGTGTGGCCTACTCTGCATGGATGGGTGACCCTGGGTCCCCAGGCACAGGGCACAGGCTCGTCTCCTTGAAGCTGGAGCCCACGCTGCATCATGAAAGAGCTCTGCAAGAATTGAAGGCCCAGAGCAAAAATCGCTTACCAAAGAGCATGTGGCTCAGAGCCTACCTTGGCCTCCTGTCTCAGGAGAAACTTCTAAAGGTGGAGTTGTGTCACGTGCTTGTCTCCTGTGAGCACAGGCCAGGTGGGAGGAAGCTTGGGAGTGGGGAGAGGATGACGTGGGCTCAGAGGAGCCACGAGCTTCTCCCCCGACCCCAGCGTACACTGGACACACATGGGAGGTGAGGTGATGCCTGAGCAGCCTGGCGAGTGGTCAGGGCCCTGGGTGGGGCCTCCTCATTCCCTTTTGGAGCACTGGCAGCTAATGCTTGGGGGGGCCACCATCCTTTCCCGGTCTGGCCTCGTTGGGGGACACATCTGTCTTCCTCCTGGAGTAAGGAGAGCCTGTGAACAAAGCAGTGACCCCAAGACCTATGGCCACTGGGGATGGCAGGAGCCTTGTGCTTCCATATGTGGGTCCAAGCTGTGGATGGGGAGGCCAAGTGTCCTGGCATGTGGGAGGTGGTCAGGTGCTCCCTGGAGATCTAACAGGTATGCATGGGTTAGCGAGACCTGAGAGTCCTTCTTGGGCCACACCTAAGTATGTGCAGGGCCTGTGATACAGCCAGAATTTCCTCCTCTGATAAACTTCTCTGAGCCTTTCTACTTGTCTTTAACCCTTTTATTGTCTAAATGCTCACTAAACAAGAAAAATAATACAGGGAACTTGGTTTAGGGGTATTGGTAGAAGTTAAAGTTGATGGCAGAGCATGAATAGGGGTGTCTGCAAGGAATTGTTGGAAAAGAGATTGGAAATAGAGCGAAGGCGTATGTGAGTCTCAGAACCTGACTCCTTTGTTGACTGGGAGTGGGGCAGAGGGCATGGGTCCAGCAGGTCATTGGTCTCGGGTTACCAAAAAGGTTAAGGCTATTCACCTGGGCCACTGGCTGGGGTGCTGCTCAAAGCCAGGATCTGGGAGCCGGGGTCAGCACCTTGGGTGCACCTGGGCATCATAGCAACAACAAACCCCAACACATTTTCAGGGACCAGGGCGGATAAATGGGAGTTAATGACATGGTTCCCACACATCCGAATCTGGGATATGTAAATGTGACACACAGTCTGAGCATTTGGCAGGCTCTCCATGGTCTTGCTTTGCATAGTTTGGCCTATCTGCTCTCCAGACTTACTGCCCCGTTGTCCTCACCTGCATGACTGTCCATGTCTGGTTTGTTTACTCGTCATTGAAGGCATCCACAGGGGTGCCATCTGCCCCCATGTCCCTCTCCCACTAGGCATGCTAAGTGGCCTGCGGCAGGGCAGGCAGGGACTCAGATTCCCTCCATCCCATCGCTGAGGTCTTACTTCCTTCTTCCGCCCGCCTTACACGTGGAAGGTTTCTCCTGTGCTTGTCCACCAGTTGTTGTTTTTGTCTTCTAGCACGGATGGTGTGGCAGAAGGAGGCCTTGGACAGCAGCACGTTAGGACCCACAGGGGCTCTGGCCCCTTGCAGCTGTGTGTTCTGAGGGAAGATGCCCAAGGTTTTATTATCTTTTCCAGAGCGCCCTTTTTTTCTGCTTGCATGGCAGGCCCTTTCTAAAATTACAGTCATAGGTTGCTTAATGACGGGTGCGTTCTGAGAAGTGTGTTGTTAGGCAGTTTCGTCCTTATGTGAACATCATAGAATGCACTTACTATGCACACCTAAATGGCATAGCCTACTGCACACCTAGGCTGTATGGTGTAGCCTCTTGCTTCTAGGCTGCAAGCCGGTACAGTATAGTACTGTCCTGAATACTGTAGGCAACTGTAACACAATGGTAAGCATTTTGTATCTAAATATAGAAAAAGGTACAATTAAAATGGGGTGTCGTCTTATGGGACCAGCCTCTCGTCCCACGTGGACTGTCATTGTTTGAAACGTCATTATGTGGTGCATGACTGTACTTTGCTGCTTGGCCTAAGGTGCCAGGGCATTCTCTGGGTAAGCCTGAGGGGCTTTGCAGGATACCATCTTTTATCAAGGTTGAAATTAGTTTTAGCACTTTATTCTGTGTCCCCTTTGCGGCTGACAGAGCAGGAGCCTGTCAGTGTCTACTGTCACAGGTGTAGAGCTGCTGTGTTGGCGAGCAGGTAGGTGGTTTTCCTGAATTACTGTCAGGCTTTAGAGTCTTACAGGAAATACAGCCTTGGCTACTTATAGCTTGTGATTTGAAGTTTCCCTAATGATGGGCTGGGTAGTACACTTCAGCAGTTTGCTTTGGACAAATTGTATCATTCTTAAGTTCACTCACTTTAGCCTTTGAGAAATTTCAAAGTTTGTTTCCCTGATCTTCCTAGTTGCCCTGGATTATGAGCCAAGCGTTTGAATTCCTTTGCACATCTAGCACTGCACATGGCCTTGGAAGATGGACATTTATGTGAGTGTGTGCACGTGTATGTGTATGTGTGTGTGTATATATGCCCGTATTTGCAGCATGTGTGTATGTGCTTGTATATGCGCATGCACACGTGGTCAGCCATGCAGCCAAGTCTCAGAACAATCGTTCCACTGGAAGTAACCCAGTCTTGAGGCATCTGGCCAGGTGGTGCGGGCTGCAGCACAATGTTTGTTTCTCCCAGCCCTATGAACCCCAGTGGGGCTGCATCACTTAAAGGCCGGTCTCTACAAGAGCAGGGTAGGAAGCAGCAGTGCGTGCCCAGCCGTGGCTGTGTAGGCAGAACCAGCCTTCAGGATGGAGGGTGGGACCCTGGAGCCAAGCCAGAGGGTGTGTACCCTTGGTCCCTGATGAGGTACTCCATCTTGGGCCATTCTGCCCCCTGGTCTCTCTGCTCCTCCTCTGCAAACCAGGGGGGCCAGCAGCCTGCTGGGATCCTGGCCCTGGCCGGGTTAATGGATGGGAACTGAGCTCCTTGGCTGCCAAGCTGAGGTTCAGTCTGGCCCCATTCTCACTTCCTCTACTCCCCCTTGTACTGTGGGATCTGAGCATTTCTTTAACAGCCTTCAGGGGTTTCCAGCCCTTAGGACAAGCAGCAGGTGGGTATACAGGGGAGCAGACCCCAGGGGGGCCTGAGGAGGGAGGGTGAAGGCACCCCTTCTTTGTGCTGTCTGTAGCTGCTCATCCTGGGAGACACTGTGGGGGAGGCTGTGGCTTCCTTCTTCCGCCCTCTGGGGATGCCCTGGCGGCCTGTCCCTTGGGTGTTGGGAGGAGGTGGCTTGGCTGACTGTCCCTGCTCATGGTCAGGGTCCTCCTACACAGCAGAACTGGAGGTAAACACTGGGTTGCCTTGGCAACTGGGCTGTGCCATGGCTCCAAGTGCTCCTGGCTAGAGAAGTTCCCATTGTCTCAAGTTTCTAGGATGGGTTTCTATTTTGATTTTTTTTTTTTTAAATTAGCAAGAATGACTAAGATACCAAAATGTCTGACCTGGTTTCTATAATTTCTTAATAAACATTTGTCTTCCCTTTATAGGAGGAATGTTTTAGTGATTCATTGACTTTTCTTTTAGACGGTGGCAAGGCCCTGGTGAGGCAGTGCGGGGGCAGCACAGAGGACCCCCCACTGCCGACAGCTGGCACGGGAGGCTGGGAGAGCACTGGCCACGATCCAGGGACCAGGCATGCTTACGTAGACACCACACGAGGATTTTATTGGCTTTGAGGCTAATTAAGTTCCATGGAAAATTTTGGGGAGATGCCTCTCCCCTGTGGGGGGTTCAGATACCCACAACTGGTGCTTCCAGAAGCTGTCTGAAGGCTGATGCGTCTGACTGAGCCCGAGGAGCGCCCTCCCACCCAGTGCTGCACTCTCCCGCCAGAGGCCTGGCCCCCTCCCTGCAGGTCAGGGCATGTGCTTGTTTATACCTTGTTGGTGTTTGCTGTTAAATTCTAACTGCTCACCTAGGTAGCCTGGGCTGGCTGCGCCCAGTGGATGTCCTCCCGCCCCCCGCCTGCTGTCTCGTGGGAGTGCCCCAGGTGGCACTTTGCTGTGGGAGATGCAGCAGCGGGCTCTCGTGCAGGCCTGACCCTTCACCTTGGATTTCACTGGGCTTCCCTGCTCTGCCCACCCATGGATTATCTTGTAAAGAGTCACCTGCCCCATGGAGGAGCCAGGTGAGGATCCAGGGAAGTGGCTTTGTTTATTTTACTGTCAGTAGGGCTGACCCAGGTTGCCCTGGTGGGTGGTGTGTCCTGTGAGCCTCTCTGCCTCTAGGCCTGTTTCCAGGGTCTCGTCTTCGTTGTAGGCCTGCAGGTCTATTTGGGTCCCTTCTCACGACTGAGGCAGGCTGAGGATGTACCCAGTTGGGCTGGGCTGCCTTGTGGGTCCTCTCTCCACTGCCCTCATGGCCAACCTCAGGCGTGAACCTGCCTACAAAGCCTCTCTGTGCAGCAGCAGCTGTGGCAGTTGCCAAGGGAGCTCAGCACCAAAAAAGATGTTCAGATTTGCTGCATTTGTTTTGGAATGAGTGCCTGGTGTTGCTTGTGCACACCCCAAGCCTCCTGGCCTTTCCAGGTTTCCCTGTTGAACAGGCAGCTCTCCTGCGGTTGGGTGGCACAGGGCTGTGGTGAGGGCCCCAGCATCCCTCCTCACCTGGGTGCTCAGTTCCTTTCTTGTCATCCTTTCTCTGTTTGTAAAGCAGAAACAGTCCTGCTAACATCACCCCCTTCAAAGATGTATGCAGAATTTGATTTTTTTTCCTGGAAAATATACTTTTTTAGTGTTTAAGAAAAAACTCGTGCTGGGCATGGTAGCTCATGCCTGTAATCCCAGCACTTTGGGAGGCTGAGGCAGGAGAATTGCTTGAGCCCAGAAGTTCGAGACCAGCTTGGGCAACATAGTGAGACTCCACTGGGCATGGTGGTGCACACACCTGTACCAGCTGCTCAGGAGCCTGCAGGCAGGAGGATCACTTGAGCCCAGGAGGTGGCAGCTGCAGTGAGCCACGATCTTGCCACTACACTCAAACCTGGGCGACACGGGGAGATCCTATCTTAAAAACAAAAGAAAAAAATCTCAAGTCAAAGGTATTGAAATAGTATTGGAAAGTGTTAAAGGAGTCCAAAACATGAGCACACTTGGGAGTTTCACGGGAGACCCAGCGCCCCTGTGCCCTGTGTTCATCCTGACAATTTGGGCTCTGGACCTGGAGCCCCGAGACATTGCTGTGTCTCTCTTATTGGATCGCCTCATGGAAGCTTGACTCCACAAATGTTGTATTTGCATGACCTTCCTTGGGAGGCTCTCAGTGTTTTATTTTTCATCAGAGAAAGGCCTTCTTGTCTGTTGGTTCTTTGTTATCTAAACAGAGGCACTGTGGTGTAGTGATGAGGAGCCCTGGCCTCAGAGTGGGACAGGCTGAGCCCATCTCTGGGTTTTCACTGTGAAGTGGGTCTGGTCATGCTGCCTCTAGGAGCAGAGGGGTAGAATGTGGGTGAGGCACCCAGTAGGAGGGGTGTGTGTGCGTGTGTGTTCACGTGTGTGTACGTGTGTGTGTCGGGTAAGTGGTGATTAACTTGCAAGAGCAAAATTTCACCCCCTGCAGTATTGTTCATGGGTACCTAAATGAACAGACAGGTTTGCTGTCTTCTCTTTTGAAAAGAAACAGACACATAGACAATTCAGAATCTTTTTTTTTTTTTTTGAGGCTGGGACAATTCAGAACTTTTTTTTTTTTTTTTTGAGGCTGGGTCTCAGTCTGTCACCCAGGCTGGAGTGCAGTGGTGCGATCATGGCTCACCACAGCCTCAAACTCCTGGGCTCACACTATCTTCACAGCTCAGCCTGCCAAAGTGCTGGGACTCCAGGTGTGAGCCACCACACCCAGCCCAGAACTACTGTTTTAAAGCAGGTGCTGGGTCACTTTCCAGGATCCTCACAGCCTGACCTGAGCCCCCCTTCCCAGAGTCACCCTGTGACACAGCATGTGGGGTGATGCTCCTGGCATCCCAGCCCCAGGCGCATCCAGCCTCAGCTTCTGCGTCTGTATCCTCCTGGATAAACCCAGACTGGCTGCAGAAAAGTGGTACAGCCTGTGAGCTTCTGTGAGCATCCTGTTGTTGCTATGGAGACCCTGTTGCTAGACATCAGGCATGCTCAGACTAGGGAGTGGTGACCCTGTCTCAGGTGAGCCTCACGTGTTACCAGGTAACCAACCCCTCTCAGGTACCAACAGGCTGTACCTGGCTAGACTCTTTAATTAGCAGAAGTAGATGAACTGAAACCTCAACCTCAAGGTGAAAGACTCAGTCACCAGTCATCAGAACAGTTCTGGACAAGTCCACCTCTCTGAGGTGGGCTTGAAAGTTGCCCTGCACCCTGTGTCAGTAGTCTTGGGCAGTCTTACAGGGACAGGAGAGATTGTGCCTGCAGGTGGCCATGCTAGTCCTGCCGAGTGACCCCACCCCAAGGAAAGGACTTTCGGAGACCAGGCATTCTCTGGGTGAGACTCCCCACACTGGGCAGTCTTGGGTGAGGATGCCGGCTGCCCTCCCAGGGACGCAGTGCCCTGCTGGGTGCCCCGCCTTCCCTCCTGAGACCCAGGCACCATGACAGGTTTCTTAACTGACAGCTCTTTAGTAGAGAACAGAAATCCTGTTTGCAGCAAAACTTGCCTCACTGGATCGCTTCATAACAGCTCCTTCAAGTGGGGCGAGCTCATCGCTGCGGTCGGCATCTCAGCCATCAGCAGCCCGGAGAATCCCACTCAGGACTTAGGTTTGCTATTTTTGTGTCTCGCCTGGGCTTCGCTCGTTTCCACAGGCATTCCACTTCTTGTTTACAGGAGTAATTGCCTTCATGAGCTTTGGGCCATCTGCGGATATATGTATTTTTTTCTTTATTTTCTTTCTTTTTTGGGGCAGCAGTTCTATGTTTGCAAATATGAGGATTGTTTCCTAAAGGGAAGCATGAGGCCTTCTTGAGGCTGGCCTCTTGGCTGCTGAGCTGGGCCTTCGCACCCCTTTCCTGCTTTATTTCCGTCTTCCTGTGAGTGTATTTTGTTGTATAGAGGCGCTTCCTGTGGTCGGAGGTGAACATTTGGAGTGACTAAGGAGAGCATGGCCTTCCTCGCTCTCCCGGCGTCTGATTGCTCCGTGGACACTTGTGCCTGTTCCCCAGGCAGGGCCTGCTTGCTGGAGGGGGTCGGGGCCACTCCTGGCCATGGAGTTTCCGCATCCCCCTGCTGGCCAGGCTCCTGTGCTTGGGGAGAGGAGGACGCCGAGGCACATACTGTCTCCGTGCTCTGCTCTTGTGGTCATGAGTGGCCTCTTCTCTCTTCTGCTTTGAGTGACTGGGTGTAGAGTGGCGCCTGAGCTGGGGACTGTCTTGCACCCTTGCACAGGGCCCGCCGGCTCAGGTGTGCAGCAGACACCATCCTGGGAGAAACAGCAGCAAGGTCTGGGGTGGCCACATTTGCATGTTCTGCAGAGGCAGTTGCCTTCGGGATTTCAGACTTGCCCCCAGCCGTAAGGCGGGATGCAGTGCCCACAGACAAGGCTGGGTGCACACAGCCTCCCAAACAGCATCCTGCAGTCTTAAGTCTGCACACCTCCCACCAGGTGTCGGCCCCCAGCAGTGGGAAGGAGACCAGCCTTCAGGCTGCTCACCTGAAGGGAGAAGGCAAGGAGGCATGAGGGGTGCATCCAGCCTCCAGTGGGGACCCACAGGTGGCCTGGGTGCTGATGGGCCCTGGCAGAGTCTGTGTGCCCACCCATGCCGTCAGTCTCCTGAACCGCAGGAGCAAGAACTGGATTTCATGTTAGGAGATGATTTCCAACTTCAAGAAATGACCTGGAAAAGTTTTCTACTTAAACTGCCTGTTGTTGTTAAGAGCTGGCCAGCTCTGGCTTTCCAACAGCACGCACAGCCCTCGGGCCAGGCTGAGTCCTGATGTGGGGATGTGCCCACTGACTGCGGGTCACCATGACTCCATGGGGAAGGTCTCCTTGGAGAGGTCTGAGGCTCTGGTGCACGAATTAACCTGCTCCTTAGTCTTCCCTGGGAGACCTCTTGATCTCCTGTCCCCACCCATACTTCTGGTCACTTGTCAGTCTTTGTATAATGTGTTCAGTGTCCCTCCCTCTGAGACGGCAGCAGAGACAGGAGAGCCACGCATTGCAAGTGGCCCATGCCTGGTTGCTGCCCTAAATACTTGCTGTGCACAAATGGCCTGGCTGTCAGGGGTGACTTTGGCCCTGGGGGATGTTTTCCAACCCCCTGGGACAAACACCTGCCAATACTTAGCAGCTACCTCCTGCTAGCGCTGCGCACCCACACCACCCTGAGCCTGTCACTCCAGCTCCAGAGGTGGGGCTCTCCCCACACCCATACCCATCTCTGTGCAGATGCAGACATCCCAGATCCACCCCTCCAGCCTGTGTCAGGAGGGGAGTGGGCACCTAGGCTTTCCCCTCTTTGTGGCAGGACTGGAGGAGTGTCAGCAGAGTGGCCTCCTTCACCTGCCTTTTAAGCCAGGGCGTGCTCTGAAAACACGCCATGGCTGGACGTTTTCATGTGTCTGGCTGGCAAGGGCTCCAGGGGAGGTGGCAGGGGTGCCAGGAATCCCCAGCCACCCAGACATTTGCCAAGCTTGGCTCCTCAGTGCCTTGGCTGGTGGCCTTTGGGGGTGACTTCACCCTACTGTCATGGCTGGCCCATGGCGAAAGGGTTCACCTGCTGCTTAGGAGCTGAGACTGGGCTGGGCCAGGCCAGGGGCCCTGTTTCTCTTCTGGACTGTGGGGGTTTGGGCCAGTGGGGAGGGAGAGCTTCCCCAAGGGACCATTACAGAATTTGCTGTAAGAATGTGGAGAAGGAGTTCTGGTCCTTGGGTTTACAGATTTTTATTCTAAACCTAATGGAACCTTTCTTTTAACAAAATCTCCTGGAATCCAGTGCAGAAAAGAGCTGGGAGGATTGCTGGGTGGGGCAGGATGAGGGTGGGAGGGGTTTTGACTTTGTCCTGAGGCTGTGCGGGATCCTCCCTGGGTCCCCCAAGGAAGCCGCCTGAGTGGGGAGGGAGGGGCCGCAAGTAACCAGGAGCAGGCCAAGGTTCCAGGGTTCAGCCCAGGACAGCCAGTCTAGGTGCAAGCCAACCCTGGGGGCTGGCCAGGGAGTGTGAGCTGTTGCAGTTTGGGGCAGGTGCCTTCCAGGCTCTGTGGGTCAGGGTTCTCTCCTGGCCCTTCTGAGGGTGCCACCCTGGCCTCCCCGCCTTTGAGCAGGTGGGGGTTGGGTCTGGGTTCCATAGGGCTGGGCAGGAGGAGGCAGCTGTGAGATCCCAGGCAGAGCCAGGAGAGGAGCAGGACAGATGGCATGCAGGCGTGCTGCATCGGGCTGGGATTGTGGGGTGCCAGCAGACAGGGGTGGAGTGGGGACTTGGGCATTCCTCACTCATTGCCTGAGTGTCATGAGGGGCCTGGCTTTGGCTGGTGTTTCTGTCCCTTGAGGGCGTGGTGTCTGAGGGCAGGGCCTGTGGCTCCACCCTGTGTGCTGCTCTGGGGGCCTGGAGGCCTGTGCCCCCGCCTCAGCCTGCCTTTGCCCTGCTGCACCGCTGGCCTGCCTCTTTCCCATTCGGGCACCTGCCTGGAGAGCACTGGGGTGCGGGCAGATCCTGCCTTGAGTGAGCACCGCGTGCCTAGCAGCAAGCAGCAGGGGATCTCCAGGAGCGTGGCAGGGTCCCATCCTGAAACTGACAGGAAATCTGTGAGTATGAGGGTGGGACGGAGAAAGCCCGGGAGGTGTACCGTTCCTTTGGCCCCCATCCCCCTCACCAGGGGACCCTGCCCTACTCACTGTCTTCCAGTGGCCCTACATGGGCAGCATCCTGCCTGGCTGTTGTGGTTGTGAGGCCGCAGCCTGAGACTGACCACACCAGGGCTTAGTGTGCTTAGTTCTGACCCGGGTGTCTGCCCTGCCAGCCTGGTGTAAAGTCGTCAGATGCTGTGGGCCACACGAGGTCATATTTGCACCGTCAGTTTACCGGGGGCAAATGACCTTCTGGGGAGGGCTGCAACTGCTCCCCACCTCTCACCCCTGGTTGTCTCTGTTTCCCGGAGGGTTCCGTTTGTAGGCACTGATGGGGGTTCTGGTTCTAGAGGAAGAGTATCTGAGCTCAGAGGGAGTGCAGCTCCACAAGTGTGCCCCTCTGTGCCGGCATCTGGCTCAGGCATGCGTGAGCCCCTCTGTACAGATGCCTGCCTCACGCTGAGATGCCCACGGCCCAGGCATATCTCTCAGGAGCCCCCGAGAACCCTGACGGGAACCCAGAGCTGTTCCGCACAGAACACCAGGTCAATGATCTTGACTCTGTTTCTGGGAAGATTACCCATCTGTGGCTTCCAGAAAGCACCTCTTCGTTTTTCTGAAACTCACAGCCTTCTCCCCCGACCTCCTGTCCTCTGCTTTTCTCTGAGGCCAGAAGGAGAGATTTCCACACCGGCCCTTTGCCCTGGCCACAGGCCTGAGCTCCTGCATAGCAGCTGCTGTCCTTCCCCTTCTGGACTAGTCCACTCTAACCTGACCCTTTGGTAAAGAGTATGATGGACCCCCCACCGCTGTTACCAGTATTCAGCCACCCTGGAGCTGCGGCCACCCACACAGCTGTGGAAAGCCCCCAGGCCACAGCCAGGCAGGAGCTCCTCCCCGGGTTCTCTTCTTCCTCTGCAGGAGCTTCCAGGCCAGAGCCCCAAGGCCTCATGCTGCCCCCTGCCCCAGCTTTCTCAGGACATGAGGCGTCCCCTCCTTGCAGGCCCCCCAGGCTGACTTCTGTGTCACACAGCAGCCTTCACTTCCGTATCTTTCTTTCTCTTTTAAAGGCATCACCTTCAACTGGAAGAAGAAATGAAAATACCACCTGTGCCTCGAAATCTTTCAGTTTCTAGCGAGGGACATCCCAGGCACTTGGTGGTGGGGCCAGGGCTCCTGCCGGCCATAGGTGGGCTATTGGCCTGCAGGCCAGGTTCCTGCCTGCCACCACTCTGCACCCCTCTGTGCTGGCGGCATCAGGGAGGGTCTGGGGAGATGCAGACTGGACGTGTGGGTTGGGTGGGCCAGCAGGGGAGAGGGGCAGCGTAGGGTCCTGAGTCTGGGGGCAGGAGCAGACTGTGGTAGCAAGCATGGGTGAGGACCTCAGTTCCCCTACCTGCTGGCTCTCATCGGGGCTGGGACAAGGTCAGGTCTGTGACAGGGCACGACACCGAGCCCAGCAGGTAGGAGGATTTGAGGACCTGTGAAGCTAGAAGGTCAAGCAGGGAATTCAGGATTTGGACACCCTCCTGGGATCAGCAGGCGTTCCCCCCTCCATTGCTCTGCTGGTAGCACCAGCCTTCCCAGAAAAAGGCTTCTTTGGCAGGGCCTGGGAACCTCCTGGAGGGAGCTGGGTGACCAGCTTCTCTGCTGAGCCCCACTGGGACAGCACACCTCAGGAAGAGGCCGTCCTTGGTGCTCGTGGTGGGGAAGGGGAGCTGTGAACAAGGCTTCCCCCTGAGGCAGGGCTGGGGATGGGCAGTGGAGACTGGAGGCAGGGAAGAGCTACCCAGGCTTTGCCGCACGTGGGTGGCAAGCCCGCTAGAACCTGTGTGTGCTAGCGTCAAAGGGCACCCTCAGGGGGCTGGGCTGGGGAGGGGCCCCACCTTGACTGTGGTGATGAGAGAGGCAGGATGTGGGGCCCAGGAGGTGACTCTGCCTTGGAGGTGCTGCTCATGAGGGACGAGGGCATCCTATGGCAGGCCCTAAGCCAGCGGAGCCTCAGAGTAGGGGAGAGAGGCGGGGCAGTGTGACTTGGGAAGCCAAGGCAAGAAATGGCTAAAGGAAAAGTGGGTGTCACAGTGGCTGGGCCCAAAGGCTCCCATCCTGCCATCCTGTGGCAGCAGCTTGAGGGGGCCCCAACCTCTTCTGTCTGCCCTTCCACCCCCTCCAGCCTCTGGGGCCCTGGGGCAGCATATAGGCTGCAGGGGTTGGGGGCTGCCTCTGTTGTAGTGGCTGCAGCGCTGGTGGAACAGGAAGGTGTGTTGTTGGCTTCTCCTGGACCACACCCCCTGAAGGTGACACCCTCCTAACACGAGGAAGAGAGCTGCGCTTCTCAGTGCGTTCCAGATCTCAGGCTTCAGTGTCTCCAGCCTGGCCTTCTTGGCCACTCCACATGAGTCTGCCTCAGTGTGGAGGCTTCTTCCTGCACTTTCAGGGGGGTTTATTTCTGAAGGCGGAAGGCAGGCCTCGAACCCCAGGTGTTCTTGCTGGTGGAGGAAAGTGGAAAACACGCAGGCTTTGTGGGAAGAAAGGACGCCACTCCTCCTCCCGTGGATTGCCTGTGGAGCTGGGACAGGCAGCTTGCCACTCTTGTCAGGATGACTGTGGAAGGTGATGTCTAGAAGAGAGAGCAGGAGCACAGGCGCCCCTCTTCAGCTTGGTTTTGCACTAAAGGGACAGCAGAACCCAGAGGGCCTGGCTCTGTCAGCCCAGCCTCCAGTGCCTTCCGAAAGGAAAAACCACGCGTGGTACGTAGGCACACACGCACGCCGCACCACATGCTTTTTATTGAAGTATACGTGTGCTACAGACCATTTAAGTACAGAAAAGCTAAAAGAAGAAATTAAGTGGCACCCACAGTTTTACCTCCCAGACAGGACTGTTGCTTGGCCTGGTTCTCACTGAAAAGCTGCCAGCATAGAGCCCAGGAAGCCCCTCCTGGCAGCCAAGGGTGTGACCCTGCAGTCACGGCAGCCTGCCTGCTCTGGCCACTGATGTCCGCATTTTTTAGACCCTGGGGTCCTGACTGCATCTCAGGCCGCAGTGCCTTGGGCTCCAGTGGGGTGTCTCGGTGCTGGCATTGTAGAGTTTAAGCACCGCCCCAGAGCTGTGGTGGAGGCTCAGTGTGCTGCTGTAACAGAAATACTGGAGATGGGTGGCAAATAAACAACAAGTTTATTTTCATAGTTCTGGAGGCTGGAAGTCCAAGATTAAGGCGCTGGCAGATTATTCTGTATCTGGTGAGGACCCTCTTCCTGGTTCGTAGACAGCTGTCTTCTTACTATAATGTCACATAGTAGAGGGAGCAAAGGGATTTTCTGGGGTCTCCTTTCTAAGGGTACTAATCCCATAAGGAGGGCCCTACAGCCTCATGACATTATCACCTTCCAGAGGCCCCAATTCCTAAGACCATCCATCAAGCTGGGAGTTAGGGCTTCAGGGTATGGGTTTTCAGGAGGCACAAACATTCAGCCTATAGTGCCCAGCGTTCTTGCCTAACCACGGAAGGCAGATGGCGAGGTAGGGTGGGGTACTGTATCCTCTGCAGGCCTACTCCCCCAACTCATGGCAGCTTTTTTGCCCCTTAACTTTGTAGGGCCGAAGCCTGTGACTGTCATTCCATCTGGGGGAATCCCAGGACCCAGGGCAATGCTGCTGCTGCCCATTTAGGGAGGGGAGGCTGACACTGCTTTCCCCATGAGCCGCCACCTGTGCAGATTATGACATGTTTCCCCAGAGTGTGGGATGGACCAATGCCCGCTGGGCCACATGGGAGGCGGGTGCCCTGTCAGGCAGTAGTGGTACAGCAGCGCTGTCTTCGATGGAACAGCCACCATGCCGAGGACCTGGGGATCTGGAGGGCACTTGCCTCGTTCTGCACTGACCCTTAACATGAGTCTCTGGGACCCAGTCTGCTCCAGCTGGTGCCAGCCTGTGGTTAGTCAGCTTGCCTCTGATACTTCACTGCCCTGGCTGCATGAGTGCAAGGGCAGTGCTGTGTTCTTAGTGCCTAGCATGCAGTGGGGAGGAATTAGGCTGGTGTCTGCAGGAGAAGTCCTCCGGGCCCATGTGAGGCGAGTATGGGCCAAGCCTGTGCCCCTGTGCCTGTGACCCAGGCTGGGAGCAGGGGGCTTCAGGTCCTCAGGCTGCTTTAAGCCTGTTTCTCCTGGGCCTGGAGGGCTTCCTGGGGAGGGGGTTCACAGCTTCCAGGTCCCCTCCTGCCACTTTGAACTTGGGTGTGAATTAATGAAAAGCAGATGAGCTCAGATGTCCCTGGAATTCCACATGAAGTTGAATGGTATAAAGTAACCAGCCATGTGTTCTTGGCGGAACCAAAAGTACTCAGAGTGTTGCTGAAGCTGCCAAGTCCTCAGAGTAGCCTAGCCTTTGCCGAATTTGTGCTTCATGGGATGAATCCCATTTCATGAGATGATGTGCTTTTCTCCATTGAGTGAAGCCCTAGAGAAAATGGCCCCTAACCCTCGGCCATTCCAGACATGGAGAGTAGTACAGCATGCGGCCCCTGCTTTTAAGCCAATATGCCCATTACAGGGCAGGAAGCAGCCAGGGTCTGCCGCAGTTATGGTAGGATATTGGGCATCCTGGACCCACGGATCCTGGACAGAAGGATGAAGCTTTGGGATTGGGGAGGGAGGGGATGAGCCGAGCAGGCCCCCCAGCGTGCAGGGCACCTGGATGCCGACCACATTGGTCCGTTGTTCGGAACCTCGCCTTAGCTCTCTTCTGCCAGGGCCTAATGAGAACAATGGTCTCTCAGCTGAGCAGGTGGACACCTGTGAACTTCATCTCATTACAGATCTCAAAGGAGGGAGTCTATGTGGTTCTGGGCAAGGATGCTCCACTTTGCTTCCGTCTTCACCAAACTCTTAAAATATGAAGTGTAGGAAATTATGCCCCTGCAGGGTTCAGGATAAAGGAAATGACACCCAAGCCTTGGTTCTTTGTACCTGTTCCATCCACTGGGTATTTAGAGAAAGTAGCTTGGCGTGTAAGGTGGTCTCTGGCCCAACTTCACCCCCTTTTTTGGTGAAGTCTGGGACTTGCACAAGCACTGGCTCTTTGGCTCAGCTTTCAGACCTTGAAGGATCCGCAAGGAAGCTTTGGTCTGGGTACAGCCCTTGAGAAGGGCCTTAGAGGTGGCCATGCCAGTGGAGAAGGTGAGGCTAAGCAGGCTCTTGAGGTGCGCCCATGGCCAGGCCAGAATGCAGGCCTGGCACTCTTCGCCCAGGCGCCTTCTGGGCAGCAGCAGTTTTGAGTAAGTAAGGAGCCTAATGTTTAATGGCCTTTGTGTAAGAACATGATGATGACAGCGAGAGCAGGGAGGCTGGGAGGGAGTGTGTGGATGGACATCCGAGTAAGAGTTCCCCAGTGTCTCCAGGAACCACTTGCTTTGTAAAATGACCCAAATCCACCATCCCTGGACCTGGCGCAGATTCTGAGTTGGGCCAAGGCCTGGGAAACCTGAGTTGGAAAGTCTTTTCTCAGCCCGTATCATGGACTTGCTTTTGGTGCTCTGGGCTGGGGTCAGATTTGTAAGTGTGTTCCTGTTGTAAGAAGTTGCCTTGCCAAAAGATCATCATTTGAGTGCCTGGCATTTGTTTTTATTTCTATTTGTGAAAGTCAAGCATGTTAATTAAGGATGATTTGAGAAACAGGAAAGTATCAAGGAAAATTAATGAAGAGGAAAATCAATAACTTTAATCCCACCACTCACAAGTCACCACTGTTAAAACGTGGGATCATTCCATACAAGTCATTTTCTGTTCTACATTTTCCTGCTTTAACATCCTGTTAGGCTCATAACCCCAAGGCACTGACTGGTTTCTAACCTGGTCTGAGTGGTTGCCCCGTGTGCGCTTGTCTTGCACTGAGAGCTCCAGTGATTGGCTGTCCTGGGACAGCCGTCCACCTCATTATTTTCAGGGGGAGTTCCCAGGAGCCTGCAAAGGAATGTGCATTTTCAGGGCAGGTTGCTTCTTTTCAGAAAGGAAGGATGAGTGTGCTACCCGCAAGCAAGGCATGAGAGCGCCCAGGTATGCACCCTGGCAGGGAGAGTGGGCGGGTGGCTGTTGGATGTCTAAAAGGGTTTTGCACACCGGGCGCGGTGGCTCATGCCTATAATCCCAGCACTTTGGGAGGCTGAGGTGGGCAGATCTTGAGGTCAGGAGTTCAAGACTACTGGCCTGGCCAACATGGTGAAACACTGTCTCTACTAAAAATACAAAAATTAGCTGGGTGTGGTGGCGGACGCCTGTAATCCCAGCTACTGAGGAGGCTGAGGCAGAGAATTGCTTGAACCCAGGAGGTGGAGGTTGCAGTGAGCTGAGATCACGCCACTGCACTCCAGCCTGAGCAACAGAGTGAGACTCCGTGTCAAAAAAAAAAAAGGGAGGCGGGGGGAGTTTTGCAGTGAACAGAAGTCACTGTTTAAGTAGAGTTTACACACAACAACAAAAAAAGGGTTTTGCAGTGAACAAAAGTCACTGTTGGAGTTTACACAACAGAGGGGTCGCCACGCTGCCCCGTACCTGGGAGCTTCAGACTGTTCCGAATAGGCCTCCCCTGGACACTGAGATCTTGGAGGCTTTGTGATCCAGCCTTGGATGCCGGGTCCTGAGATCTTGCAGTCCAGGGAAAGGTGAGATTGTCTCACAGCAGAGGCTTGCCTGCTGCAGGCCACGCTCAGGGGTTTCTACCTCCCTCAGTCCCAGTGTCTGCCCTACAGGCTCCCTTGGTCCCGCTCAGAATGCACAGACCTGACCGTACCAGTGAGAAAGGACAGGCTGTGTGAGCTCTGCCTGGCCCAGGTGTGGGCTGGCCACGGGCTCCATGCCTGCCTTCTCCATGGGCCATGACGTCGGCCAGCAGCCTCAGCAGCTGCTGAGATTAGCGTCTGTATGTGGTGCCACTTGGTGTGCCTCTGGCTCCTGGCCCTGTGCTGGCCCCGTGGAAGGGCCTGTCAGCATGTACTCTCTCCTGGGGACAGGAGCAGTATCTTCAGGGCTGGGTCTACCAACCCGGTCTGTGCATTTCCAGCCTCCTGTGTGCTTCCCAGCTCTGAATTATGACCACTGGGCTGATTTATTTCTTCTGACATTTGCAAGCTGTTAGGTGGCAGAGATCAGTGAATAAAAACTTAATAAAAGGCTGTATTTAATCCCATGCATCCTAGGCTGAGCCAAGTTCCCTTAGGATTGAGCATCACCAGATAGAACCCAGAGCCCACTGGCATTGGGACCTCCAGGGTGGCTACTTGGAGTTTTTGTGGGGAGGGCAGTTTCTTGACCGTGGAGCATGACGAGGCTGGACCCACCTCCCCGTCTGTATGCAGCCACCATGCAGCCCACCTAGGCTGTGGGCTCTGTTGATGCCGCCTTGGAGTGTGCGGCTTGCTCTGGGTGGGCCTTCCAGGGGAGGAGGGACTGCAGAGGTAGTGACAGGGAAGGGACCCTGGGCCAGGGGGCTGGGCTCAAGGGTGGCTCCACATCTGACTTTGTGGCCTCATTTCCTGGTCTGTCACTTAGGGAGTTTTGCTGGGGCCTGTTAAAGGGGGAGTGCCTGGAGGTATCAAAGCAGGGGCTTGTGGCCCTGGTCATCCAGTAGTTACTGGGGGTGTTTACAGCCGCCTGTGCTGGGCCTCCCCTGGAGAGGAAGTCACGCCCACGTTAAGTGCGTGGGAAACCTGTCCCAGGCGTTCTGTAACCGTAGCTGCAGGTGCTCTGGGTGTTGCCTCCTGGCTGTAGAGGGCCCCCTTGTGAAGAGGGGAGCCCCAGGTTGGGGGGCCTGGGCTGGCAAAGTCCCTGCCATCTGGCCTGCCCACTTGGGGCTGGCTGTGTTGGGCCTGGTCCCACCAGGGCTTGGGCTGCTTCCAGATCTGTTTTCATTTTCAATTCCCTTTATTGCTATAAAACCACTTCGGGGCTGCAGAGAACAAGCTGTTGTCCTCAGCTGACCTCAGATTCCTGGCCTCAATTGTTTGCCTCTTGCTAATTTTAGCTTCTGATCATTTCCACTCTTATCCTCCCCCCAAAGGGAGACACAGACCAAGAATAGCTGCTGGGAAGGGGGGCTGTGGTGGCTGTGGCCAGAGTTCCAACAGTGAGCTGGCAGGGCTGTGGAGTGGCTCGCTGTGGCCAAGCCTGGGGCAGGGGGCTCTCGGCAGGCAACCCCCACACCCTTCCCCTCTCTCACCGAGGACTCTATACTGCAGGCATGGGCCTCAGAGGAGAAGAGGACTTCACTGTTCCTTCTTTTAAACAGAAACCAGGCTGCTTCTGGGGAAAAAGTACACCCCCACAGCCCTGCCTAGCTTGAAGACCCCTGAGAGTCCCTAACTCCCCTGAGCCCTTCAGACTCCAGGACCCAGGTTGTAGTGTGGGGTCAGACGTGGCACTTGACTACAGCCAGGCCCTGGATACAGCGTCAGTGTGGAGGCCTCAGGCCTATCCAATCCCTACCCAGCTTGGCCCCAGAGCCTGGCACAGCTCTGCCCTCCCAGTGAGTGTCAGGCTGCAGTTGACTGACAGCAATGTCCAGTCCAGGACATCAGCCCAGGCCTGCAGGATGGGACTTTGCCTGCCTGGGGCAGGGAGAGAAGCAGCTGACCAAACCCCAAACCGTGGTGTGCTGGTGAGCAGGCCTGGGGAGAGCCAGAGGAGGGATGGGCTGAAATCCAGCGAGGAGGAATGGCCTCCAGGCAGGGCCTAGGGTTGCAATCCTTGTCCATATATTAATAGTTTTGTAATTTTTGTTTTTGTTTTTGAGACAGAGTTACACTCCTGTTGCCCAGGCTGGAGTGCAATGGCGCGATCTCAGCTCACTGCAACCTCTGCCTCCCGCGTTCAAGCAATTCTCCTGCCTCAGCCTCTCAAGTAGCTGGGATTACAGGCACCCACCACCACACCCAGCTAATTTTTTGTATTTTTAGTAGAGATGGGGTTTCACCGAAATGTTGGCCGGGCTGGTCTTGAACTCTTGACTTCAAGTGATCTGCCCACCTTGGCCTCCCAAAGTGCTGGGATTACAGGCGTGAGCCACTGCACCTGGTCATATTAATAGTTTTTAAACTTCTGTTTGGAGAACTTCAGACAGATGCCCACATCTTCAGGACACCCACATTTTCAGCACCTGCTAGCCCCCTGCAGTCTTATCTCTGCCCCTCCCCCACCACCGTCCTCTCCAGTTGTTTTGAAGGAAATCCCAGATGCAATATCAATTTGTCCATAAATATTTCAGTGCCTTACATCTTCAAATGAAAGCCTGATACGTCTAATTTTCATACTGGGCTAACAGTAAGTGTGAAGCAAAAAATCCAAAGCCTGAAGTCACCCCACATGACTTGGTATTGGGAATTGTGTGGATCCAGCCCTAAAACCCCCGGGCTTGGGGTTGGAGCCACCATTTAAAGAAGTGTTGGAGCCCATCTCGCCATCCCTCAGCCTCGAGTTATAACTAGTCATAGGTAAAAAGAAGGCAACCAGGACACAGGTGTTTATGAGATCAAAAGCAACAACAACCGAAACAATCAACAGTGCTACTAAGGTAACACAGATAGGTGAGGAAGAGGCCAGGTGCTCAGTAAGTGTCTCCTGTGGACGGTCCCTCACCTCCCCTGAGCAGAAGGGCAGGGTGTCATCTCCACATGCCTTGGGGAGATGGCAGGGCCAGCACTCTCCAATGGCTTCTGAAGAGGAGCTACTAGGAGAAGAAAGTGATGCTCTAAGGAAAGGCTGGACTGCCGAGAGCAGTATACCCATCCCATTTTGTAAATTATGTTAAAAATTGTGTTAGAGTAGTGCATGTGGTAATACACATAGCTTAAGGATCCTGTCTTTCTGTACGTTCATTGTGATAAGCAGGTCACCCCCACCATCTGCCAGCTTCTTCAGCTACTGCCTTTGGTATTTACCTTTCCCAGCTCGATAACGTGCTCATAGGGGCTCTTCTTGATGGTAGAAGAGTGTTAGGCATTATCTCCTGACTTCCCATGATGGCACATGAGCGCCTGCAGGCACCCTTCTCCCACCCATGTGATAATTGGATATTTAGGATGGAGCCAGCATGCGGTATTTTGGGGGATCATGACAGTAAATGCTAGTTGCAGGTGACCCATACATTACACGTGTTTCTTTCCCTTAGACTCAATAGTTGCCATTTCTGCTTGGTTTTCCCAGTGCTGTTGTCCCCACACCCCCAGCCCCCCATTTGTCCCCACACACCCAGTGTGGCCTGCTCCGTGTGGCCTGGATAACATCTCTGTGGGGGTTGGCTGTCATCCTGGGACCCCTCCCCTACCATCCAGGCCCCACTTCCTGGAGCCCCTGCCATCTGCTTCTTGGCAGAGCTCCTGCTGCATAGCCTCCTGGAAGGGGTGCACTGGAGGCCATTTTTCCTTTCCTTCTGACTTTTATTTTAGGGTTGGGGGTACATGTGCAGGTTTGTTACATGGGTAAATTGCATGTCACGGGGTTTGATGTTCTTATTTCATCACCCAGGTGATAAACATAGTACCCGATAGGTAGTTTTTCAGTCTTTCACCCTCCTCCCTCCCCGCTCAAGTAGGACCTGGTGTCTGCTGTTCCCTCTTTTGTGTCCCTGTGTACTCAGTGTGTAGCTCCCACTTATAAGTGAGAACTGGCCGGGCGCGGTGGCTCACACCTATAATCCCAGCACTTTGGGAGGCCAAGGTGAATGGATCACCTGAGGTCAGGAGTTTCAGACCAGCCTGACCAACATGGTGAAACCCTGTCTCTACTAAAATACAAAATTAGCTGGGCGTGGTGGCGGGCGCCTGTAATCCCAGCTACTCAGGAGACTGAGGCAGGAGACTCGCTTGAACCCGGGAGACAGAGGTTTCAATGAGCCAAGATCGCGCCACTGCACTCCAGCCTGGGCGACAGAGCGAGACTCCGTCTCAAAAAATAAGTGAGAACATGCAGTGTTTGGTTTTCTGTTCCTGCGTTAATTCACTTAGGAGAATGGGAGGCCATTGTTTTAAGGCTTATATGTCTGGAAATGTCTTGATCCTGGTCTGAGGTTGATTCACGTTTCTCTGGGTTGAATCATAGGTGGGAATGGTTTACTCGTGCGGTTTGGAGCTCTGATGTTGCTGTGGAGAAGACTGAAGCTTTTCTGATTCTGGCTGTGTGCACCTCCCGGTCTCTTTGCCTCTCAGGGCCTTTTGGGCTTGTGCCTTTACCAGGGCTTGGAGGTGTGCACGTGTGTGGAGGTGCTTGGCCAAGCTCTGTCCTCTGCAGCGGGCCCGTCGGGTGGCATCTGGAAAACATTCTTGCCACTTTCTTCACGATCACCTCACCTCCTGTGTTCTCAGGGCTGCCTGCAGTTCCTTTTATTTGGAGCTGTTGGTCTGATCCTTACATTTTCATATTTTTTCCCTCTTACCCATCCATTTGTATTTTTGCTCTGTTTTCTGTGAAATTCTCTCAGTGTTCTCTCCCAACCCTGCTATTGGGATTTTTATTTCTGCCACATTTTTCCTTCTGTATCTTTACTTTCAGACTCAGGTTTCTAAGCCTTTGCTTTCAAACTCAGGTTTCTAAGCTTCCCTTTTAAAGGCACATGCGGTTCTTGTTTCCGCCAGGCCGTCTATGCGGTGAGGATGTTAGTGACAGCTCTGGAAGTCTTCTCGTTGCGTGGCCTCTGCTCCCTCCACATCACCTGTCTCTGCTCCTTGGTCTGGGTCTCTTGCCCACCCACGTCAGGCTCTTCTGCATTGTCTGCTGATCCTTGATGTCTGGTGACACGGCCCAGAGAGCCTCGAGCTGCGTGGGGGCTTCTGGGTGCCCATCAGGCTCAGCGACGGTGGCCTCCTGTGGGTGGTCTACTGGGCCATCTCCTTCCGGGTTTTCCCCCAAGAGGAGTGTTCTGCTCCTGCCTGGGGGAGGGAGGGTGGTCCTGCTGCACACTGGGAGAGAAGCTGGGAGGCAGCACTCTGTGAGTGGGCTGTTCCCCACACCCCTGTTCTGGAGGCTGCCCTACTCTGAGCTGGGTCTGGAGTCGTCAGTCCAGAGCTCCCTCCTGTGTAGACCCTCCCAGAAAGTCAGCCTCTGGTTCCTGGCAGGTGCAGGAAGGGCAAGCAGCCATCTGTAAGGTGAGGAAAGACCTTGTGTCCACAGCTGCTTTATCTGATGTTCAGGTGCCCCCCACCAACTGCACCCCCACCCCCGCCAGAGACTCCCGAGCCTTTGTGGGGAAACGTGGATTGCTTCCTTGCCTTCTCTGCTGTCTTTCTAATTTCTTGCTTCCAGATTATTTTTGTTACTCTCTTTCCCTTTTGCTTTGTCTGTTAAAATCCACTTTCTTTCATTGTAGTGGGATCTGGGGCTGGAAGGGTGGTGGGTGCCTGTGCCTGACCTGCCAGCTTTATCCAGAGTTCCTGTTAGGCCTTTGGTCCAGTGCAGGAGGCGTGGGGAGAGATGAGGGTAAGGTAAGCACTAGGTAGGGGGCGGCTGAGAGTTGTCCAGCTGTTGGGCAGCCAGCATCTCCTTTGTTCTTGCCCAACAATGTTATCCAGGAGTTTGCCAGAGATACATCCAGCAATATCCTGGAAGCAACTGAAGGCAGCTCACAAGAAGACAGTTGTGCAGTGGAAGGAGGGGGTCCAAACCTAAGGTTGGCAGGTTGACTATAGTACAGTTGCGATTGTCTGCATTCTTACAGTTTCTGTCAAAACATCGTTTTCCCAAGTGGCTGGTCAGCTCCCCTGTGGTTAACATGCTTGCAGCAATGGATGAGAGCTCCAGTTGCTCCACCAGCATTTAGTATTGTCAGTGTTTTGGATTTTAACCATTCTCATAAATATGTATAGTGATATCTCGTTGTAATTTGAATTTTCATAATAACAAATGACACTGAACACCTTTTCACACAGTTGTTTACCATCTCTCTATCTTCTTTGGTAAGAGTGTTCAGATCTTTTGTTCATTTTTTAAATTGGCATTTGCTTATTGTTGAGATTGAGTTCTTTATGTATTTTAGATACAAATTGCCTTTACTTTTGATCAGCCTCAAATGAAGAGCATTTTTATCAGCTAAATAAACCTGGCTCTGTAATTGTGGATTCCAACCTCATATTCCTGTCTTGCCTTGTGTTTCAGAAAATATCTGAAGAGGTGCATAGGAATGTCACCCCTGGGCTATCACCAGCCATCAGGGCTGTGTTGGTACGCAAGCAGTCACATTGCCTCCCGATGCCCAGAACAAGGATGTTAACCGCACACTGGCTCCTGAAGCCAGGGAACATTCCCTTCAAGATGGCAGAGGAAAGGCGGGGGCAGTGGGGTCAGCTGGACATGCGTCACCCTACCGTGCTCAGGGAAGATGCTTCTGGCTTCCCCTGGGAGGCAGCTAGTGATGAGGGTCTCACAATGGAAAGGAAATGGAAATGTCTGTTCTTTGGGTTCAGCTCTCATGAGTCCACAGGTAGCACCGTTCATCTGGAGAAGGCCTTCACTTGCACAATCCATGATCTGGAAGCTTCTGTGGCAAGGGGCCGATATACGTCTCCCTACTTATCCATTGAGGAGCAATAAGGGTTGTGACTCGGGTGTGCGTGAAGGAGAGAAGCTCCAGAGCCCTTGTCTCAGGTGGCTTCTGGCCTTCTGTTGGCAGAAACCATTGGTATTCTATTATTTCTGTTTTTAAAAGGGACCTTGAGAACGGAAATTTTCAAGTGTGTTTTGTAACCCTTAGCAAAAGGAGAGCAAACACCTTTATGAAATTCTGGCATGTGGTCCTTTTAACCTTTCCAGGCAGTGTACTGGTTCATGCAAACTAGTGCTATTCCCTTCTTAGGGATTGGGGTGCTGGGTTCTGTGGAAGCAGTCCCAGTGGTGAGCTGGAGCTTGGGTGAAAGGTACGTGTGTGTACATACACCACTTTGTTACATAGTGTTATTGCATTAATTCTGACTGTCCAAAGTGATTCATTTGATGAAGGCAGAAATGCAGAAAGGACAGTCACACACAAATCCCATCTTCCTGAGGTAACCTCTGTTTCCTTCCTGCAATTAGAGCTCTGGCATATGCATTTCATGTGTGCATTTGAGGGTGGGGCTCAGCCACTTGGTAGTCTGTTTTCTTCCCTGTCCACGTTCCCAGGGGCTGTTTATCAGCAGCTCACATTGGTGGTTCAGAAGAACATTCGAGAGAGACAGCTGGGCTGGCTCCGTGTGCTTACTCTCCCTCGTCTACCCCATCCAACAGATTGTGAAGCCTGGTTCCAGTAACCTTGGGGATGACACCAAGGAGCGCTGAGCCCTCCACCCCGCATGTTGTGGTCTTGGGGGAGGGAGGCAGGTAGGACACAGAACAGGGTTCCTGCCCCAGTGGCTCCTCCCAGCTCTTGCTAGCCCTCCCTTGGCATCAGGCAGACCTAGGTAGCCTCAGGTCTTGGAGTCCCGTACAGAGCTGTTGCAGAGGGGGTCACTCCAACCTTGAAGCTTCTGGGGGCCTGGCCGTGGGATAGTGCAGAGTGTGGCACTGCTTTTCTTCCCGGCTGGTGTCCCTGGGGTCAGCTGCCTTAAGGTTAGGGCCCTGTTCTAGGTTAGGACAGGGAAGGGCTTAGGAAACAGGGCCAGCAGGATACAGGGAGGAAGGTGTGGGCACGGACATGCAGCGGGCAGGCCTGTGCCGGGAAGAGGGTGGGCTTTGTCTCCTGAGAAGAGGTGGCCCCCCAGAGCACTGGTCTCCCCACATGGCAGGCAGTGGGGCTCTGTTTCAGGCCCTCTCCAACGCACTTAGGCTGCGACAAGCCTGAGCAGGATGTAGGGGGCTACTAGACCTGCGGGCAGGGCTGAGGGACAGGGCCCGGGGCTGCCAGGTCACCTGTTCTCTGCAAGAGGGTTTTTGAACACAAGGGCTTTCCCAAAGGGTAGGGGTAACTTGCTCCTAGTGGGCAAGACCGAGAGCCCCTGGTGGCTCCATGGGCCTGGGCTGCTGCAGGAGAGGTCTGGGGGCTTTCTAGCTCCTCCCTGGGGGTCTGGAGGTTCCTAGCAGAAGCCCCGGCACTGTTCACCTGTTTCAGAAAAAACAGACCGTTGTCTAATTTGTTGTTGTTGTTGTTTTGTCTCGGCTCCCTCAAAAACCAAAGGCGTTTTTTAGGCCCGTCGTCCAAATTACAAGCTCATTTTAATTCGGATGTATTTACTTTGTGAAACCAACCCTGAAGAATACATTGTTTCGTTATATTCTGCTGGAAACCTTGCCACATTTTTCCTGAGAAAACTGAGCCTGCTGTGCACCTGGAGCCGGCCAGGTGGCAGGTGCTGGGCCTGGAAGAGGAGCCTGCCGAGGCTCCTCCAGGGCTTCTGAGTGCCATTGTTTTGAGTGCGCTGCCTGGTAGCGCTGGGCCCTTCCAGGGAACTGCCTGGCTCCTTCCTCAGCTGCAGCCTCCTGCTGCAGGGGAGCTGGGGACCGTGGAGGTCCCCCACAGGTCCTCAGGCCCACATGCCCCCAGCCTGGGCAAGCCTGCCGTGAAATAGGCCTCGTAGAGCCTGGCTGTGGGGGCAGCAGGGGCCCCTGGGTGCAGAGGGTAGCCTCGCCGCACTGTGGGTGGGTGCCCCTGCTTGCTCCTCCTGGAACGTGAACGTGGGCAGCAGTGTTCCTGTTCCATGCTGGGGAGGGGCTGTGAGAATGTCTTTCTTCCCGGTGTAGCCTAGCCTCAGGCCCACCCTTCTGGGTGTGTTACCTTGGTGAGGTCACTTGGTTTCTCACCTCTGACAAGGGTTTCACATCAACACTTTCCTGTCTTCCGGGTTGGTAGAGTCAGATGAGCCCAGTGCAGGCCAAAAGTAAAAGCTGCACCCCTGTAAAGAGTGTACATGCAGCTGTTTGTGCCATTGAGTGTCTGTAGCAGAGCTTAGCAGGGTGGGGTCCCTGCAGGCAAGGTCCCCCCCAGGAGACACAGAAGGAGAGGGCAGGGGGAGGAAATGAAGGCTGGGGGAGGGGAGACACAGGAAGAGGAAGTGGGCCACGATGGTTGCCAAAGGCTCTGCAGACAGGGGCCCCTCCCTCAGTTGCCTAGAGAGCCGGCTGGGAGCACGGGCACCTGGGGTGCAGAGCTGGGGCTGGCTGTGCAGGTGCTTGTTCGTGTCAAGAAGCAGTTGGACTTCTCTGTGAGATTCTGCAGATCTCCCCTGTGACTGTCAAGGCTGGTGCCCCCCACCCCCCACCCCAGACGTCACAGCCAGAGGCAGGCCCAAGAGGCCTTTCCATACTGTGTCCCTTTCCCTACCCACCACGTGCTCTGCCCTCTTTCTTCCCTCCCTCCCTCCTTCCTTTTCTCTTGGTGCAAGAGAAAACCCTTTCCCAGTAGTCCACAGATTCCCTGGTTCCTACTCCTCATGAGCCCCTACAGTGGCACTTGGGATCTGCATCCTAGTGGCTGGATGGACTTGGCTCTCCTAGCTGCCATCCACCTGGGCTAATTTTCAGCCCACAGTGGTGTCACAAAGTGGTCTTATGGCAGGAGTGTGGTATTCAGGAGCCTGAAGGGGGCTTCTGACGTGGAATTACAACTCTGGAACTGCTTCTGTTTAAATCCTTTGCTGAATATTTGTCACCCATAGCCTTTTAGGTCTGACCCGTTCTAAACTGCTGGGCCTATCAAACAATTTATCAGGGAGGGCCCTTCTCCAATAGGACAGTTTGCAGCGTGACCCAGGGGCTCTAAAGCCCTGGAGCCCTGCCCTGGGAACATCTCCTACAAAGCTAGATTGGACTTTATTGCTATTTTTGAGTTTCTCATCCTGGAAGCCACTGCCCAGCACATTCTGAGGAGAATCTGCCTGGGCGACCATTGTTATTTTAAGAGAGCTCTTGGGGTAATATGAGGAACTGTGCTTTGAAATAGGGAATACAGAATGGGGCCAGTAATGTGCCCAGAGTGTTGAATGTCTGATTTTTAAATTGGCATTATTGATGGCTAGCATTTTCTAGTTTGCTATGGATTTTTTGTTTTGAATTTAACTTTTTGAATAGGAAATGCATTTGTGTGTTTTAGAATCTAAAAGATTTAAGTAGTTTCCCCAGGGAAAATTCTGTCAACCTTCCCTGTTCTCCATCTGCTCAGTGTTCCCCTGGGTGATCTCTGTTCCTACTTTCCTAGGGACCCTCTCTCTGCACATACAGGCCAAGGCGCACGTAGATCCTTGCTGGTCATCTCTCCTCAACCTTGTTTTCCTCACTCAGCTTGGAGATCTTTCCATATCAGTTTGTAAAGAACTCATTCTACTTCTTTGCGATAGTGTTCTGTTATATGTGCGTTCCATAATTTATTTGACAGGCCCCAGTGGAAGGACATGAGTTGTTTTCAGGTTCCTGCTGCATTGACTAATCAGGAGCATATCCCGTTTTGTAGGTGTGCAAATGCGTTTGTAGGCTAGGATGTCAAAAGTTCAGATGTGGGTAAAAGGGTGTGCACATTTCTAATTTTAATAGGTATTGCCAAATCGCCCTCCATGGAGGTTGTAGCAGTTTGTACTCCCATCAGCAAAGAATGCCTGCTTACCTGCAGCCTCACCAAGGTGATAAGCTACCAAGCTGCATTTCAGTGTGTCTCATCTGCCATTAGCTCCTGATGGATGAGGTGGAGCATCTTTTCATGCATTTGAGAGCCATTTGTAGTTCCTTTTTTATGAATGGGCTTTGCCCATTTTTCTGTTGGATATTTTTCTTTTTAAAATTCCTGTGAGCTCTTTCTGTATTGGAGATTAGCCGTTTGTGATAGGAGCTGCAAATATTTTTTCTCTCAGTTTTGTCAGTTATCTCTTGCCTTTGTTTATGGTGACTTTGTTCATGGAGAAGTATAGTATACTGTTTTGTGCAGTCAAATAGATTGATTGATTGATTGAGACTGAGTCTCACTCTGTCACCCAGGCTGGAGTTCAGTGGTGTGATCTCAGCTCACTGCAACCTCTGCCTCCCACGCTCAAGTGATTCTCCTGTCTCAGCCTCCTGAGTAGCTGGGATTACAGGCGCTCGCCACCACGCCCGGCTGATTTTGTATTTTTAGTAGAGACGGGGTTTCACCATGTTGGCCAGGTTGGTCTTGAACTCCTGACCTCAGGTGATCCTCCTGCCTCAGCCTCCCAAAGTGCTGGGATTACAGGCATGAGCCACCATGCCCAGCCTTTAGTCTTTTCTTTTATGGTTTGTGGACTTTGATTCATAGAAGGAACTTCTGTCTTACAGTTTTCTCCTAGAATGTTTGTGGTTTTATTTTTCACATTAGAATCTTTGACCCATTTAGAATTTATCCTGGTGTAGGGTGGGAAGTATGAACCCAGCCTTTCCAGATGCTACCGAAGTGTCCTCATAACATGTATTGACTGCTCCCTGCCCTAGGGGTTCGAGATGTCACTCTGTCCTTTGCACAGTTACCACTACCTTTCGTTCTAATTCTGCCATTTCTGCTGGGCTTCACTGGCCAGTGATCAGCTTACGAAACTGTGTTGAATCCTGGTGGTCTCGTTTCCCCCACGTCATTGTTTTGCAGGATTTTTTTCTGGCTATTACTGTGTGTTTTTCTGTATGAATTTTTAGGATCAAGTTATCCTATTCGAAAACAAAGCAAAGCAACAAGAAAAATGCCTACTTTAAAAAATATCTTCGCAAGCATTGTAGAAATGTGGAGCCACACATTTGCCCAAGGAGGATTCTCTCACTGAAGCAGTGTTGCCTCCGACACTGTGGCAGTCTCCAGCCAGGCTTCAGCACCCTGCCAGCTCTTGCATGTGAAGAGTGGATAGTAGTGTGTGATCAGCGGCACTAGACCAGAGCGCCTGGGACAGGGCACACCTGCCCCCCATGTCTCTTTCACTACTGGGCGGCTCACAAACATGCTTCCCGGGGCCCCTTGGCCCATAGGTGATAACATTGTTATCTCCTCCAAGCACCACTGTGCAGCAGGCATGTGCCCCACGTATTCTCCCACTTAACCCTCACAGTGACTGAGAAACAGGCTGGATGACAATCCCTGAGGCATCAACAAAGGAGTGGAGGTAGAGCAGGCTGCTTCCTTGCCCCAGGCAGGTTCCAGCTGCGGCTCTAGCTCTGGCGCCAGCCAGCTGAATGACAGCTCACTCTCTCCTCCTGGGCCTCACTTCCCTTACCTGCTCAGTGGGTGGGTAAGAGCTTCCAACCTGGACTTCCTGCGAAGCCATGTGCATGTCAGCTCCATGTGGCTTAATAAACCACTAACATTTCTAGAGACGAGCAGGACAGTCAAATGGCCTCCTAAGGAGTTAGGAAGTCCACCCCCCACCACAGAGGCCAGGCCTTTCTGCTACCCCTGAGGCTGTATGCCTGAGTTTCATTGGAGGCCAGCAGTTGATCAGCCCCTGTGTTTGGCCATGCTGACCTGCTCCAGAACAGGAGGGTGAACAGTCTTCCTGGAGTGAAAAACATTGCAGTCTTGAGGTTGGGAGCTAGAAGTGGCCCCAAACCAGTGCCCACAGGGCAGAGCTGTCCATCAGTGAATGACAGCCCACTCACTGGTGGGGAATACCTGGAGACTGGGGACAGTGGCCTGGGAGCCTGAGGGCAAGCAATTTCTCTTTGGAAGCCTCTCCCTGTGCCTCCCTTTGAGTCTGACCAGCGCTGCCCCTGCCATTGCCTCCAGATACACACCCACATGGACCCTTGCGCTCCAGAGGTCTGTTGTATCCAAGACATCCCTGTGAGGGTGATGGCTCATTTGCCTTTCCAGGACCTCCCGGTAGGAGTTGCATTTCTTCCCTTCTCCCTTCCATGAAGGGGAGCTCAGCGAGGCTTCCTAGAGAAGACCCAGCAGGAGGCCGGCAGAAGAGGCCCTTGCGGCAGACGCTGCTCTGGCCCCAGCTTGGTACCGGGCATTGGAAACATTGCAAAAATGACCACTCAACAGGCTTCCCACAGGAGGTTCGCAGACAGAAAGATCTGCAGTGTGGTTTATACAGGTGCAGCTGGAGCCGGGTGGGGTGGGGGGGCCCACTCACCTGTGGGGGGTTGGGGGGGAGTTTGGCTAAGGCTGGATTGCAGGAGATAACTTGGAGCGTGCCCTTTGCGCAGGAGGGCAGAGCAGAGTGGAGTCCATGCCACAGCCCGAGTCTGAGCTCAGGCTTTGAGCTGGAGCACGCACACTCCTGAGCTGGCTGCATTTGCATGTGGCTGCTGTGGGGGAGAGGGGAGGGCCTGGGACTTGGGTGTTGAGGCGGATTGGGGGCTCAGCTGAAGGAGAGAGAGCCCCTGCGCCCCCCTTCCGGCTGGCTCTCTGAGAGAACACGTTGTCCCCGCCTGGGCCTGCGGCTTGGGCAAGAGCAGCATGTGGGACGCTGTGTTCCTGATAAGATGAGGCAATTGCTCTCACTCGGGGCGCTGCTCCGCTCGCGGCCTCGCTGTGGCGCCAGGGAACATTTATGTAACGCGCAGCCCTGAGCAGCTGCCCCGCCCAACCATACTCCAATCCCCACCCACCCCACTCTCCCCGCAACTGCATGCGGTCCCCTACCCTGCATCACCCGGCCATGCAGCCTGGTACCCGAAGAGTCCCCCCTCTGCTTGGCACCTGTAGGACCCCCAAACCCCAGCATGGCTTAGCCCCTCTCCCAGCTCCCCACAGTTCCCCCAACCCTCCTACAGCCTCCCTTCAGGGCTCCAGGGCACCTAGTGCCCCTCCAGGCTTGACCCCAGCCCCCTTCCTCTCACCAAGTCTTCTCACAAGGCCTAACCCCGCCTTGTCCCACGGCCCCCACCCCATGCACAGGCACAGGCACACATAGCCAGAACCCCTGGGGCCCTCCCACCTGGGGAGCTGGAGTGACTCTGAGATCCGGCAGGAAGGCTAGGAGCTCCTCTGCAGGAGTCTGGAATCTCCTACTGGTTCTCTTGTCATTTTGGAGCTAGAGGGAGCTCCTGTCCTGGTGAGTCCCTGTCTTGCTGTTGCTGTCTGTGTACCCCATGCCCGGGTGGAGGCAGATGCAGGGTTTGAGCCCAGCAAGGAGGGTGCTTGGATTTGTTTAGGCCATTGGGCTCCCTTTGCCTTAGAATGGGAGGCGGGCTCACTCCCTGAAGGGCCGGGCCTGGCTGGCCCCTCACCTCACTGTGTGCCCCCCTGTGCTCACTGTACTCGGCTGCACGCAGCCCCGCCTGGAGTCTGTCCCCATAACAGCAGTTTTTAGAGTGAAGCTTGAGGACACTCGCAGGTGCCTCAGACCCTTCAGAGGGGCCATGAGATCAAAACTGTTTTCATAACAATAGCACTGTTTGCCTCATTCTCCCAAAAGAGTACAGTAGGCTATTGCAGATGCTACAGGATGTGTGACAGCACCACGACGACTGGAATGCGTGCTTGGGTTGAAGACCTTTTTTCCATTTTAATTTGTAATTTCTAATACGATGAAAGCAGTGGCTCCCGCCCACATACAGGAAAGCTCCTGGGGCTCCCTGCGGATCATGTGGGTGAAAGTGGCCTGGGGCATGTTGCTCCCTGTTCCCGCCTCCACCCGTTCTCCCTTCTCTGGGCTGCTCCTTGTCAGCCTCCTGGGTGCTGCCTGAGTGTCACTACCAGGGGACCCAGCCAGACCCAGTGTTGCTCCTTGCTAGCCTGAGCCATAACTCCTGTTGTGGGCCAGTTCATTGGCCGTCACCTCTCTGCAGCAGGCTGAGGGAGGAGCAGAGAATGGAGCCGTGGGGGCCGCGTCTGCCTGGGTCAGGACCATGTCTCTGGGCCAGGCACCCAGTATGTGCCCTGTCAAAGCATAAAGCTCCTGATATATAGGGAGGCCAAGAGCTGTGCTGGTGGAGTGGCTGCACCCAACACCCACCTTCCTCCACTCCAGGCTGCCTGGCACCAACGTCCCATCCATTGGATGCTGCATTTCTCTGCGGCCCCAACACCATGTGGTCCACCTGTAGCTCTGTGTACCTCACATGCTTCCCCAGCCTGCAGGCAGAAGAAGCTAAAGGACAAGGCTCCTCACAAGGGCTATTAGGAAGCAAGGCTGAGTCTGAATTTGGGTTGGCTTCCCCCCACACCAACAGGCCCAAATCAGAGGAGACCCAGTTGACAGGGCTAATGACTAAGAGCAACAATAACAGCTGAGATTTCAGGAGTGGACCTTTGGAACGTGCCAGGCGCTGTGCTGAGGCCGGTCGTGCGCAGCCCCATGGGATCACTGTATGGACCCCCCGCATGAGGACGGGGCAGTGTGCTCACTTCCTGTGGCTGCTGTCACACATTACCGCAAACTGGGTGGCTGAAAAGCAACCGAAACTTACTCTCTCACAGTTCCAGAAATCAAGGTGTTGGCAGGGTTAATTCCTTCCAGAGGCTCTGAGGGAGAATCCACTCCATACCTCCCCTTCCTTCCCCTGCCCCCTTTCTCCCCCTTCTCACTTGCTGCCTTCCCCGTCTCCCTCACTCCCCTCCCCTCTTCTCCATGCTCCACACTTGGGAGCTCATCTCCAGATCCTGACCTGATTACATCTGCAAAGACCCTTTTTCCAGATAAGATCACATGCACAGGTTCTGGAGGGTTATCACTTGGCTATATCTTTTGGGGGACCATTATCTGCCCTACTGCTGGCAGCACGGAGCTTTTTCGAGGCCATAGCGTCACAACTCAGGGCAAACAGGGTCTGAACCTCATCTGTCAGACCTGACATGGTTAATGCTAAACCATTTAATGCTGGACTTTCCCAAGCTTTTAATGACTAGTGTGCGTTGTGAATCTCCAAGAGTGGAATTATCATGCAACATTTTCACTCTTTAGTTGACAAAATTTTTTTTCTGGAAACGATAAACAGTTTTATACAATGATAACATTTCTTTGAACATGTTTTGGGAAATATTGGACTAGATATTTAAGGAACTATATTTAAACACTTCTTCTTCTTGTTATGGAAGAAACAAATACATAGGATTTTTTTAAAAGGCCCAAGCCAGGCGTGTGGCTCATACCTGTAATCCCAGCACTTTGGGAGGCTGAGGAAGACAGATCACTTGAGGTCAGGAGTTCAAGACCAGCCTAGCCAACATGGTGAAACTCTGTCTCTACTAAAAATATAAAAACTAGCCGAGCGTGGGTAGGCGCCTGTAATCCCAGCTAGTCGAGAGGCTGAGGCAGAAGAATCACTTGAACCTGGGAGGTGGAGGCTGCAGTGACAGAGCAAGACTCTATCTCAGATTAGATAGATAGATAGATAGATAGATAGGTAGATAGATAGATACCCATAACACAGAGGAGCTTGCAACAAAAAAAATCCTCTCACCAGTCCAGCCCCACTCCCTAGACAGCAACACTTCTTTTCTGATTTTAGTTGTCTTGATGGTTACTGCCATAAATGAACTGTATTTTACTGCTGTTTCTTGATTTATCAAATTTAGATATTTTCTGTTATCCTCCTGCCATGAAATTTAAGGATTTACCTGACTCCTATCCCTCCCCTCCAACTCTTCCTAAATTGATGGATGTATTATTTTACTTATTTTGTTGACTATCTTTGTAATTTTAAATCTCTGTGTTTCATTTAGATACGTTCTTTGCACACTGTGTGCATTCCAACTTTTCCCTTAAATCCATGTTCTCTGCTGGGCCCACAGGTCAGTTGTATGGCCTTTGTTTATAGGATTGGTTCTGAAACATTGACAACTAGTGCTAAGGTTAGCATGACCACAACTGTGTAAAGTTTGCTTCCATCAGCAGGGCCTGTGCTGGGATTACATTTCCTGCCACCACCTCATGGAGTTGTTGTGAAGAATAAATAATAGAGCATAGGAAAAACCCCTAGAACCGAGCTTGGCTCGGAGCTCTTGACCCATAATCATGAGGCATTTTCGTTTACATCTAATTTGAACCACAATTTTTTTGTATGTCTTTTATTTTTCCTGGAGTTTCTAATTGCCTCTTTTTTCTTTTAAACAAAGAAGAGTGGTGTGTCTTTACTGGGTCCTGAAGTTTACCCAGCCTTTTGATGGTACTCTCTGGTGCACAAAACTCACTTTCCTCCTGGAATTTTCCCCCGTGAGTCTTGGTCCTGTGCTCCAGTGACCTCCCGGGGTCTCTGCCTCACTCTTGTCATGCAATGGCCCTTTACTATTCAGTCATGTCTCTAGCTCCTTGGTTTTATCTCATTTTAGCTGGAGTGTGTGAGACATTAACTTGGAAGGCCCTGTTCCTTTGTCTTCAGGATCCAGTGTGACTTAGGAAAAGTCTGATGTCTATCCCAGCCTTGTTCCTTTGTGGATGACCTGGTGTTTGTTTCTTCCCCCTCTCTCTATTAAGCTGTGAGAGCTCCTGTTTTTACTCAGTGTTCTGACATTGCAGAGCTTCTCGCAGCAGAGGTCTTAACTCATTTACCTGGTCCACCTCTGTGCAGCCTGTCTCATGTTAGTTTCCTGTCTCCTTTTTCTTTTTTTTTTTTTTTTTTTTTTACTCTTTGACAGAGACTGTTCTATTATTTCTTTTGTAATTTCTTCTCCATGTTTTCTGTTTTCTCACTTGATTGTAATTGTCGTGTATTTGGGAAATCGTGGTGGCTACTTGATTTTGAATCCCCCCAACACCCTTTCCCCCAACATGTAAAATCAATAAAGAGAGCAAGTGTACCCACACACGGCCCCTGCTTCAGCAGTACCAGGAGACGGAACATCGTGACATCCACATATTTTCCAGAACTGTTTTTTGGTTCTTTTTTTCTCATATATTTGCTTTGAGTATATTTCCAGCTTTTATATGAAAGTTTTATATGCACACAATGCTGTTTTCAATTCCTAAATGCTGTTGTTTTTGCTTTTTTTTTTTGAGACAGACCCTTGCTCTCTTGCCCAGGCTGGAGTGCAGTGACACAATCTTGACTCACTGCAACCTCCACCTCCCAGGTTCAAGTGATTCTCCTGCTTCAGCCTGCCGAGTAGCTGGGATTGCAGGTGCACACCACCACACCTGGCTAATTTTTGTATTTTTAGTAGAGACGGGGTTTCACCATGTTGGCCAGGCTGGTCTCAAACCCCTGATCTCAAGTGATCCACCCGCCTCAGCCTCCCAAAGTGCTGAGATTATAGGCATGAGCCACCGCGCCTGGCCGTTTTTGCTCTCTGAACTTCTTTGTATGGTATCCTCTTTGCTTTTGCATCAAATTTCATCTCAAATTCCTCAGAGAATACTAATCAGAAATTTCAAGTTAAAATTTTCTTCTCTTTCCTGGCTTCACTCTTTTCCTCTAGAGTTGGTGGTTGCATTGCGCTTGGCCTTTCTTTTCCATGCTGCTGGTTCTCCCTGGCTGTCTGGCCATCCCTGGGTATCTGCTTGTGTTTAAGGTGGGTGGGTGAGTGGGTTTCCTCTGTTGAACATGGGTAGACCAGCTTCAGTGACTGGCAGTCACTTTAGGGTCTGTATGGGGGTGAGAGGGGATGAGACCGTGTAGGAAGGGCAGCCCTGCGGCCACCCCTAATACAAGAAGGGCTCGTTTCTGGGGTGCCAGAGCCCCCCACCCTGGTTCTTCCTGAGCAGTTGATGTCATTTTTGTGATTCAGAGTTTTGTGTGTTGAGTTTGCCTGGGTAAATGCTGGCCTGTCTCCCGCTCCGAGTGAGGGATGGGAAGGAGGGAGCAGCATCCTGACCGTAGCCAACCTTCATTACCTCCCACCCCACTGTGTTCTGCCTCCTCCCTACCGGCACAGGCCCCTATAATGGGGTGCTCTGGGTTGCTGCCCTTGTCTGTCACCACACTTGGGTCTGCAAGAGGCTGTTTCATTCTCCTGCTCTGCCAGCCGTCCCTGGTTGGTCACTTTGGGACTTTTGTGAGAGAAGGAGCAGCAGACTGGTTGTAGAATTCCAGGCCCCGGAACTCACCTACGCTGACCCTCTCATGTGACAGACTAGACTGAGGAGGGTCAGAATGGGAATTGCCTTCCTGCCCTGCAGGGGTGCAGAGTGTGGCTCCCATGGAGCAGCATGGGCGGCTGGACTCCGGGAGGCCTGTGAAGCCAGGGCATGGGCCTGCAACCCCCAGGCGTTGGAGACCACTGGCCCGGCATGGGTGTGTAGTGCAGCCTGCTTTGTGGTGTACTTAGGGGGTCCACTGCCAGGAGCCTGGGGCCCTGACCTGTACCTACCCATGGGCCCTGCAGCTTCAGCACCTGAAATGCTGTTTTATCCTAGGCCGTGTCCTCTGCCTCCATCCCAGGCGTGGGCGGGAGGGCAGGGGCCCACCTTCATCTCTGCCTTGATGGATTTGTCACAGAAGCTCTTGGAGGTGGGGCATGTGGGAGGGGTGTTGAGAGACCAGGGTGTTGGGTGTTGCGGGCCCTTCCCCAGAGAGGGTGTGAAGGCGGGGCCAGGTGCGGATACTGATGCTCTGCCCCTGTGCCCACAGGTGAGAGGCCCTTCGCCTGCAGCTGGCAGGACTGCAACAAGAAGTTCGCGCGCTCCGACGAGCTGGCGCGGCACTACCGCACACACACGGGCGAGAAGAAGTTCAGCTGCCCCATCTGCGAGAAGCGCTTCATGCGCAGCGACCACCTGACCAAGCACGCGCGCCGCCACGCCAACTTCCACCCGGGAATGCTGCAGCGGCGCGGCGGGGGCTCGCGGACCGGCTCCCTCAGCGACTACAGCCGCTCCGACGCCAGCAGCCCCACCATCAGCCCGGCCAGCTCGCCCTGAGCCCGCCACAGCCATGAGCAGCCGCTCCCACCCCCTCGTGAGTCCCTGGCCTTTCCTTTTGTAATAAGAAAGAAGAGAGAGAACTTGATGCAAAGTCCACGAAAAAACAATTTTTTTCACCTCAGGTGTCAAAGTAAATTTGTTAAAAAAACAAAAAAAACACAAAAATTTCAAAAAACACCACCCACCAAATTGCACAATAGATACACCCACAAAGTTGAGATTCAGCGTTGTTGAACCCCCTTTCTCAGGGATGGACACGTTTCACGAGGTCAGTGAGGACACCCCTTCCTGCCGCCTTACTCTGTACATAGATTTGCACTCTGGAGTTTTCTGTTAGGTTCGGGAACACGCTGGGGACAGAGCAGGCCAGCCAGTCTGGTGGAGCTCAGCGTCTGGCTGGCTGGCCAGCCTGTGGGTCTGTTGGGAGCAGATGTGCTCACTGACGTTTGTGCCTCCAGGGCAGATTCCTAAGCAGCTGGCCTGACCTCTTCCTGCCCAGCCCCCAACCCAGTCTCTGGCCTCTGCCCAACGAGCCTGGCTGGGCTTGCAACGCAGCTGATTCTGAGACAGGCCCCTGCAGAGGGATGCCTTAAAGCTGTCCCTGGCTGGAGGAGCACTCCACCTTGGGGATAGTGGAGGGGGCCTTCAGCCCTCTGCACCCTGCCTGCCTCACACCCCGCCTTCAGGAGCCCTCTCCTACGGCGCTAGGGAGCACTGGAAGCAGAGATGCCAGCCCTGGCTGAGCGTAGCACTGCACCGTCCGACCTCCGAGGCAGGGGCCGGGGTCACACCTGCCAGGACTCCGCTTCTCCGTGTCCCAGCAGAAGGCATGCAGGACCCTGTCACTACTATACCTGGGCCTCTGATGGGGAATTCTGGTCTTCTAAAAAGATGTTAGAAATTCCTGGTGGCACATCCAGTTCCGAGTTTGCCCGCACGGGCACTTTTGTTGGAAACAGTGGGCAGGTCATGGGGCCTCCTCATCAGAGGGTCTGTGTGAGCGGCTGTGCATGTGGCAGCGCACCATGCTTCACAGAGACCATTCTGTAGCAAGAGACCGGAACATTGTGACTTGGACCTTTTCAGGAGTGGCGCGGATGTTACAGGAAATGCTGTCGGAGAGCGCGCATTCTATTTCCTCCGCAGGGAATGCCAGATAGAAAGTTGCGGGCAACACTTTTCTCAGACCCACCATGTCCCCAACTCAGACTTAGCAAACCTCCAGCCTCTCCGTTTCCCCTGGACTCCTCCTCCCTTTTCCTCCTGCTTCTCCTTGTCCTGCCTGGAGGCTCCAGGCCACACCCAGCTGGTGGGGCTGCTCCAGTGCCCCATCACCGGCCTTCTCCTGGCAGGAGAGGAGGAGCAGAGAGCTGGGTCCTGGGCTGGGATTCGAGCCCTGGGCGGGGGTCAGTCAAGCCGTGGTCCAGCAAACTCCTCTGCAGATGGCTGGAGTGTTGACCCAGGCTTGTGGCCCAGGTATCACCTTCCCTTCCTCCTGAGAGTTGAGGCCTGTAAATACAAGGGCCCAGGACAGAGTGTGTGCGTGCGTGTGGGTGTGTGCGCGCGTGAGCACACACGCGTGTGTTGGGGGGGGTGGGGGGATTGGGGTGGACTCAGGGTATCTTGCCAGAGATACCTGTTTTGATGAGTACCTATTTTGATGCAAAGGAACGGCCCTGGGACCTCAGAGGGCCACAGATGGGCTTCCTGGGCCTAGCGTGCCTTGGTTGTGGCCATCCTGCTTCTACTCAGCCCTGCCATGCTATGGGGTGCAGCACAAACCCAGGACCCAGGCCTAGCCACTGCCCACAGCTGATGGTCACTGTTTTGGCTGGCTCCAGAGTGGACAGGTACGCTCTGTCCACAGCAGCTGCTCAGGCACAGTATGCCGTCAGGTGCCCGCTTCTTACCACTGTGTGTCAGCTGGGATTGGCCGACAGCGTGGTGGTGACTTCTAGGTAGACCGATGGACCCTAAATTGGGCAGTGGCATTGTTTCTGCTGTGGTGGGAACTGGCAGGGAGAGGGTCACCTCCACTCTGGTTGGATGCGGAGCTGGTCCCTCTGGCTGCCATGCTGTGTTGGGGCTCTCTGACCTCCCTGCTTGCATTGGGTCTGGGAGAGAGAGTGGAATATTTGGTAGGGACCTTGACAGAAGAGAGCCCTGGGTGCTTGTGGTGCAAAGATCTTCATGCCCAGTTCCAAAGTGAGGTCCCTCCCAAAGTTGTTTTCGTGTGAGGCAGAGAAAGCCACACTCTGAATACATTTTATGTCTCAGGAATTCACATTCCAGGTTCAGGAATTTTATTCCAAAGTCCTTTGGTGCACTCACCGTCCACCGTTCCCCAAGGCAGGGAGAGGGAGTGGCCCGTCCCTGGGAGGCTGGCAAAGTGCTCTCCAGGGAGGGGTCAGACGTCCTTGTGATCTGCCCAGGGTGTCACGGAAGGAGATTTTCTAGCTCCACATCTGTCTGCACATAGGAAGGAAAAGATAGGACTCTAAACCTAGTCATCTTGGAATAAAAAGAAGAGCTGGTTTGTTTTAGAGCAGGGCGGGGGGTGGGGGAGGGAAGCGGGTGTTGGCTGTTTCCAAAGAGAGCACTTAATTTAATTTTTCCTTTAAATGACCCAGGGCTGTTCCGTCTGATAGATGGAAGGGTAACATTGCCTTAAAACAGAAATATGCAGGCGTTGGCTATTTTTGGCATAAGAGCGTGTCTTCATTCCCAAAGTGGTTCTCGTTTAATGGCAGGGTGCGGTCCTTAGGCCCCGGCCTGGACTGGGAAATGGGGGTAGGGCACCAGGAGAGAAATCCTCCTGGGTACTCCTGGCCAGACCCTCCTGAATCATCTGCGGCTTAAACTCATCTCGCTTGAAGGGCAGGGAGAAACCCATGAATCTCAGGCACGGTTCACAGGGGTCCTCAAGGGCAGGTTTCCATTTCATCATGAAGTGAGGGACTCCTGTGGAAGAGGGTGGTGGGCCTTGGAACGCTGCCTCCACTGAGGCGGGCACACAAGGCGGACCCTCCTGAAACAGCCTCCATTTTCTTCAAACATGCAGAATGTTTTCCCAGACTGCGTCTATTTCAGGGTCTTCCATTTTTGTGGTTTATGGCCATGCTTGCCAGTTTTGGTGGGGTTGAGGAACCCATAGGACTCATAGAAATAATAGTGAAAACTCAAACCCTTATTTTGGGACTTCAGTTCTCGTGGTCCATAGGGGCAGAGATGTCAAAGTGAAGGTTGCCTGAGTGAAGGGAGAGTTCCCCTATAAAAGGCCTAAAATTGATCTGGGGCTCAGCCATCAAGGGGCTGGTGTTGCTCCTGTCCCAGACAAGGAAGCCCCTCTTTACATCAGCCATATTAGGGGAACGGTTGTCAGCTCCCCAAATGCCTACTGGATCCTACAGCCATACAGGAAAACAGACGGACACAGCCCTTTCCTTAAAGAGCCCTGGGGTCCTGTCCTGCAGGATGCTGCATAGGAATGGGCAGAGATGTCCTGGATGGGAACATGGTCCTGGAGGTGCCCTACCTGCATCCTGCTGCACCCCCACCCACGACACTCGAGTGCAAGATCGCCTCACTCCTAACCCTGACTTTATTCCCAGGCCCCACACCGAGGCAGGTGCAGGATTCGCCATGGTGCAGCCTCCGGGTACAAACATCTGAGGCACTGGCGATCCCAGTCCTTGCAGCACCCTGAACACAGCTCAGACCAGTGAGGGGTGATTCAGAGGTGGGGATGGGCAGAGAGGGCTGGCCACTCTGCCTCAGGACTTGACCTCAAGTGTTCTGTCTCCCCACCCGGTGTGTCCAGAAGACCAGCCTCTTTCTTGCCAGAAGCAGGTGCTAAGATGGACTGCACAGGGTCCCGGCACTCCCTCGGGACCCATTCAGGATCTCAGCTGGGCAGGGGTGCCACCCAACAGGAAGATGTGATCTGAGCAATAGTGTGGCCTTGTTTCTCCGCTTCTGGTTGTGGCTGTGTGTACAGGGCTACCTATTTTGACTTCTGACAGGTGTCACTGATTTTCTTTCCCCCATTTAAAAAAGGTCATTTAGTCAAAGACACAGTGCTAGAGGTTTAAAGGGTGTAATGTGTTGGTCACATCACAACCAGTAAGAAACGCTTGGTAGGTTATCCACATCTTTTGCTGACTGTTTCCATATACAATTCTGGTCACCATATTTTCCAAAGCTAAAATCTGAGGCGTGGGCTGATGGTTTTTGAAATCAGGATTACCCCAGGAAGAACCAGGTCCTATTACTAATTTTCCTGATTCTGAGGCTCTGAAGGCTTGTCTGAGACACATTCCGGAGACCTTTGTACCAGAACTTGGATGCATAGTCCACCTTACTACTGATACACGCCTGAGCACCCTTTAGGGCGAGGCGCCGCCTCCTGCCTGCTGTCCTGTCCCTCAGCATCAGAAGAGTTGAATTCAGCAGGAGACGGGAGCCCGGTGTCCATGAGGGAAGAGGGGTCGCGCTTGGTTTCTACTGACCCCCATGAAGATTTCAGACTTGCAGTGCGGCCACCTGGCCCTGCCCTGCCTCTCTCTTTCTCATACAGCTTTAAAACTTTACTACTTTTATTTAAAAATGAACTGGATGGGAGAGAAGTAGCGTCCCCTACCCTACAAGTCACACATTCCGGGGAGGGGGGTGGGGGGTGGAGGCAGGAAGTCATGGGGGTGGGGGTGGGAGCACGGGAACAGCTTTCTTAAGGCCTCAGGGTCCTGTTTTCCCTGGCCTCTTCTAGAGGGCCCGTGGACAGGTCGCAGTGCGTGCTTATTTGGAAACCAGGTGTGTGAGCCGAATGCCTGCCAGGCCATGCACTCAGCAGAGGAGCCCTTGTACCTGGCTGCCCTGAGAGGAGCAAGAGGCCACCTCCCATGTGGCTCTAGACACCACGTGGGCTCATTAGCCCCAGCGTCTGTGCCGGCTCCAGGTGCCTGCCTCTGGGTGTGTGAGTGGGAGACTTTGCTCCCTGGCCTCATCCTAGAGAGGCCCCTGGTGCCTAGTGCTGAGGCCTCTGGGGCTGGAAAGCCTCAGCAGAAAGGAGGCACTACTGAGCAACTATGCATTGTCATTGTCGGGTTTGGGGCTTTCGGTGGTTCCTTGGTGACTGGGAATTGCTTGTGTGCATGTGTTGGGTGCATGCTTCCGGGTCTCAGCTGCCCCAGGCCCGCACAGGCAACCCCTTCCCATCCAAAGCCATTGGTGGAGCTTCTCTGGAATCATTTGCCAAAAGCCCAAGGCAGAATCCAAGGGTCCAAGACCATTTCCATGGAGCTCATGTTTTTCTTTTCTGTAGGAACTTTTTTTTAACCAGCACCCACCATAATTCCGAAGGCCACGTTTCATCTTTCCTGGATCACTACAGTGAAGTATTACAGTTGTACAGTTCCCAGTCTGGCCTTGGCTTGCTCGGATAAAACTTTGTATGTATTTTGTATGGCATAGATTCTATATTGTAATGATGTCCTATGCAAAAAGAAAAATTAACGAAATTGTAAATTTTATTGTTTTAACGTGTATGCATGTTTAGTGACGTTTACATTTTGAAATAAAATTTATGATTCATTATTTTATTTGCTGGAGCTAGTTTCTTTGAAGAGCATGTCTTGCAGAGGCTCCGGGAGGGGAGGGGAACTGAAATGCACAAACTCAAGCAGTTGCAATTGACTGAGGGACTGAAGCTTGCCTGGAACTTGGCGGGTCCTATTTTGGAAGGAAGGCTTTGCAGAAGAGCTCTTGCACACAGTGGGTGCTCTTCTGGCTTCCCCTCCTGCCCATGGGAAGCTATTTCAGCTCTTCACATTCCCACCCCTCCGTCCATCCGAAAGAGCACGGAGGAGAACGGGATGTGGTGATGGCAGATTCCCTCAAAGGGCACAGCACCTTTCCCTCAAAGTCCCCCCAAAACACCTGGACTTCCTTTTCCTGGGCAGCAGCCACCGCTTCTTTCAACCCCAGATGCGCTGCTTGCCTCACCCCTCAGCCTAGAGTCTAGAAAACTCCCCTGTTTCTAGCTACCAAAGTTCCTACAACCTACCACGGGCACTGACCCCAAAGTGTGCTCCAGCGAGGACGAGTCCCAGGACACTGGGAGTCTGGGGAGTAGGAAGGCAGGTGTTGATAGCAGAGCCCGTTTAAGTCCCCAATGAACACTAACTGCCCCTGGCTGTCCCCAGGGCAGATGATGTCCTCATCGGAGGCAGTGGGAAGCTGGCAGCTAGTGGAGGAGGTGGCTGCTGGGGTGGAGGTCTGGCCCGAACCCTGTTCTAGCCACAGCATGTAGAAGGGAGGTGCTGGTGCAGCCACATCTCAGCCTCACCCAGGGGTAGACCAGCGCTGCATCTGGGCTGTACACTGTTCATACATGACTACCTGTTCTTTTTCTTTTTTTTGAGACACAGTCTCGCTGTGTAGCCCCACTCGTTGCTGTCGCCGAGGCTGGAGTGCAATGGTGGCAATCTCAGCTCACTGCAACCTCTGCCTCTCAGGTTCGAACGATTCTTCTGCCTCAGCTTCCTGAGTAGCTGGGATTACAGATGTCTGCCACCACGCCCAGGTAATTTTTGTATTTTTAGTAGAGACGAGGTTTCACCATATTGGCCAGGCTGGTCTCAAACCCTTGACCTCAGGTGATCCACTGGCTCAGCCTCCCAAAGTGCTGGGGATTACAGGATTGAGCCACCATACCAGGCCTGTGATTACCTGTTCATAGGGTAAATGAAAACCACCACAAAATGTGAAGTGTTACTAACAAATACAGGCATCGCAGTTGATTAGACATGGTTTTTCCTGAAGCTACCCTGACACCAGCTGGCATTGCCTGATGAACGTTTGTTTTCTGTATCATAGACTGGGGGGAGGGAGGCGTGAAATGAATGCACCCAGGCACATACTGAACAGTCATAAAAACAAGCACACATTTTTCAAACAAAGTCTTTTTGGTACTGAGACGTTTGGAGCCCATTCTTGGTTGGAGTATTTTCCCAGGACAGCCACTGCTCCGCCTTCTCAGAGCCATTTATTGCTCAGTAACTTCCCCAGATAGCAGCAACTGCAGGGTGGATCCGCTTCCATAAATAGTTGTCAGAGGATCCCAGATGCTTAAAAAATATTGACAGGAAAAAAAAAAAGCCTGTCAGTTATGTCACTGCTGAGATTTGAAACCCCTCCTGGTATTTCTTTCCAGAAGACTGGGGGACCCACCATTCATGGAGCCCCCATCCCAGGAATGAGGGGTCTCCTAAGGCCTTCAGAGGCCCCCGGTAATGGAGAAAAAAAGCAAGCAATAGATTTTCCCGGCTTTTGAAGAACAAATGTATGAGTGTCTCTGGCATGCGTGTAGCACATTTTCTTCTCACGCTTTCTTTTTGGACCAGGTCACAAAGCAGTTTCGGGTGGCGGAGAGGGTCTGTGGCTGACAGGTCCTCTGTGCTGAGCAGAGATGACAGTGTCCTGGAGGCAGGCCTGAGAGGCCAGCCTCAGGACACTCCTGGACCTGACCCTTTTTCCATATTTCTCAGGACTTGGATTAGAAGTCAGGTTTGTGGCAGTTAGGCGAAGTGCTGTGTCTGGCTGCATAGTGACCCAGGTGAGGGGAAGCATCTGGTGGAGGGCGGAGGTGCACTCCCTAAGAGGGCCAAGCCTGGCAAAGGCTCACAGTGACATCTGCCCCTCTAAAGAAGGACTTCTGGCCGCGCGCAGTGGTTCACGCCTGTAATCCCAGCACTCTGGGGGGCCGAGGAAGGCAGATCACCTAAGGTCAGGATTTCGAGTTCAAGACTAGCCTGACCAACATGGAGAAACCCTGTCTCTACTAAAAATTCAAAAATGTGGCTTGTGCCTGTAGTCCCAGCTACTTGGGAGGCTGAGGCAGGAGAATCGTTTGAACCCGGGAGGCAGAGGTTGCAGTGAGCCGAGATCACGCAACTGCACTTCAGCATGGACAACAAGAGCGAAACTCTGTCTCAAAAACAAATAAATTAATAAAGAAGGACTTCCCATTCCTTGGTGCTGGCCTGTAGGCAGTGAGCACCCTGTCGCTGGAGGCATTCAAGCAGGGGCTGAAACACTGCTTGCCAGGAATTCCATGAAGGGACTGGTGTTCTGGAAGGGGGCCCAGTTAGCGTTCAGAGGAAGGGCCACAGTGTTTTCCAAGTGGACTCACTGGGGTGTAATCATCAAGACCCTCTGACACTTTCTCCTAGCCTTGTTGGTCATGTTGGGGTGTGGACTGGCCTTTTCTGGGTTGGGTTTGGCTGCAGAAGGTCTTGAATAACAGACTAGGCGATGTGTAGCTTATTCTGGGGACATGGGTGGCTCAATTACCCCCAATCAAACCTCATCTAGGCCATGCTAAAATTCCTGCCATTGGCACCACTCCTAAAAAGTCTCCTACGTGGAAAGCAGTAAAGACATGCAGCTACTCCTGGCAGGGCTGCTATCTCTGCACCAACTTTCCTCCACCGTTACGCATCAGAGACCAGCATTCCAATGGTACATAGGACAGGCAGGTTTGTACAGAAGACAGTGTTGGAAACACAAGGCCTGTATTAATTGCCAGTTGCTGGCTGGGCACAGTGGCTTATGCCTGTAATCCCAGCATTCTGGAAGGCCAAGGCAGGCAGATCACGAGGTCAGGAGTTTGAGACCAGCCTGGCTAACATCATGAAACCCCATCCCCACTAAAAATACAAAAATTAGCCGGGCATGGTGGCGGGTGCCTGTAATCCCAGCTACTCGGGAGGCTGAGGCAGGAGAACGGCTTGAACCCGGGAGCTGGAAGTTGCAGTGAGCGAAGATCGCGCCATTGCACTCCTGCCTGGGCGACAGTGCAAGACTCTGTCTCAAAAAAAAAAAAAAAATAGAATGCCTATTCCTGCTGTAACAAATTACCATAAGCAGTGGCTTAAAGCAACACAAATTTATTCTTTTATTCTCTTGCAGCTCTGGAGGTCAGAAGTGCAAAACAAGTCTTACAGGGCTAAAATCCAGGTGTCATCAGGGCTGCTTCCTTCTGGAGTCTTGTTTTCCTTCCCAGCTTGTAGAGGCCACCTACGTTCCTTGGCTTGTGGCCTCCTCCACTGTCTTCAAATCCATCAGAGTAGCGTCTCCTCTCTGACCTCCTAATCTCCCTCTTATAAGGACCTCTGTGATTACCCTGTGCGGCTGAGATGTGGCTGCACATCAGGCTGCCCCCAACCCTGAACTAGTCCAGGATGAGCCCCCCATCCACCCCAGCCTTCATGTCCTTCCTGCACTCCCCTGAGCTGCAGGGAGCAAAGTGGCAGCTTAGGCTGCAGGGCTTGATGAACTCCTGCCTAGTGGAAGGAGCCTGCATCCCACTCTCCATGACCCAAGCAAATTCACAAAACATAGTTGAATTAAACTGGACTGAGCATCTCTTCCACCTGTGTTTTGTCATCCTTCATAGTATTCCCTATCAACTATTCAGCTTTAAAAAGTAGGAGTAATAGTAAAAATAATTGTCACTTCACTACAGTTCTTAAAAGCCGATCAGTTCTTGAAGACCTGCACCCCAGTTCACCTGCTGCTGCCTGCACAGCCGTTGCTCAGGGCGGAGAAAGGTCTGGTGTCTCCGTGCCAGACGCAGCTGGGCCTTCAGCTCTGAGCAGCCTGCCACGCAGCTGTGGAAAGAAGTCTTTTCCTGAGCCTTGCCTTCACCTGGGAAGCAAGCTTGGCATGGTCTGTGTGGGGTCATGGTGAAGTTCCCAGTGGTGTGCGAGATGTCAGATGCTGGGAACTGTACCCATGCCAGATACTCAGGCCCCCAGGCCAGGCCTCCACTCTCACATGCCACTGGGAAATGATCCCTGTGGACAGAGACTGGGACTGACCTGGGACACAGAGGAAGGCTGTCCCACATTGCACTCCCTGTCCCAGAGGCCTGCCGGGCAGCAGCCACTTGCCCAGATCCTGGGCCAGAGGGTTGCTTGCTGAGCTGTACCCTCTGAGCACTCTCAGAGGGAGGGAGGTGTGAGTAGTCCCAACTTAGGGCTGCAGAGGGTACGAGGCTCAGAGGGTTGAAGTGGCCTTCTCAAGGTCACACAGCTGGCAAAAGTCACGGAGGGACCCTGGTCTGATTGGACCACTGGCCACAGCTGCCTTTTAAGCTCTGAGTTCTAAAGGCTTCTAACCTGTCTAGGGGTACCTTTGTCTATTCTCTGGCATTGTGGGACAGGCCCAGAAGAGTGACAGGCCCCATGACACAGGGCTGGTGACTTAGCATTTTTCTGGCTGCTGCATTTCTGGGGCCTGAACACTGGCCAGTGTGGGCCTGCACCTGGCAGCTCAGTGTGTCCAATGCAATGTCCTCTAAAAAGATGAGCAAGCTGCCCTCAGGGGGGCCCAGTCCCAGGCACTGTGAGGTTCAGACCTCCCTTCAGGGCCCACCAAGCAACCAGGCAAAGCCCTTTCCCCTGCATAGCTGTGACTCCCTGTGCCCAGGCTGCCAATGTGTCTAGGTACCGCGTCCACTCACTCAGACCTCTTGGAACTCAGAGACAGACAGTACAAAGTCGTGACGGGCGTTGCCCTCATTTACAAGCACATGATAGGCCCAAGGAGCTCAGTCTGGGTGTCCTGACCCCAGCTCCAGGGCTCATTCTTGACCCCTGCCCCATCATAATGTCTTCCATTCCCAACCTCACAATTAGGTAATCATTTACTTATGAATGGGCCAGGGGACCAGGGAGAATCAACAGTAAATATCAAGATGGCCTGCATAATCAGCAGACTTCCTCTGCACCTCCTAAGAGGGGTCCTCATCTCAACACCAGCAACACAAGGTGTTTTGGGAAAGTGGTTATTGCATGCTTACCCTGATGAACACAGCTGCTCCCTGTCTCTTGTCTGTCTCCTGCTCTTTTAACCATAAACACACTCCAGTGGGTTTTCTGAGATCGACTGTTGGCCTGTGGGGGCGGAACATGCTCAGAGCAGGGAGGATGGCCTCCTTCCCGGGCTCTGCAGTGCTCTCCCACCGTGGCCCAGTGGACTTTGTACATGAACCTTCCACTTTGGGAAGACCAGCTACTAGTTTGTGGAACCTGGATTACAATGGAAACACAAACTCTAAATCCAAGAGAACAGGTGCCTCTGCAGTGAGGGTCACAGGGCCAGGAGAGGCACACATAGGAGTGTCAGCGATGATGACAGCCTAGTGCTGAGGACAGGGTCGCACTCACACTTTCATTACATATGTTCTTGTGAATGCAGCGAATGTCACATAAGAACAACATTAAAAGAAAGTTATCTGTTAAAAATATCAAGATGGGCCGGGCGCGGTGGCTCACGCCTATAATCCCAGCACTTTGGGAGGCCAAGGCGGGCAGATCACGAGGTCAGGAGATCGAGACCATCCTGGCTAACACGGTGAAACCCCGTTTCTACTAAAAATGCAAAAAAAATTAGCTGGGCGTGGTGGTGGGCGCCTGTAGTCCCAGCTACTCGGGAGGCTGAGGCAGGAGAATGGTGTGAACCTGGGAGGCAGAGCTTGCAGTGAGCCAAGATCACGCCACTGCACTCCAGCCTGGGCAACAGAGCGAGACTCCGTCTCAAAAAATAAATAAATAAATAAATAAAATAAAATAAAAATATCAAGATGTTTCGAATAGCTTAAATGTCCAGGAATAGGAGATTAATTCAATGAACCACATAACCTCCATTATGACTAATACCCAATCTATTATTAAGTGAAAGAGGTGAGGTAGGTTGCAAAACAGTACAGAAGTATGATCATGATTTATTAAAACACTTTTCTCTATAGCTATATTGTGTTTACATGTTTAAATGCATAGAAAAAGGGTAGGTAGGCCAGGTGAGGTGGCTCATGCCTGTAATCCCAGCACTTTGGAAGGCTGAGGCGGGCAGATCACCTGAGCTCAGGAGTTCAAGACCAGCCTGACCAACATGGTGAAACCTCGTCTCTACTAAAAATACAAAAATTAGCCGGGTGTGGTGCCTGTAATCCCAGCTACTCAGGAGGCTGAGGCAGGAGAATGGCTTAAACCCTGGAGGTGGAGGTTGCAGTGAGCCGAGATCACACCACTGCACTCCAACCTGGGTGAGAGTGAGGCTCCTTCTCAAAAACATAAGGACAGGTAAGAGACAGAACCAACTCAAGCAATTGTTACCTTTAGGTAGAGGACAACAGATGACTTTTATTTACTTATTTTTGTATGCTCTCTAAATTCTCAAAACTACTCAGGTATCACTTTTGTCATTAAAACTCACAATAGCACTTTTGTGAGGCTAAGAGCTTGCCAAAGGTAAGCTGGCACAGTGTGTCCCCACTTCATCCCCCAAAAGATGTCCACCAACATTCATGAGCGTACTTTTGGACATACCCCAAATGCCCTCAACATGTCCACACAAGGACAGACACGCCCAAAGGCTGTCCACACGTTGGTGCAAAGGGATGACATAGAGCTGAGTGTGTCATCCCAAAGTCACCCAAAAACCATGCTGCACCACAAAAGCAAGCTGCTAAAGGAGCACCAAACACACCAAGCAATGCCATGTGCTACTCATGCATCCATACCTGCTATGGACTGAATGTTTGTGTCCCTGCCAAACTCACGTGTTGAACTCTAACCCTCAATAGGATGGCATTAAGGAGGTAAGGCCTTGGGGAGGTGATTAGACCATGAGGGTGGATCTCATGATTTCATAATCCTCATGAATGGGATTGATCCCTTCACAAGAAGAGATGTGAGAGGGATGATCTCTCTCTCATCCACATGAGGATATAAGAAGGTGGTGGCCATCTGCAAACAAGGAGGAGAGCCCCCACCAGACGCTGGATCTGTCCGCACCTTGATATTGGACTTCCCTGCCTCTAGAACTGTGAAAAGTAAATGTTTGTTGTTTAAGTCATCCAGTCTATAGTAATTAGTTTTAGCAGCCTGAACTGATGAGTATCTATAGACCAAGAGCATGAAACCTACATGATGAAGGTTAATCCCAAAGTCAGGACAAGGTGACTGAGAGGGGCCCAAGGGGGTTGCAACATTAGATTTATTTAGGATTTACAGGTATACCTTGTTCTAGTGCACATGATTTTATTGCACTTTGCAAATATTGTGTTTTTTAGAAATTGAAGATTTGTGGCAAATCCACCTTGAACAAGTCTATTGGTGCCATTTTTCCAACAGCACATGCTCACTTTGTGTCTTGGTCACATTTTGGTATTTCTCAAAATATTTCAAACATTTTTACTATTATTACATCTATTATGGTGATCTGTGATCAGTGATCTTTGATGTTACTCTTGTAATTGGAGTGCCATGAACCACTTCCATATAAGATGGCAAATTTAATTGATAAATGTGTGTGTTCTCACTGCTCCACCAACCTGCCTTTCCCTGTCTTTCTCCCTCTCCTCAGGCCTCCCTATTCCCTAAGACACAATATCGAAATTAGGCCAATTAATAACCTTACAATTGCCTCTAAGTGTTCAAGTGAAGGGAAGAGTCACAGGTCTCTCACTTTAAATCAAAAGCTAGAAATAGTTAAGCTAGTGAGGAAGCCATGTGAGGAAGTCTCAAAAGGTGAGGTAGGCTGTGCCAAGTAGTTAGCCACATTGTGAATGCAAAGGAAATGTTCTCGAAGGAACTTAAAAGTGTTAACTCCAGTGAATGCATGAATGATACGAAAGTGAAATGGGCTTATTGCTGATATGGAGAAAGTTTCAGTGGCTTGGATAGAAGATCAAACCAGCCACAACATTCCCTTTAGTCAAAGCCTAATTCAGAGCAAGGTCCCTAACTTTCTTTCAATTCTACAAAGGCTAAGAGAAGCTACAAAGCTAGAAAAGAAAAGTTGGAAGCTAGCAGAGGTTTATTCATGAGGTTTAAAGAAAGAAAGTATTAGGCTGGGCGCAGTGGCTCATGCCTGTAATCCTAGCATTTTGGGAGACCAAGGCAGGAGGATCACCTGAGGTCAGGAGTTTGAGACCAGCCTAGCTAACACGGTGAAACCCTGTTTCTACTAAAAGTACAAAAAATTAGCTGGGCGTGGTGGCGTGCACCTGTAATCCTAGCTACTTGAAAGGCTGAAGCAGGAGAATCACTTGAATCTGGGAGGCGGAGGTTGCAGTGAGCCGAGATCGTGCCATTGCACTCCACCTTGGGCAACAAGAATGAAACTCCATCTTAAAAAAAAAGAAAAGAAAAAAGAAAGAAGGCATCTCCACAACATAAAAGTGCAAGATGAAGCAGCAAGTGCTGCTATAGAAGCTGCAGCAAGTTATCCAGAAGATCTAGCCAAGATCATTGATGAAGGTGGCTTTACTACACAACAGATTTTCAATGTAAATGAAACTGACTCTATTTGAGGAAGATCCCATCTAGGACTTTCAAAGCTAGAGATAAGTCAATGGCTGGCTTTAAAGGACAGGCTGGCTCTCTTGTTAAAGGCTAACACAGTTGATGACTTTAAGTTAAAGCCAGTGCTAATTTACCATTCGGAAAATCCTGGGACCATTAAAAATACACTAAATCTACTCTGCCTATGCTCTAGAAATGGAAGAACAAAGCCTGGATGACAGCACGTCTATTTACAGCATGGTTTACTGAATATTTTTAAGCCCACTTTGAGATCTACTGCTCAGGAAAAAAGACTCCTTTCCGATGAAACTTGAATGAATGAGGAGTTGCTTCTTATGGATGAGCAAAAACAGTGGTTTCTTGAGATGGAATCTACTCCTTGTGAAGATGCTGTGAACATTGTTGAAATGACAGCAAAGGATTTAGAATATTCCATAAACTTAGTTGATAAAGCAGTGCCAGGGTTTGAGAGGACCGACTCCAATTTTGGAGGAAGTTTTACCGTGGGTAAAATGCTATCAGCATTGCACACTACAGAGAAGTCCATCACTAAAAGACTAGTCAATTGGGTGTGGCAAACTTCATTGTTGTCTTATTTGAAGAAATTGCCACAGCCACCCAAACCTCAGCAACCACCACCCTGATCAGTCTGCAACCATCAACATTGAATCAAGACCTTCCAGCAGGAAAAAGACCAAAACTTGCTGAAGGCTTAGATGATTGTTAGCATTTGTTAGCAAAAAAAGTATTTTTAAATTAAGGTATGTACATTATTTTTATAGACAGAATGCTATTGCACACTTAATAGGCTACAGTATAGTTTAAACATAACTTTTATATGCACTGGGAAACCAAAAAATGTGTGTGACTCACTTTATTGTGATATTTGCTTTATTGCAGTGGTCTGGAACCAAACCCACAATATCTTTGAGGTCTGCCTGTACGAGAACTGGGTGGTGGGAAAAGTGGGGCTTGTTTTTCCTTTCTTTGTATTCACTGTAGGTGTGAAATGTTTGACAATTTGACAGTCTGTGACATGGTTCACAGATGTGGTTCCTGCATGTTATCAGGGCTTGGCCAGGTTCAGGCAGGCCTGCAGGCTGTCCCTACAACGGGCAGATTGAAGTGTGCACAGATGTCCGTGACAGGGCTGTGACCAGCCTGTGATCAGGCTGTGACCAGGTTGCTGCCTGGACCAGGCAGAGCTTTGTCCCATAATAGGGGTGCTGCCAGGGAGTCTGGCACCTGGAGCACAGCCACTGGCTTGGACATGAGCCATCAAACAGCATGGAATAAAAATAGAACTGCTTCAGCCGGAGAGGAGACAGGCTGAGCTCCTTGCTGGGAGGCCTTTAAAACAAGAACAGGTTTCATTGATCTGAGACTAGGTAAGGATGCTGCCACGAGTCAGGAAGGAGTCGAAGTCATCTGTCCTGGTACCTGGAAGTGCCTGAACATGATGGGCCTGGGTGGTTATTATTCTTCTCATCAGCTGGCACTGTAACTTTAGGTAAGCATTAGAAACTGTTTGTTTGTTTGATTGTTTGTTTGTTTTCCCTTCATGTCTAGGGTATAGAATGCATGCTCTGTGTACAGTTGGTGACAGTTGTAAAACTGAGAAAGTGCCAGTGAAAATGATTTTAAAAATGAAACAGAAAGGCTGGGTGTGGTGGCTCACGCCTGTAATCCCAGCACTTTGGGAGGCTGAGGAGGGCAGATCACCTGAGGTCAGGAGTTCAAGACCAGCCTGACCAACATGGAGAAACCCTGTCTCTCCATGTAAAAATACAAAATTAGCCGGGTGCGGTGGTGCGTGCCTATAATCCCTCTCAGCTACTCAGGAGGCTGAGGCAGGAGAATCGCTTGAACCCAGGAGGTGGAGGTTGCGGTGAGCCAAGATTTCAGCCTGAGTGACAAGAGCGAAACTCTGTCTCAAAAAAAAAAAAAAAAAGAAAAAGAAAACCAGTAAAATATGTTTATTTTATGGAGTATTGAGTCATGATGTTCAAGGACTTTGGAAGTAATTTGATTGTTGGTTTTATTTTTAAAATTCAGGAATTCTAATCATACATACGAACAAGGTTAAAAAATCCCAAAAAAAAAAAAAAAAAAAAACTAATGATAAGAATGTCTCTTTACCCATTCCCCCCACACACACCAGTTCTACCACCTTGGGATTAAACTTTTTTTTTTTTTTTAGGGGACTAAACTTTTTATCGCTTCTGTTTTTAATTTGTTTTTGTCGTTATTCCCTTCAGTGTTAATAAAATACTTGTCCTCCTACTTTGTGATTTATGAGTATTTGACAAAATACACTGGCTTCCTAATATGAAAGATGAATACCGTTGACCATTGAACAACATGGGTTTGAACTGCGTGGGTCCACTTCCATGTAAATTTTCTCTTGCCTCTGCCACCCCTGAGACAGCAAGATCAGCTTCTCCTCTTTCTTCTCCTCCTCAGCCTACTCAACATGAAGACAATGAGAATGAACGAACACCTTTATAATGATCCACTTCTACTTAATGAATACTAAATATATTCTTTCTTATAATTATTTTCTTAATAACATTTTCTTTTCTCTAGCTTACCATATTGTAAGAATGCAGAATATATCTCACATACAAAAGATGTGTTAATTATCTGTTCATGTGATCAGCAAGGCTTCTTCTCGTCAACAGGCTATCAGTAGTTAAATTTTTGAGGAGTCAAAAGTTTTATGTGGATTCTTGACTCAATGGGGGAGGGGATCAACGGTCCCAACCCCTATGTTGTTCAAGCATCAACTGTAATTACCTCCAGTCCCCTCTACCCTCTGCACCTTCTCCCTCCTCCCCCTGTGTTTACATTAGAGGAGTGTTTTAACTCTTCTGCAGATTCTCTCTGAAACTTTACATTAGCTCTTACTCCCCTATATTTACTACCATACCTTTGGTCTGCATCTTGACTCCCCTTCATGGAAGGTGGGAGTAGGATGGCCTCTGCTATCCACTCTCTCTAGGTCCCACAACACCATCCTCCTCAGCCTTTACTTTTGCAGCTTAGTCTATAGTAAAAGTGGAGCCCAGTGGATTCGAACTGCAACAGTGGGAGCCTCTACACCCCTAGGCAGTTGGGCATGTCACTGTTACATGTTACTCACTGCACAGCTAACCGCTGGGCCAGGGGCACATTTCTTTCTCTATGGGCCTAAAGTCATCAACACCACCACCACCGTCTCCAACCACACAAGGAAGATATTCTTAGCATCCAGAGCAAATGGGGCGAACTCATTTTGCCTTCCCTCAGGAACTGAAAATCCTATCCTATGTTAGTTTGCTTTACAGTGGAAGTTGAATTTTGTTATATACATTTTCCCTATAGCTTTTATTTGCCTTGCTTCCTTTTTATTAACAGAATAATATTAATAACAGAATAATAATGTGCCTTTGATGTGGCCTCAGTTTTGCCACCCTTTTATTCTCAAGACCTCCCCTGCCCTCTCCTACCCCATGGATCCGCACCCCCACTCCTTGTCCCTGAGTGGGAGCACAGCCCCGGACTCCCTTTACCACCCTCTGGTGGATCACTCAAGAGTCAATCCCAGGTCTTTCTCTTAGCTTTCTTTCTCACTTTGCTGGAATACATCCTCAAGTAACTATCCAAGAAAGGATGCATGGGACGATGGGTTTCTGCTTTTTTGAGTCCTTGGAGGTCTAACAGTATCTTTTTTCTACCCCATGCTTGATTCATAATTTGGCCTAGTATAGAAAACAAGGTTCAAAATTACTTGCCAATCATCTTCTTACAACCATTGCTACTGATGGGGATCTGATGCACTGCAGTTCTCAGCCTTTGCCGTGAACATTTTATTTTTACCATCTTCGAAATCTGTCAACCAATCTTACTCCCTGTTGCTCTGCACTTTTGTTCAGATATTTTTAGAGGCAGGTCATTTTTTCCTTGATCCTGCATTCCACGGAGCACTCCATCTGCAGACCCATGTCTCCTTAGGTCTGTTCCTTAGGTCTGCAACGCTTTCCTCTAATCTTGTATTGTTAATTGCCCTCCCTCTACATTCTTTTCTTTTGGAATTCCTATTAGTTGAAGGTGGATTTACTGAATCAGGCTTCTGTGTCCCTTATCTCTGTGTTCGGCATTATCCCTGTGTTTATTTTCCTTCTTTTCTTCTGGTCTGCTCCCTGAGCTGAAACAGGCTTCCTTACTCAAATCTCATTCATCCCCTAAGACCCAGACCACAGGTCATGTCTGGTGGGAGCCTTTCTGGCCATCCCTGTCCCCAAACAGTGTTCATGGCACTCTTGGCCATGGCATTTTGTCCTGACCCTTACTAGGCTGTTGAGTCAGGAAAGGATGTACATTCTCAACTGCATGGGGCTTCTCTATGGGGTGGAGGGCTGTGGGGACTATGGCGGGGGTGGATAATGTGGGGGAGTGTGGGGGGGCTGTGTGGGGCTGAGGGGGCTGTGAGGGTCTCTGGGGAACTCTGTAGGGCTGAGGGGGTTGTGTGGGCCTCTGGGGGTGCTCTGTGGTCCTGTGGGGGGGCTGGGTATAGGGCTGAGGAGGCTGTGGGGGTGGGTGCTGGGTGTTGGGCTGTGGGGGGCTGAAGGGGGCTGGGTGTGGAACTGTGTAGGCTGTGTGGGGCTGTGGGTGTCGGGGTTGTGGGGCTGTGCGGGGCTGAGTGCGGGGACCTGGGTGTGGGGTCTGTGGGGGCTGGGTTTGTGGGGCTGTAGGGCTGTGGAGGGGGGATCTCTGTTGGGGGGCTGTGCTCCAAATTTCCAAAACTCCACGTTTTGGAAATTCAGTGGAGTCTGCTCGCCGCATTTTAACAATGGGGGCCCTGCACCGGCCCAAGACAAGGGTCAGCTCGGGGCTGGGCCAGGAGCCCCATCTGGGGCCCCACACCCATTTCTGGGATTGCCCCCCACCCCGCCCCCGCCCCCGCCCCCGACGCTTCCGGGAGGTCTAGGCGGCTGCCGTGGGCCGGTCCGAAACGGCTCTAGGTGCACTGTTGGGGGGCTGTGTGGGGGCTCTGTAGGGGGGCTGTGGGGGGCTGTGTGGGGCTGTGTGGGCTGGGTGTTACTGCGCTCCTCAGGCAGTCAGGAGCCCTCGAGGAGTCCGCGGAGTTGGGTTGGGGGAGGCGGAGCCCGGCGGGAGGCGCTTCCCGGGCTTCCCAGGCTCTAGTAAGTTCCTGGAATTCGTGAACTGCCGGCCCGGGGGAGGATCTGTGAAGGCCCCGGGAAGGCAGAGGATTCCTGCGCGGACTGCCGCGTTCGGAGGGCAGCCGGGACGGCTGGGCCGGAGGCGGGGGAGCCCTCGGCTGGGCGGGCGCCGAGCCCGGCCGGGCCATTCACTGCCTCCGAAGCGAGCGGCCAGACCCGCCAGCTGCCCACTCGCCCCCGACCCCCGGGTCGCGGTCTCCATCCCCCTCGGACCCCGGCCAGCCCCAGGCCCTCGCGGCCGCCGCAGTACGTCGTCTCCACTTCGCAGCGCCCTCTGCCCACTGCGATTCCCCCAGCCCACGGCGAGCTCAGATGACACAAGGATGATGCTGTGGTCCGGGAGAGAACGATAAGGATTGTCACTGTGCTTTGCACTCTGTCATTCTAAGTTTCTTCTCCTCACGTGAGCTCATGTACCGCGGGCAGCGACTATCAGTGAGACTGGGGTAGACGCCACCTCTTTGGCCGCGGGCTGGGGCGCCGAGTCACGGGTCGCGGGGACGGGGCGGCGGTGCTGAGCCTCGAGCCGCCCAGGCCACGCCCCTCCTGATGTGGCCCCGCCCTGCTCTCCCAGCTCTCACCCGCGTCCTTTTCCCCCGGGTCCCCTGCGCTCCTCAGGACCCTGACGGCGCATCCTGGGTCCTCTACGCGCGCGACTGTCCCGCCCCTGAAGGGGCCTGCAGGGTGTCCACGGGACTCGGCTCTTCCTCCCTGACCCCTCAGGCCTGTCCTGGGGGTCCGCCCTAGAAATAGCTCGGAGGAAGGAGCCAGTGACTTGGGTGACGTTTTGGAAATTCAGTAGAGTCTGCTCGCGGTATTTTAACAATGGGGGTCCTGCACCGGCCCAAGACAAGGGTCAGCTCGGGGCTGGGCCAGGAGCCCCATCTGGGGCCCCACACCCATTTCTGTGATTGCCCCCCACCCCGCCCCCGCCCCCGCCCCCGCCCGCGACGCTTCCGGGAGGTCTAGGCGGCTGCCGTGAGCCGGTCCGAAACGGCTCTAGGTGCACTGTCCGGCTCCAGCCAGGTCCGCTACGCCTGGAGAGCATGGAGGCAAGTTCTGCCGGCTCCACCTGCAAAGCAGAGCCCCTTTCCACGACTGTGCAGCACCGCTCGCTCCAGCCCCACCATACCCGCCTGGACGGAGACCGACCGCAGCCTGGGAGAGCCTCCAAGCCTGGAGGCGGGCGCGCGAGCCCTTTCCAAGGAGAACCCACAGCGGCTTCCCCTCTTGCTCCAGGGGCCTCTAGATCCCACCCCACCTGGCACCTGCGTCTCTCCCAGAACTCGGCCTGCCCCTACCTTCCCGCCAGCCCCCACCCTGCTGGGGCTACTGGGACCTCCTAGCGGCATGCAGCGTTCAGTAAGCAGCCGCCGGGCCCGGCCTTCGGCCTTTGCATTTCCCGGTCCAGATATGGAGGTGACGGAGGTGTGCTGCGCACTCCCTGCACGCCTCTCCTCCACTGCTCCCCCATGAGAGGCCTTCCCTAAACCCGGCTAAAGAGTACCTACCCCGTCACCCCCGGCCCGTCCCCCCCCCGTCCCCCTCAGACCTAGGATGCACCCACCCGCCAGGGGGTTTCAGAGCCAGGGCAGGGTGCCGGCCATCCAGCCCCATCCCAGCACCCTTGTCCCTCGGTCCTCCCACTACTCGTCTAGTACTCCCTACACGCCACTCCGCAGGGCTCAACCCCCGCTGTGCTCTGCGGTCGCAGCTGCAGCCGCTTCGGTGCTCCAAGACCAGAGAGGAAGCAAAGACAGAGCTTTCCCAGCCAGGCATCGCTGCTTTGGCCTTGAAGGTGAGGTGGGTGATGATGAGAGTTCCCACTGAGATCATGTTCATTATGGCCCAGGCATCGTTCTGAGTGCTGGACCTGTATCCATCCTCCCGTCTCATTACTACCACAGCCCTGTTCACAGAGCAAACAGAGGCCTCTATGGAGAGTCAAGGACATGCTGCCTGGCTGGAGGGCACCGGGTCGGGCTTCTGTCTGCGAGGGTGGTGGGTGGAGAGGTGGGGGGACAGGCAGCGGCATCTGCCAAGCCTGGACTGCCTTTGCCCTTGCATCTCAGGGGGCTCCCACAGGGATCACCTGGACAGACAGGAAGCAACTTGCAGGCAAGGTTGTTCCTGGGGGCGCGGTCCATGAGGCTAACATCTCCACAGAGAAGCGCTGTGCACTGGCCAAAGAGAGATGCTGACAGCGCTGGGGTGCAATGTTAAGTTAAAGGAAAAAAAAGGAAGGTGCCAAGCAGTACATGGAAGACAATCCTACCTGAGTAAGAATGTAGGGAGTATTTTGGCCGGGCGCGGTGGCTCACGCCTGAAATCCTAACACTTTGGGAGGCTGAGGCAGGCGGATCACGAGGTCAGGAGATCGAGACCATCCTGGCTAACACGGTGAAACCCCGTCTCTACTAAAAAAAAAATACAAAAACAAAAAATTAGCCTGGCGTGGTGGCGGGCACCTGTAGTCCCAGCTACTCGGGAGGCTGAGGCGACAGAATGGCCTGAACCCGGGAGGCGGAGCTTGCAGTGAGCCCAGATTGGGCCACTGCCCTCCAGCCTGGGTGACAGAGCGAGACTCCGTCTCAAGAAAAAAAAAAAAAAGAAAAGAAAGAAAGTAGGGAGTATTTTAAAGAGTGTGGGTGTGTATTTTATATAGATTTTGCTTATTTTTTCAAAAAGAAGTCCTGTGGATATGGGCAGAGAGGATGGAGGTGGAAGTGAGACTTCTCTAGGTGCATTTTTTCTATAACTTTTTTGAGATATAATTCACATATATAATTCACCCATTTACTGTATGTAATCCATTGGCCTTTAGTATATTCACAGACGTGCAACCATTACCACAGTTAATTATAGAATATTGCCTCAAAATAAAACCCTGTACCCTTTAGCTATCACCCCGATATTCCCCCATTTTCCCTGGCCCTAGGAGCCACTCATCTACTTGCCTCTTCTGAATATCTCATATAAATGTAATCAAACAATATGTGGCTTTTTTGTGTCTGTCTCATTTCACTTAGCATAAATTTTTAAGTTTCATCCATGTTGTATCATGTGTTAGTACTCCACTCCCTTTGTTTTGTTTTGTTTTGTTTTAGAGGGAGTCTCCCTCTGTTGCCCAGGCTGGAGTGCAGTGAGGCAATCTCGGCTCACTGCAACCTCCACCTCCTGGATTCAAGCGATTCTCCTGTCTCAGCCTCCTGAGTAGCTGGGATTGCAGATGCCCGCCACCACGCCCGGCTAATTTTTGTATTTTTAGTAGAGATGGCGTTTCACCACGTTGGCCAGTCTGGTCTCGAACTCCTGACCTCAAGTGATTTGCCCACTTCTGCCTCCCAAAGTGCTGAGATTACAGGCGTGAGCCACTGTGCCCGGCCCCTACTCACTATTATGGCTTGATAATACTCTGTCGTATGGATATACTATTTTTTTAAAGTCCATTCATCCACTGATGGATGTTTGGGTTATTTCTACTCCTTAGCTGCTATGAATGCTGCTGCTATGAACATGTGTGTACAAGCTTCTGTGTAGACATAAGTTTTCTTTTTTCCTTATTTATTTATTTATTTATTTTTGGACATAAGTTTTCATTTCTCTCGGGTATACACCTAGGAGTGGGATTACTGGGTCATGTAGCAACATTATGTTTAGTTTTGAGGAACTGCCAGACTGTTTCCATCTGCACTATTTTACATTCCCACTGGCAATCCATGAGAGGTCCAGCTTCTCCACATGCCCCAACACTTGTTACTGTCCTCCTTTTTGTTCATAGCCATCGTCACGGATGTGAAGTGGTACCTTATTGTGGTTTTGATTTGCATTTCCCCGATGGCAACATTTCATCTACAGTTTTGACATTTAATTTCACTTAATAATATCACATCAAAATTAATTTGATAAAATAAAAATGGGGGAGGGAAACCCCCAAAGTATGTGGAATTGAGTTTCCCAAGTCATGCTGCTGCTTGGTGGTGGAGCTGAGATTCCGGCCCAAGAAGTCTGCCTCAGAGTCCCTGATCCTCCATCCTCTGCCTACTGGACATTCACCAGCTTTTCTGGCTGTTGTCCCCTCAGGGCCTGTGATACACGTGCCCTGGGAGGGTTGGTTTTTTTGTTTTTCTTTCTTTCTTTCTTTTTTTTGAGACGGAGTTTCGCTCTTGTTTCCCATGCTGGAGTGCAATGGCGCGATCTTGGCTCAATGCAACCTCCGTCTCCTGGGTTCAAGAGATTCTCCTGCCTCAGCCTCTTGAGTAGCTGGGATTACAGGCATGCGCTACCACGCCCGGCTAATTTTGTATTTTTAGTAGACGGGGTTTCTCTGTGTTGGTCAGGTTGCTCTCAAACTCCCGACTTCAGGTGATCTGCCCACTTCGGCCTCCCAAAGTGCTGGGATTACAGGCATGAGCCACCGTGCCCGGCCTAATTTTTGCATTTTTAGTAGAGACAGGGTTTCACCATGTTGGCCAGGATGGTCTTGATCTCTTGACCTTGTGATCTGCCTGCCTCGGCCTCCCAAAGTGCTGGGATTACAGGCTTGAGCCACCGCGCCCGGCCTAGGGTTTTTAAGGATAATTTGGTGGTTGGGGGGCAGCCAGTGAGTTGGGAGTGCTGATTGGTCAGTGATGAAATCTTAGGGAGTCGAAGCTGTCTTCTTGCATTGAGTCAGTTCCTGGTTTGGGGCCACAAGATCAGATGAGCCAGTTTATTGACCTGGGTGGTGCCAGCTGATCCATGGAGTACAGGGTCTGCAAAATATCTCAAGCACTGATTTTAGGGATCTTAGGCTTTACAATAGTGATGTTATCCCCAGAAGCAACTTGGGAAAGTCAGAATCTTGTAGCCTCCAGCTGCGTGACTCCTAAACCATAATTTCTAATTTTTTGGCTAATTTATTAGTCCTAGCTACAAAGGCAGTCTAGTCCCTAGGCAGGAAGGAGGTCTGCTTTGGGAAAGGGATGTTACAGTCTTTGTTTTAAACTATAAACTATAAACCAAGTTTTCTCCCAAAGTTAGTTCAGCTTACACCTAGGAATGAACAAGGACAGCTTGGAGGTTAGAAGCAAGATGGAGTTAGTTAAGTCAGATCTCGTTCACTGTCTGGGTTATAATTTTGCAGTGGTGGTTTCAACAGTGGCTCAGGGGCTGGTGCCTGTCCCTACCCTGAGCCCAGAGGACACTTTCCGTCCTCCAGTCCAGGTTTTTCGTTTGACTTTGCCACAGGAACATTTGCCAGGGGTCATTTCCCAGGCGGAAATGGGCAAAGGGGGGTTGGGAACAAGCCTGAGGCCCTGAGGCCAAGAGGGTGTCCAGGTTCAGGGTGGGGCGGGGTGGGGTGGGGTGGGGCGGGCAGGGCAGGGCAGGGCAGGGGTGCACGTGGCAGGGTGGGCAGGCTTCCCGGCGCTCCGCTCAGGCCACGCCCAGCGCCAGCATAATTACCGGGAGAATAATTACGAGCCCAGAGAGCCGCCGACCCCGCCCATTGCCGACCATTCTCAGGCCTGGGGCGGTGGCGCCCTCTCCTCCTCAGTGACGCGCACTTGCAAAGGCTGCAGGCCAAGAGGTCCAGACGCCTCGGAGTGGGAGGGGCCGTGGCCTGCCAACGTTGTCTGTCCTCAAGGGAGGGGCGCTGGGAAGTTCCTGGGCCTGTTTCCCCTTTGGGGTCAGGGCTGCCTCTTGCTTCCAGCTCTAGCAGCTGCTAGCAAGTCCTTTAACATCCCTGAGCCTCAGTTTCCCCATCTATAAAATGAAGATGGATTTGTTGAGGACTAAATGAGCTACTCTTTGTACAGTGTGAGGCTGATTTTGTAACATTATTATTATTATGTTATTTTCAACCATACCCAGTGGCCAGCAGCTCCTGGCACATCATAAATGTCAGAGGGATGAACTACACAGATGAGGACGTGGAGGGGGTCAGAGTTAGGAGCTGGATGTGGGGTCTGCAGACTTCTCTGGTCTTTGGGGGTGGCGGCGGGGGGGGTGGTGATCCACTCTCCCTGGGGAATTCTTCAGTCTTTCTCTCCTGTGCCTCAGCCTGAGGGCCTCTGGCAAGTGCCTCTCCAGGAAAACACCACCTCCCAGCTGCTCTCCGGGTCGACCCTGAGTTTATCTTGGGTTTTACGCAGTCCGGGGCCAGTAATTAGCCTAATAAGGAGCCTGCTAGGCCTGCGTCTCTGCTCAGGCTCCGATAGTTACCCAGTAATTTACCTGATCTCTCGGATAAGGCCTTTGCCTGGACAGGTTCCCACCACAAAGCACAGGATGCTCCTGCTCGGGCGGGGCCTTAATTGGTGGTGTTTTCAGAGATTCTCCAACCCTAGTTGAAAGGAGCCCAGGCCTCAGAGGCACAACCATGGCCATCACAGCAAGGAAACAGCCCAGGTGTTAGGGGACAGGGCTGCACCAGGACACAACAGACCAGACACGGCAGCACTGACGAGTTTAGAAGGCGTATGGGGGTGGCAGCAGAAGCTGCCAAACCAAAACAGCTGCTGGCATTTCGTGTGTAGTGGCTGGGAGCAGAGCGTGGTGGGCAATGAGGGAGCCAACTTGGCCCTGGGGCCAACCCCGCAGCCTACACCCAGGCTCTGGCCAGCGCCTATTTCAGGGGCATGCTCGGTGCTGCTGCCTGGCCCCCAGGGTACTCCCAGAGCAAGAGCCCACTGGCTCCTGGACCCCAGTGGAGAAGCAGCGACCCCTTCCATCCCAGGGCTCAAGCTCAGGGCTCCGAGCCCTCCCAGCCACCTTTGTCCCCAGGCACAGTACCACATCAGGAGTGTCTGACTTTGGAGCAGGCCCCCAGGCCTTGGAAAGATCAAGCAGGAGGCCAAGGCTGTTGGAGCTGAGAAGCAGGAAGAGTCAACCATGCACGGTGCCCTCCTCCCTCTCCCCCAGGGCAGCTATAGGACTCTGTGGGTGGGAAGAGCCTGCAGCCAGGCCAAGAAGCCGTGGGCAAGCCCTACAGTCGCCTAGTGCTCGCCTACACAGCTCCCTTTGATCTGCCCCACTGGGCGGGGCTGTGTCATCTACTGGGTTTTCCCTGGAGCCTGTGCCCAGGGAAGCTCAGTGTCACACAGCCCCAAGCATCCTGTGTGTCCCTGGCAGAGTGCGAGCCCCTTATCCTGCCTCAGTGAAGAGGACGGTGCTGGCTGCCCTAGAGGATGTCAGCACCAGATGGAGAAGCAGAGCAGACTCCACTGGGCAAAGTTGCAATCACCCTCTGAGAGGAGCTGAGCTCCCTCTGAAAACAAGGGGCCCCTTAGCCCCACAAATGTGGGGGCAACCCACATGGCAGGGAATTGCATCCCTGAGTTTTCCCCCTGCGGCTGGAGTGCAATGGCGCAATCTTGGCTCACTGCAACCTCTGCCTCCCAGGATCAAGCGATTCTCCTGCCTCAGCCTCCTGAGTAGCTGGGATTAGCCCAGCTAATTTTTGTATTTTTAGTAGAGACGGGGTTTCATCATGTTGGGCAGGCTGGTCTCAAACTCCTGACCTCAGGTGATCCACCCACCTCGGCCTCCCAAAGTGCTGGGATTATAGGTGTGAGCCACCGTGCCCAGCCTATCTCTGAGTTTTTTGCAGTCAGCTGTGCCAAACCACCACACACTGCCCTTGGTTTCCCAGAGCCATCCTGCCCACACAGGGGATTCCTTGACACCCACTGCTCCAGGTCCAGGCCTAGGCCTGCCCCCTCTACTCCTAGATGAGGTCCAAGGGTGCTGAAACCTGCACTAACCTCCGCCTCGTGGCTGGGTGCGGGACAAGGGGTGTGGTCTCAGAGTCAGAGCTGGCTCAGCTTGGGTGGATGTGCCAGGGTGGGGTCGCTGTGGGGCAGAGGGGCACCAGCCACTGGGAGGGAGGGTCTTCTGGCTTAGGGCTTTTTTGTGCATGTGCACACCTGTCTTGCCCGATCTGCCAGGGCAGGCCACAGGGAGGGGCTGAGAGCCTGACTCTGGGCTCCGGGGCTTCTGCCATGCTGGGCCCACACCTTGGTGCCTTTTGCTTTCCTAGGCCCCTTTGCTCAGTGGCTCTTCAAAGCTTTAGCTGCCCCCTTTGAACTTGACTTCTGCTCTTCACCCAGGGGCTTCCCACTAGGGAGGGTGACTCAAACCCTCAGGCTGCCGTCAGCACTGCTTGGACCCACAGAGGCCACAGCACATAGTCTCAGGCCAAGCCAGACTGGAGCCTCCCCATGGGGTTCTTGACAGCCTGCCAGGAGACGAGTCCTACTCCTGTTCCACCCCCACTCTGCTCTCCCTCCACCTGGCCTTCCTCAATGGGGAAAAGGTATTCCCAAATCCATTTTCTGCAGGGAATCCACGGAGCGAGAGCGGTGAAACTGATGACAGGAAAGCCCTGCCTTCATGTTCATGCTTGTATTTTAACTGGGGAGAGGCAAGAAACCATCCTCAGCATTGTGTCAGATGGCAACCACTAAATAGAAAACAGTGAAGGACAGAAGGGGACCCCACATGGAGGGGGTGGCGTGCAGTTTAATTAGGTTGCTCAGAGAGGTCTCCATGAGTGGATGACATTTAAATAAAGGCCTTAAAAAGTGAGTCAGCCAGCCTTACGAAGTGTGCCACAGGCAGGGAGAACTCAAATCCCAGGTCCAGAGCTGAAGGTGGCTGGTCCCAGAGCTGGGACAGCGGCAAGGCAGGGGGCTGGAGCAGAACAGGGAGGTCAGAGCTGGGGGTGAGGTGCCCTGCAGGGAAATGGGGAGCCTTGGGGCTTCTAGCAGAGGGGTGGCAGGCCCCAACTTGGGTTTTGGATTTTACTCAGATCACTCTGCTGTGTGGAAGGTGGAGGAGGGTGGAGGAGGGTCGAGGGAGGGGGTGGAAGCCGAGAGACCAGGCAGAGGGCAGATCCAAGAGAGAAGGGACAATGCCTCGGACCAGAGTCAGTTGTGCTGGTTGACTGCCTGTGAGGGTCTGGCTGGCTGGATGCGATGGCTGTGACATGTGGGAGAGAGGGGCAAGATAAGCTGACCCCGAGATTTGGGTTTGAGCACCTGGAAGCGTCGCATCGCTATCATCTTTTTGATGTCACCAGGTGACCTTCTGAGGCAGGTGCTGCAATGTGTCCCGTCGATAGATAAATAAACAATTTTTTTTTTTTTGAGATGGGGTTTTGCTTTGTTGCCCAGGCTGGAGTGCAATGGCACAATCTTGGCTCACTGCAACCTCTGCCTCCCGGGAGCAAGCTATTCTGCCTCAGCCTACCAAGTAGCTGGGATTACAGGCATGCGCCACCACGCCCAGCTAACTTTATATTTTTAGTAGAGACCGGGTTTCACCATGTTGCCCAGGCTGGTCTCGAACTCCTGACCTCAGGTGATCCACCCACCTCAGCCTCCCAAAGTGCTGGGCCTACAGGTGTGAGCCACTGCACCCGGCCGAGACAAAATCTTCTAGACTGCAAAGTTACGCTCTTTTCACGAAGTCCTTGCCCACCTGCCCAGGGTCCCTTGGGCCTGCTTTTTGTCCCCCGGGTGGGGTGTAACATCCCAGCTGGCTTGAGTCAGGGCAAGGCACGGGTAGGGGTGAAGTGGGTAGTGGGCTGCCTGCTTTGAGGGGAGCAGGGGTCAAGGGTGTGCCTAAGGCTTGCATCCCGCCCTCTGGGCACAGGGCCTGTGCTTGGGGTGAGAGCCTGTGCTGTGGAGCAGGAACCAGCATTGAGTGGGGGCCACCTGGTGTGTGGGGCTGGGCTGGTCCCTTCATGTGGGAATTTGATCCTCTTAATAACACTCAGCGGGAAAGACTATATTGTGCCCATTTTACAAATGGGGAAACTGAGGTTCAGAGATGCGGTACTTGCCCAAGGCCACACTGGTGCAGGGACCTGAACGCAGCAGTGCAGCTCCAAGGTCTCTAGCTGTCCTCTGGCTGCATGGCCCACTTCAGCATGAGGGCTGAGTCTCCAAGGGCAGTCCCAAGAGAACCAGCAGACACTGTCTCACCATTTGTGACCCAGCCTCAGAAGCCACATAGCATCACTTACCTGGAGTGGCACGCAAGCCTGCCTAGAGTCAAGAGGAAGAAAGGAAACCCCAACTCTCAGCAGAATTGCCAGAATCTCCATGTCAGAAGAGCACGTTTGGAGGCAGATCCTGCTGCCATCCACTTCGCAGAATGCAGAGCGTGCCCGAGGAGAAGTGGGGTCTGGGTGAGCAGCACCAATGTCCACTCCAGTAGGGGAGACACTGCATGTCCAGGACACAACCTCTGATCGAGGCTGTCAGGGGGCCCAAAGAAGGGCTGTGGGGGCCGGGCATGGGAGCCACAGATGCGGGTTCAGCTCCAGGCTCTGCTGCTCCCTTGCCTACATGGATGGAGAGCCCTCTGGGAGAAGATGTGCCCCCGCCAGCCTCTGAAAGGAAGATGAGGTTTAGATGAGGAGGGGAGGTTGGAAGGAGCTCTTGGCTGGGGACCCTGCCCCACAGGGGCACCTCTAGGGGTGGGAGATGAAAGCAGTGTGCTTGGGGCACCTCAGATGCCGTGGAGATGAGGCTGGGCTGAGACTCAGTCAGAGGGTTCCCAAGTGGTCCCAGTGACAAAGGCCCAGAGAAACAGTTCCATTCAGGAAACATGTGATGGCTCAATGTGGAGAAGACACTCAGGAAGTCCACAGAGCCTGAATGTCCCCGCTCTGGTGCAGGGTCTCGTGCTCAGGTCCGACCTGGCTGTCAGCGGCACTGGGACCCAGGGCTGCCCCGCCATCCCACCGCCAGGAGCGGAGGAGCTGTCTCCAGCAGCAGCTGCTGCACAGAGCCCCAGGTGGAGCCTGGGGAGGCAGGCTCAGTGTTCTCAGCTTATCACCAGACACTCAGTTCTGCGGCTCATTAGTCTAGACTTGTTTCTGTCAGAGAAGGTCCTCTTTCCCCTGGGATGTGTAGGCTGTTCTGGCTCAGCCAACAGCAGTATATGGGTCTTATCGGAATATGAAATACTAAAATGTGGGGAAAAAAAAAACAACTTTTAAGTGTTTGCCTTGGAGGGATGGGCAATGGGACTCGTGAACTGTTTTCTTCTTTCGTAAGCAGCCTCGCTATCCCTTGCAGCCACAGAACTGACGCACAGGGCCAGGTCCCTTGGGGCCCAGCAGGAAAAATGGATGCCAGGAAGGGCATGCTAGTCCAGGCCTGGGGAACACAAGCTGCTTCCCATTTGCTCTCTCTCTACGGCTCGATTGCCAGTTCCAACTGTCAGTCTATCTTGATCCCCAAAATGTTTGAGTATAGATACGTCTGCTGATTCCCCTCATTCTTTTAGTGTCTTTTCTGCTGTGAAGCAGTTTTGGGGCAAGATCTTTTGCTCTGGTCCGGATAACTCTGGGCAATATACTCCAAGTCAAAGGCTACAGTGAAACTGGGTGACTGGCAAATAATCGATGAATCATGACTCCAGAATTCTTGTCTCTAGATGGGGGAGTAAAATCACAAACGAGATATGCTGTCGGCTGGGGATGCTTTAGAGGCCCCACCATACATGTTCCCATCTTTAATAATGAAACCCTTGATTTTTAGCTCAGCGTGTGGCTACCTGGACCAATTCTGTCTGATGGGGTGTGCAGTAGTGTCATGAACTACTTCTATCCCAGGAAGTAACTTGTAAATGAGTGGATGAGCCAATTCTCCTTCTTTCTCTTCCTGCTGGCTGAAGTGTGGACATGATGGCAGGAGCTGCAGCAGTCACATTGGACCATGGGTCATCGTGGGAATGGAAGTCACACAAGGGTATTTAAAGCCACACAAGGATAATGAGCACTGGATAGATGGAGCCCGAGTCCCCATCACAGTGTAGCCCCTGTAACAGATCTAGACTTCCTGCCTCCCACATTGAGTAAACTGCTCTCTTGCTTAAGCCACTATTATGTTAGGATTTTTTCAACCCATAGTCAGAGATAGTCCTAACTGATTCACCACCCTCAGAGAGTTTACAGCCAATTATGTTTCTCATGAAAAAGGTTAGCCAGTGGTTGTAAGTGATCCCGGACTGGAGCGCCAGCTGCACTAAGGCAGTTCGTCTGTGGGATGGCTCTGTCCTTGTCAGGGAGAGGACCCCTCCTACACACTGGCATGTTACCACAAGTACAGTGGTAACTAAGCAGGTCGGCATAGGTGCCCACAGAGCAGACTGAACACCCCGTTTGCTTCCCTCTCCTCTCCGAACTCCCTGGACATGGCCAAGTAGCATAAGCCAAGCAGAGGTGAGAAGGAGAGTGGGGCACAGGCAAGTTACCAGTGGGCCCGCGGCTATCATGGACTTCCAGAAAATAAAAAACAGGCATGATGGTGTTGGTTTATAAACCAAAGCAGAGGGCACTGGAGCCCCGTAAGTGTGCAGGAGTGAATGTATGTGGCAGGGAGAAGGGTAGAAGGGAGGAGGTTGGGTAGAAGGCTACCTCTACCAGCTGGAAATGAGTGGTGAAGTCAGCTGGACTTCTGGGTGGGGCGGGGACTTGGAGAACTTTTCTGTCTTACAAAGGGATTGTAAAATGCACAAATCAGCACTCTGTAGATAGGATTGTAAAACGCACCAATCAGCTCTCTGTGGCTAGCTAGAGGTTTCTAAAATGGACCAATCAGTGCTTTGTAAAGTGGACCAATCAGAACACTGTAAAATGGACCAATTAGTGCTCTGTAAAATGGACCAATCAGACCAATCAGCACTCTGTAAAATGGACCAATCAGCAGGACATGGGTGGGGACAAATAAGGGAATAAAAGCTGGCCACCCTCCAGTCAGCAGCAGGCAACCCACTGGGTCCCCATCCCTGTTGTGGTGTATTTGTTATTTTGCTCTTGGCAATAAATCTTGCTGCTGCTCACTCTTTGGGTCCGTGCCACCTTTAAGAGCTGTAACACTCACTGTGAAGGTCCAGGACTTCATTCTTGCGGTCAGCGAGACCACGAACCCACTGGAAAGAACCAACTCCCGACACGGAAAGGCTGCAAGGTTAGGGTCCACAGTTTGGGAAGAGTGGAGCCTAGGGTCTTCACTCAGGGGTATGGATGGAGAGAACAGTGGGGGGAGCTCTTTGCTCTAATCCCAGGCTCCACCCTGCCTCAAAGAGGCTACGAGTACTGTTTTGTAGTAGGATAAAACCAATGATATGCTTATGCTGTAGATGGAACCATGTGCCCCTGAAACTCATATGTTGAGTTTCACCCCACTGTGATGGTATTAGGAGGAGGAAACTTTGGGAGGTGACTAGGTCATGCGAGCAGAGCTCTCATGAATGAGGTTAGTGCCTTAGAAAACAAGAGCCTGCGTAGTGGTGTGCGCCTGTAATTCCAGCTACTCTGGAGGCTGAGGCAGGAGAATTGCATGAAGCCGGGAGGCAGCGATTGCAGTGAGCCGAGATCGCACCACTGCACTCCAGTCTGGCCAACAAAACGAGACTCCGTCTCAAAAAAACAGAAGGAAAAAAAAAGAAAAGAGCTTGGAGAACCCCCTCTCCTCTTCTGCCAGGTGAGGCCACAGCAAGAAGACTGCGGTCTACGAACCAGGAAGAGGCCTTCACCAGTCACCAAATATGCTGGCGCCTTAATTTTAGACTTTCCAGTTTCTGGAACTGTGAGAAATGAATTTCTGCTGTTTATAACCAACCCTGGCTGTGTGATTCTATTGTAACAACCTGAACTGATGAAAACATCTTGCTAGGAAATAGAAGTGAACTTAGGAGGAGGGTTAGTATATGCTGGAGTAAAGCCTTCGGTAGTTTGGTCTTTTTGTAAAGATGAGGAAGCTGGGTACCCTCTGGTGAGGGCTGCCAGGTGTGACTCACCCGACTAAGCAGAAGTCAAGCCAGCCTTCCCAGGAAGGGGAGAGGCCTGCTGAGTAAACAGACCCCGGAACCACAAAGGGGACCCTTGGCAGCTATCTGTATGCATAAGTCTTATCTTTCATCTGTGTACATGATAGGCAAACAAGGAAAACAGTCACAAGACAGAAGGACGAAGAGGAACAAAAGTAACAGTTGTCCCTGGAAGAAATAGATACTAAAGGCAATGAATAGAATAAGAGTCATAATTAACATCTCAAGAGATGTTTGAGGAGATGTTGCATCCACAAAACAAGAACAGGAAACTAGAGAAAGGACAAATCAGGGAATCAAAAAAGTTTAGAGACATTAAAAATGTGATGATAAAAATTAAAAACAAATCAGGAGGAGGATAGGAAAGTAAAGTTAAACTTCCCAGACTGTAGGGCAAGAAGACAAAAAGCTGAAGAGTCTGACAGGGCAGGTGAGAGATGCATAGCATCAATCCAGGGTGTCAAAATGTGTCTGATAGGCCCGGCACAGTGGCTTACACCTATAATAGCACTTTGGGAGGCCAAGGCAGGCGGATCACCTGAGGTCAGGAGTTTGAGACCAGCCGGGCCAACATGGCGAAACCCCATCTCTACTAAAAATACAAAAATTAACCAGGTGAGGCAGCAGGCACCTGTAATCCCAGCTACTTGGGAGGCTGAGGCAGGAGAATCGCTTGAACCCGGGAGGCAGAAACTGCCTTTCTGTTGTTTATAACCAACCCTGGCAAGATTACACCACTGTGCTTCAGCCTAGGTGACAGAGTGAGACGTAAAATGTGTCTGCTAGGAGTTCAGAAGGAATGAACAGAAAAAAAGAAAGAATGGAGGGAAGTGCAGTGTAACCAATAACCAATAACCAGTTGGTAACCAATAACCACACACTTAATGGCTTGCAACAATATAAATTTATTCTCTTACAGCTATAATGGTCAGAAGTCCTAAAATCAAGGTGTCAGCAGGACTGCATTCCTTCTGGAGGCTCTAAGGGACAATCTGTTTCCTTGTCTTTCCCAGCTTCTAGAGGCTGCCTGCATTCTTTGGTTTGTAGACCTATATATTTTCAAGGCCGTCAGTGTATCCTCTTTAGATCTCTCCCTCTGACTCTGACTCCTGCCTCCCTCATTGCACCACCATCTCCTCTGCTTCTGCTGTCACATCATCTTCTCTGACTTTGGCCCTCTCGCCTCCCTCTTATGAGGACTCTTGTGATTACATTGGGCTCCCTGGGATAATACAGAAAAATCTCCCCATTTCAAGATTTTAAATGACATCTGCAAAGTCCCTTTTTCCATGTGAGATAACATATTCGTAGGTTCCAGGGATTAGGATGTGACATCTTTGGTGCACCATTATTTTGTCTACTACATGGGGAAATAAAGAAATGTTGGGGGAATAATTTCCCAGAGCTAAACAAGGAGGAACAGTTTTTAAATTAAAACTTTCTCAAGTTATTTGATAGGATGATTGAGAAAAGATAGCTGGGTGTGGTAGCTCACACCTGTAATCCCATTATTTTGAGAGGCTGAGATAGGAGGATCGCTTGAACCAAGGAGTTCAAGACCAGCCTGGGCAACACAGGGAGACCTCTTCTCTATAAAAAAGAAGTAAAAAGAAGAGAAAGGATCAATACCTGGGCATTTTGCCATGAACTACGAGAAAGATAAGGGGAGGGGGTGGCACAGGTCATGGGCAGAGAAACAAGCTCAGCAGCAGGATGTGCTAAGGAGAAATAGAAGGCTTCCTTCAAGGCTGGAGGGAAAACTGTCTTGTCTCAAAAATGATACAGTAAGCTGAACTATTAATCATGAAAGCAAAAATAATGTTTTATGTATAAGAAAAGATTTTAAAAGTTAACCACCCATGAACTCATTCTGGGGAAATACATACACTTGAGAAATACTCTGGTCACGAGAAAGTAAAAATCAAGAAAAAGAAAAATAAAGACTTCCCCAAACTACAGAACTAAATCAATATTGCAGTGAAAAGCAAATCCATACCAGGAACTCAAAGATGATTCAATAATAAGAAATATACTATAAAATGAACCACATTAATAAGTTGAAGGAGAAAAAATTATTTGACTCTTTCTACAGAGACCAGTAAAGCCTTTGGAAACATTTTGCACCCATTTGTACTTACAGTCTTGAAAAAATGAATGGATATATCCTTATCATGATAAACCATGTATATACCTCATACTAAAATCACTGATTTATTTAATGAGGAAACACTAGAGACATTCCTACTAAGGTTAGGAACAAGGCAAACATTTTCTTAGCTCTATTATTACTTAATATATTAACCAATGCAATCATGTAAGAGGAAAGAACTGGAGGCATAAAACCTGAAAAAGAAGAACTATCTCTGTTTGCAGATGACAAAATGGTACATCTGGAAAACCCTAGAGAGCAAAATTGTAAAATAGTTGGTAAAACCACCACAAAAAATAAAAGAATTCTGCAAGACAGCAGGTTATAAAATTAATAGAGCAATTAATAGATTTCATATGTTGCATATAATATATAAATTTCACATATGAAGTTAAAAGATGAATTGTTTCTCACCAGGTAGTCACAGAGAAGACCGAGGAGACTCTTGAGAAAGCTTCCTGTTCCTGGTGGTATAGGTCACTTCTCCCCTATCCCTCCCTTGTCCCTCACCATCCATGGGAAAAAACTTAAAATGTGGGGATGGAGGAGTGCCAACAGTGTCATCCTTATGAGAAAGGGAAGTTAAAATTCTCGCAAAATAGCCCCCATTCTAAACACAAGGTAACACTAGAATTTGAAGTCTGTTATATAATGAGAATAACCATTGCAATGTTAAATCTCAAATCAAACTCAACTCCTGACTAGATTAATAGAACCCCCACATTAAAGACCTAGAAGGAAAGTTGTGCTCATTTCCAAGTATGAAAATTATTTACCTCTGTCACTACTGTTAAATGTTTGTTTTTAAACAAAAACTCTGAGCCATATGAGAAAGCAAGAGATGTTGGAACTATCGGACAGGGAACTTAAAATTGTAATGATTAGTGTGTTAAAGGCTCTAAAGGAAAAGCCGGTAACATACAAGATCAGGTGGATAATTCAGCAGAGAGGTGGAAACTGTATGAAAGAATCAACTGGTGATACTAGAAATGAAAAACACAGTGAGAGAGATGAAGAATGCCTTTGACTGGCTCATCAGTAGACTAGACACAGTGAAGATAAGAATCAACATGAAGTTGAACATAAGTCAATAGAAAAACAAAGAACAACAAACAGTTTTAAAAAAACAAACCAGGCAGGCATGGTGGCTCATGCTTGTAATCCCAGCACTTTGGGAGCCTGAGGTGTGTGGATCACCTGAGGTCAGGAGTTCCAGACCAGCCTGGCCAATGTGGCGAAAACCTGTCTCTACTAAAAATACAAAAATTTGCCAGGGGTGATGGTGCATGCCTGTAATCTCAGCTACTCGGGAGGCTGAGGTGGGAGAATTTCTTGAACCCAGGAGGCGGAGTTCACAGTGAGTCAAAATTGTGCCATTGCACTCCAGCCTGGGCAACAGAGCAGGACTCTAACTCAAAAAAACCCCAAAAAACAAACAAACAAAACAAACCAGTTCATCTAAGAGCTGTGGGACAATACCAAATGATGCAATATATGCATTATACAAATCCCAAGAGGAGAAGAGAAAGAGAATAAGGGGAAGAAATATTTGAGAAATGTTGGCTGGGAATTTTTCCAAAAATAATGACAGACACCAAGCCATAGATTCAAGAAGCTTAGATAACACCAAGCAGGAAAGAAAGAGAGAGAAAGGAGGAAGAAAAGGGAGGAAGAAGGAAAGAAGGAAGAGAGAAACCACACTTACGTATGTCATATTCAAGTTTCCAAAAACAAAAAACAAAGAAAAGACCCTGAAGACAGCCAGAGAAAAAGGACACGTTACATACAGAGAAACAAAGATGAGAATTGCAGTGCACTTCACCTCAGAAGCCATGCAAGCCAGATTACAATAAAGTGACATGTTTAAACTACAGAAAGACAAAACTGTCATCCCAGCATTCTATATTCAGCAAAATATCTTTAAAAAATGAAGAAGACATACTTTCTCAGATAAATAAAAACTGAGAAAATTTTCTACTAGCAGCCCTGCAATATAAGAAATGTTAAAGGAATTTCTTCTGGCAGAAAAAAATACGATACCAACAGAATCTTGAATTTACAGAAAAACATAAAGCATTCTGGAAATGAAGCAAATGTACATAAAATAAAGTCTATTTAAAAATTTTCTTAATTTTAATTGCTCTAAAAGACAACGGTCTCAAGCAAACTATAAGATCAGTGTATCATGTGTTTATAGCATATGGAAAAGTAAAATGTGTGACAATAGCAGAAAGGATGGAGGAAATAATTGAGAATATAACAATAAGCTCCTTATACTACATGTGAAATGGAATAATATTGGGAGGTAGACTCTGATTAATAAAAATATGTATATTATAAAACCCAGGAAAACCACCAAAAGTATAAAGAAGAGTTATAAATAATAAGGCAATAATGGGGATCAAATTGAACAATAAAAAGTCTTCAGCAACCCAAAAGACTGCATTAAAAAAAGGAAAGATAAAAAAGTACAGAGGGACCAAAAAGAAAACAGGTAGCAAGATGAAAGATTTTAATCAAAATCTATCAATAATCAATTTAAATTGAGAGGGACTAAACGCATCAATTAAAAAACAGAGACCAAGTGGCAGAATAAAAAGGCAATCCAAATTGTATGTTGTCAACAAGAAACTTGCTTTAAATATAAAGATATAAATGAGTTAAACTAAAAAGATGGAAAAAGATATACCATGCAGACAGTAAACACCAACCAACACACACACACACACACACACACACACACACACACACACACACCCCTATAACATCAAAGTAAAATTCAGAATGAGAAATATCATCAGAGATAAAGGAGGACATAATGTAATAATGAGTCAGTTTTCCAAAAAGCCACAACAATCCTAAACATGTATATGCCTAACAACAGAGTTCGAAATACATAAACTAAAAGTGAATCGAACTGAAGGGAAAAATGAACAAATACACAATTAGGCTGTAGATCTCCGGCCATACTGACCAGTATCAGGAATAAAAAAGTGGACATCATTACAGACCCCTATAGACACTGAAAAGATAATGTGAAAATGCTTCAAATAAGCAGAGTAAAATGGATCAATTCCTTAAAAGATATGATCAAAACTCACTGAAGAAAAAAACCAGTCTTCTATCTATAAAGAAATTAGAAATTGATTTTATGGTTAAAAGCTTTCTATATAGAGAATGCCATGCCCAGAAGTGTTTGCAGGTTAGTTCTAAAAACATTTAAGGCAGAAATAATACCAATTTTACACAATCTCTTCCAGAAAATAGAACTCATCTTATCAGTCCAGTATTCCAATGAGATGAAGAAAACTACAAGCTGTTATCCTTCACAATTATAGATGCAACAATCATCAATATAAATTAACATATTGAATCCAGCAATATATAAATCTTTTTTTTCTGTTTCAGTTGATGCTGCTATAAAGTCAACAATATATTACAATCTAGTGTGTGTATCCCATGAATGCAAGGCTCAATCAACATTCGAAATTCAATCAATGTAACTTACCATACCAACACATTTTTTTTTTCTTTTTTTTTTTTTGAGATGGAGTCTCGCTCTGTCGCCCAGGCTGGAATGCAGTGGCGCGATCTTGGCTCACTGCAAGCTCTGCCTCTCAGGTTCACACCATTCTCCTGCCTCAGCCTCCTGAGTAGCTGGGACTACAGGCGCCTGCCACCACACCTGGCTAATTTTTTTTTTTTTTTTGTATTTTTAGTAGAGACGGGGTTTCACCGTGTTAGCCAGGATGGTCTCCATGTCCTGATCTTGTGATCCACTCACCTTGGCCTCCCAAAGTGCTACGATTACAAGCATGAACCACTGTGCCTGGCCCAAACAAAAATTTTTTAAAAAAGAAAACCATATGATTATAGAAGTATAAAGAGTACTTTACAGTATTCACAATCTATTTATGATGAAAAAATAAACTCTCAATCCAATCTGTCAATCTATTTGAAATAAATAGGACATTTCTTTATATGAAAACAGGTAGGTACAAAAAACCAAAGCTAGCATCATATTTGGTTGTGAAAGACTCAATATGTCTACCCAAGGATCAGACACAAGTCAAGGATGTCCTCTTTTACTACTCCTATTCAACATTGTGCTGGAAATCATAGCTAGCTGCTATGGTCTAAATGTTAGTGTCTCCCAGGAAGTTATATATTGAAACTGAATTCCCCAATGTAATTATGTTAAGAGGTGGGCCTTTGGGAGGGGATTAGGTCATGAAGCTTTCTCCTCTCCTCAGTGGGATTAGCGCCCTTATAAAAAAGGCTCAAGGGAGCTTGTTTGCTTCTTTCACCATGTGAGAACACAGCTAGAAGCTGCCATCTTTGAAAAAAAGGAGCTTTTGCCAGACACCAAATGTGCTAGCACCTTGATCTTAGACTTTCTAATTACCAGAACTGTGAGCAATAATTTTGTGTTGTTTGTAAGTTATCTGGTCTATGGTAATTTGTTACTGCAGCCTGAATGGGCTAAAACACCAGTGTAACATGGCAAGACAAGACATAAAATATCGTAGTTTGTAAAGGAATAATTTGCCTCTAGTAACAGATGACATGATTGTACATGCGGAAAAGTCCAAAAAAAAACCACTATGAAAAAAAAACACTTCTAGAATTAATAAAAGAGTTTAGCTAGGATACAAGGATACAAGTTTAATAAACAAAAATTAATTGATTTGCTACTAGTCATGCACAACTGCAATTAAAAATTTTAAAATCACCACTTTAAAAAGCAAAGAGGAGGAGGAACTTCTACATGTTTAGGTGTCACTGAAAGAAAAACTTATCATGTTCCACACCTCCAGCTCGTGATTTCTTAAAAATTTTGCCCGATTGGAGACGAAGGCCATAAAACAGATAGCTTCCAATCTCTTCTCATTGGAATTGACTTCTTGTGCAACAGAATGTGGAGAAGTTTAAACCCAAGGGCCTCTAGAGAACAGTGCAAGTTGTAGTGAAAGGCATCTGAAAGGAGATTCATGAATTTATGAAGAGAAAGCCTAAACCAGGCTGGATAGTTTTCAGGACAGAACTGAGGAACAAGACAGTTGGGAGGAGCACTTCTGAGTTCCTGGGGAAAAATATGAAGCTTAGACCTCAGAAACGGTTCCTTCAAAGGAATCACAATTTGATCGGATGTCTTTGCAGAGGCATCAATGCCCCAGGGCACTCTTGAAAACAAAAGAACAATCATTGAGCAATTAGTGGTTTCACATCTGGATGTGGCCAGAGACAGAAAGAGAGTGCTAACAATACCACAGTCAGCTCATTATTCAAGTTGAAGAACAGAGAGAAAATGAATAGACAAAAAAAAAAAAAAACAAAAAACAAAAAAACCAGCCTCAGAGATATGCGGGACACCATTAAACATAACAACATATATATAACCATGTACCAGAAGGAGAGGAGAGAAAGGAGAAAAAAGTATTCAAAGAAATAATGGCAGAAAACTTCTCAAATTTATTGAAAACAACAACCTACTCATTCAGAAAGGTCAATCAACTCCAAACAGGATAAATTAGAAAAGATTTACGAACAAAAACATCATGGTGAAAACCAAAGACAAGCAAAAATCTTAAAGGCAGCAAGAGAAAAATGACATATCCCTTAAAAGAGAACCCCAAATACATTAGCAGCTGACTTTTCATAACAAAACACAGGTCAGAAGGCAGTGAAATAACATATTTGAAGTGTTCAAAGAAAAAAATCATCAAGGAAGAATCCTATATACATCACAGCTATATTTGAAAAATGAAGGCAAAATAAAGAAATGCTTAGGTTAAAAAACAAAACAAAACAAAAACCCAGAGAATTTCTTGCTATTAGGCCTGCCTTCAAGAAATACTAAAAAAAATTCTTCAGGTTGAAAACAAGTTACCTTAAATGGTAATTTGAATCCACAGAATTTGTTCCACAGAAACAAAGAGTATCAGTGAAAGTTACTGTCTTTTAAAAAGACACTATAAATGCATATTTTCTCTTTTGTCTCATACTTATTTTAAAAGCAATTATACAGAATAATATGTATATCATGCATTGTTGAGCCTATAACATATATGTGAAATATATTTGCCAATAACGTCACAAAGGTGGTAAGTGGGAGTAAACATGTAATGGGCTAAGAAAATGATTATAACAATGTATCATTGAGTTTGTAAAATTAATAGATGTAATGCATATAAAAATAATACCACAGAAATGGGGGACATGGAACAGGGCTGTATAGGAATAGTGTTCTTAATAGATCACTGGAATTAAACTAGTTTAAGTCTCAAGGTGATTATGATCAGTTAAATATATATGGTAGGCCCTAGAGCAACCACTAAAAAATGACATAAAAATATAGTGGGAAAAATCCTAATGAAATTAAAATGCTACATTAGAAAATATTTACTTAATGCAGAAAAAGCAGTAAAGCAGCAATGGAAGAACAGAAAAAACACAGGACATATGTAAGACAAAAATAAAATAGACATAAATCTAATTATATCAATAATATCAAATGCGAGAGCGAATTAAACATTTCTCAAAAGGCAAAAATTGTCATACTGAATTACAAAAAACATGCTTCTACTTACTATATGTTGTCTGCAAGAAAGACACTTTTAATTCAAAGATACAAATAGATTGACAGTAAAAAGATGGAAAAAGATATGTCATGAAAACAGCAACCATAGGAAAGCTGGAGAGCCTACAGTAATAGACAAAATATACTTTAAAACAAAATATGTTGCTGGACATCAGTGGGAATACTTTATAACAGTAAAAGGATTAACCCATCAGGAAAATATACCAATTATAAATATATATTCAGCTAATAACAGAGCACCAATACATGGAAAAAACTGACAGAAATGAAGAAATAAATAGACATTTCAATATCCTCTCTCAATGATAGAATGATTAGACAGAAGATCAATAAAGAAGTAGAAGAAGACTTGAATGACACTATAAACCAACTACACCTAACAGACAACTATAGAACATGCTATGGTTTGGATATTTGGCCCCTCCAAATCTCATGTTGAAATTTGATCCACAATGTTGGAAGTAGGGACTAAATTGGAGGCATTTGGGTCATGGAGGTATATCCTTCATGAATGTCTTGGTGCTATCCTCATATTAATGACTGAGTTCTTATTCTATGAGTTCCCATGGGAGCTAGTTGTTTAAAATAATCTGGCACTTCCCTTCCTCCCCTCTCTGTTGCTTCCATTCTCTTGCCATGTGATCTCTGTACACGTCCGCTCCCCTTTGCCTTCTGCCGTGAGTCCATGAGTGAAAGCAGCCTATAGCTCTCACCAGAAGTAGATGTTGGTACCATGTTTCTTGTAAAGCCTGCAGAACCATGAGCTAAATAAAACTCCTTTCTTTATAAATCATCCAGCCTAAGGTATTCCTTTATAGCAACACAAATGAACTAAGACAGAACATTCCACTGAATTATGACAAAATGCATACTCTTCTCAAGTGTACATAAAACATTCTCCAGACCATATGCTAAACCATAAAGCATACCTCAATAAATTTAACAGAATTGAAATAATACAAAATATGTTCTCTGACCACAATGGAATGAAATTAGAAATTTATAGCAGGAAAATAATTTGGTAAACTCAGAGATATGTGGAAATTTTACAAAACACTCCTGAATAACCAATAGGACAAAGAAAAAATAAAAAGGGAAGTCAGAAAATAGATTGATGTGAGTGAAAACGAAGATACGACATCCCCAAAGTAAAGGAATGCGAGTAAAGCAGTGCTTAGAGGGAAATTTATAGCTGTAAATACCTATGTTAAAAAAGAAAAAAGATCTTAAATCAATACTCTAACCTTTCACCTTAAGAGACTGGAAACTAAACCCAAAGCAAGCCAAAGGAAGAAAATAATAAAGATTAGAATAGAAATCAATGAAATAGAGAATAAAAAACAATAGATGGACAATAAAAATAATAGAAAAAATTGATAAAACCAAAAGCTGGTTCTTTATAAACATCTACAAAATTGATAAATATTTAATTTTTAGGTTGAAATTTTCAGCTTCTAGGTTGAACAAGAAAAAAAAAGAGGGCTCAAATTACTAGAATCAGGAATAAAAGAGGAGACATTACTACCGACTTTACAGAAGTAAAAGGGATTTTAAAGAAATGCTATGAACAATTGTATGCCAACAAGTTACGTAACAACAAATTAGATAAAACTGACAAATTTCTAGAAAGATACAAACTACCAAAACTGATTACACAAGAAATAAACAATCCGAATATACCTATAAGAAGCAAAGTAATAAAAAACTACCCACTAAGAAAATCTTAGGCCCAGAATACTTCATCACTGAATTCTACCAAGCATTTAAAGGAGAATTAATGCTAATATCTCACATTAAAAAAGGGGTGGGAACACTCTCCAACTCATTATGAAGCCATTATTATCCTTATACAAATACCACAGAAGACATTACAAGAAAACTACAGAGCAATATCTGTTATGAATACAGATATAAAAAATTCTAAACAAAATAATAGCAAACCAAATTCAGCAATATATAAAAAGAATTATACACCATGACCAAGTGATATTTACAGCAGAGATGTAAGGTTGACTTAACATTTTAAAAATAATTAATGTAATACATCACACAATAGATTAAAAACCAAAAATTACATGAACATCTCAAAAATCATTTGAAAAACTCCAACACCTTTTCTTGAGAAAAACACTTACCAAACTAAAAACAAGGAAACTTCTTTAATTAGATAAAGGCATTTATAAAACACCCATATCAAATATCATACTTAATAGTGAAAGGAAAAATGGACCAAAATACTCTCAAAGGAATCAAGAAAAGAGAGAAAAATTAACATAGAACAAATGAGACAAATAGCATCATTGAGATGGTAGCTTTAAATTGAGATATATTAGAAATTTCATTAACTTGTGTGTTGCATGTTTGCTTTGTCATGAACTGTTAATATGTTTCCTAGAGTTCGAATGTGTCCCTCAAAGTTCATGTGTTGGAAACTTACTCCCCAATGTAAAGCATTGAGAGGTGGAGCCTTTAAGAGGTGATTAGGTTATGGAGTGCTCTGCCCTAATACATGAATTAATGGCAATGTTATGAGTAATTATCGTGATTAGTTATCATGAAAGTGGGTTCCTTACAAAAGGATGAGTTTGGTTTGCCCCCTTCTCCCTCTCTCATCCATGTGATGCCTTCTACCACATTATGAAGCAGCAAAAAGGCAATCACAAGATGCTGACCCCTTGATCTTGGACTTCCAAGCCTCCAGAACTATGAGAAATAAATTTCTTTTTAAAATAAATTATCTAGGCCGGGCACAGTGGCTCATGGCTGTAATCCCCAGCACTTTGGGAGGCCGAGATGGGAGGATCACTTGAGGTCAGGAGTTCAAGAACAGCCTGGCCAACATGGTGAAACCCCATCTCTACTAAAAATACAAAAATTAGCCAGGCATCATGGTGTGCGCCTGTAATCCCAGCTACTCAGAAGGCTGAGGCATGAGAATTGCTTGAACCCGGGAGGCAGAGGTTGCAGTGAGCTGAGATCATGCCACTGCACTTGAGCCTGGGTGACAGAGTGAGACTCTGTCTCAAATAAAATAAAATAAAATAAATTATCTAGTCTCTGGTATTCTGTCTTTTTTTTCCTTTTTTTTAAAACAGAGTTTTGGTTTTGTTGCCCAGGCTGGAGTGCAATGGTGCGATCTCGGCTCACTGCAACCTCCATCTCCCAGGTTCAAGGGATTCTCCTGTCTCAGCCTCCCGAGTAGCTGGGATTACAGGCGCATACCACCATGCTTTGCTAATTTTTGTATTTTTAGTAGAGACAGGGTTTCATCATATTATATGGTCCGGCTGGTCTGGAACTCCTGACCTTAGGTGATCTGCCTGCCTCAGCCTCCCAAAATGCTGGGATTACAGGCATGAGCCACTGCGCCCGGCTTTCTGGTATTCTGTTACAGCAGCACAAAATGGACTAAGACAATATTAAATGATCCAATTAAAGTAAAAAGTTTGTTAAAGTGTATTAAAAACCTAACAAACTTTACCTTTTTTTTAAATGACAAAGTGCACATTCAACACACAAGGATACAGGGAGCTTGTGAATAAGAGAACTAAAAAAGATTTACTGTGCAAACACTAACCAAAACCCACCTCTATATATAAAAAGACAAAATAGAGCCTATGACAGAGCTTTACTTCTAAGTAACTCAAGGTTTAAAGAAGAACTGTAATTAAAAATTTACACTTAATTACATAAAAGCTCTCCATATACTGTATATCAAATCTTGTTGGAAGCAGCTAAAGTTGTACTTTAGAGGATTTTTTTTAGCCTTCAAACATAAAAAGAGAGAATAAAGGCTGAAAGAGCGATTATCTATTTGAAGAAATTAGGAAAACAAAATATCCATTTGAAGAAATCAGAGAAAAAGTATATTAAATCTAAAGAAAGTAGAGTGAAAGACACAGGGATGACAAGAACAGAAATTAATGACATAGAAAACAAACATAAATAAAAGGAATTGACCAAACCAAAAGTTGCTTCTTTGCAAAAATTAATGAGATGATATACTTTAGTAACAGTGTTCAAGGACAAAAACAAAGAGTGCACAAATAACACTATCAAGAATGAAAGAGGACTATCACTATCAATCCCACAAATAATAATATGAAAAGTAGAGGACATACTGAACAACTCAACACCACAAAACTGTGAAAGATAGTTAACTGAAAAAATGCTAATTACAGAAACAAACACAGTAGAAATAGTACTAAATAAATTTAATCAGTAAGAAAATTTTTTCTACAAAAATTTTTATACAAAGCTACCATGGCTTTCCTAGCAGGATTTATGTATCAGTCCATTTTTGTGTTGCTATAAAGAAATACTCAAGAATGAGTAATTTATAATGAAAAAATATTTAGGTTTGGTGTGGTGGCTCACATCTGTGATCCTAGCACTTTGGGAGACCAAGGCTAGAAGATCCCTTGTGCTCAGGAGTCTGAGACCAGCCTGGGCAACATAGAGAGACCCTGTCTCTAAAAATACATACATATATACAAACATAAATAAGAAAGGAGATCTAATTGGCTCACAGTTCTGCAGCTGTACAGGAAGCTTGGTGCTGGCATCTGCTTCTGGTGAGGGCCTCAAGATGCATACAATCATGGTGGAAGGCAAATGAGGAGCTGGTGTATTTCATGGTGCATCCCCCCAGAAAAGGCTTGAGAGGCCCCCAGAATCCCTAGCTGGGTGACTAGTGAAGATCATTCCTTGTATAAAGCCAGGCCACAAAGACTGAAGAGTTGCCTGTTTTTCAAAAGCACAAATCCCAGTAAAAAATAATAAGGCATGTGAAGAAATAGGGAAAAATGGCCCAAAGGAACAAAATAAATATCCAGGAACTGACCTTAAACAAAGAGATCAATTAATGACCTGAAAAAGAATTCAAAATAATTGTCTTAAAGAACTTCAATGTGATACAAGAGTACACAGATAGACAACTAAAAACAAATCCAGAAAACAATGCATTAACAAAGTGACAATATGATCAAAGAGACAAAAACTAAGGAAGAAAAAACAAATAGAAATTCCAGAGCCGAAGATTGCAATAACTGAATTATAAAATTCGCTAGAAGGGTTCAATAGACAACTTGATCAAGCAGAACAAAGAATCAGTGAAGTTGAAGACAGATAATTTGAAATGATCAAGTCACAGGAACAAAAAGAATAAAGGATTAGTAAAAGTGAAGAAAGCATAAGGGACTTATGAAAAATCATCAAGCCTATCAATATACATGTTATAGGAGTTAAAAAGAAGAAAGAGAGCAAAGGGCAGAGAGCTTATTTGAAGAAATAATGGCCCAAACTTCCAAATCTAAGGAAGAAAATGGACATCCAAATTCTAGAAGCTCGAAGGATGCTGACAAAGAAGAACCCAAAGATGCCCACACTGAGACATATTGTAATCAAACTATCAAGGACAGTTTGATGTATCAGAAGTCAAGGATAAAGAGAGAGTCTTGAAAATAGCAAGAGAAAAGCCACTTGTATGTACAAGGGAGCTACTGTAAGATTATCAGCTGATTTCTCAGCAGAAACATTATAGGCTGGAAAGGAGTGAGATGTTATATTCAAAGTGCTGGAAGAAAAAAACCTTTTGTCAACCAAGAATATTATAACCAACAAAACTGTTCTTCAAAAATGAAGGAGAAGGCAGCCAAGTGGTCTCCCAAGACCATAACCCAGCAGCCACTAGTGTCGTCGCCACCCATAAAAGAGCCGAGCTGAGTGGGGGTGCTGCCCAGAATCCTGTGGGCAAAAGACTACAGCAGGAGCTGATGACCCTCATGATATCTGGTGACAAAGGGATTTCTGCTTTCCTTGAATCAGACAACCTTTTCAAATGGGTAGGGACCATCCATGGAGCAGCTGGCACAGTGTATGAAGACCTGAGGTATAAGCTCTTGCTAGAGTTCCCCAGTGGCTACCCTTACAATGAGCCCACAGTGAAGTTCCTCACATCCTGCTACCACCCCAACATAGACACCCAGGGTAACATATGCCTGGATATCTGGAAAGACAAGTCGTCTGTACTGTATGGCATCAGGACCATTCTGGTCTCCATCCAGAGCCTGCTAGGAGAACCCAACATTGATAGCCCTTTGAACATGCATGCTGTTGAGTTCTGGAAAAACCCTACAGCTTTTACCTTCAAGAAACCTATTCAAAGCAGGTTACCAGCCAGGACCCCTGACCCAGGCTGCCCAGACTGTCCTTTTTTTTTCTTTCTTTTTTTTTTTTTTTGAGATGGAGTCTTGCTCTGTTGCCCAGGCTGGAGTGCAGTGGTGAGATCTCAGCTCACTGCAACCTCCACCTCCCAGGTTCAAACGATTCTCGTGCCTCAGCCTCCCGAGTAGCTGGGATTACAAGCACCTGCCACCATGCCCGGCTAATTTTGATATTTTTAGTAGAGACAAGGTTTCACCATGTTGGTCAGGCTGGTCACAAACTCCTGACCTCAGGTGATCTGCCCGCCTTGGCCTCCCAAAGTGTTGGGATTACAGGCATGAGCCACCATGCCTGGCTTCCCTGCCTATCTTTGTGTTGCCTTTTTAAGTTTTCCTTTGATGGTCTGTCCTGTCTGTGATTTCTGTATAGGACTCTGTATCTTCAGCTGTGGTATTATTTTTGTTTTGTTTTTGTCTTTTAAATTAAGCCTCGGTTGAGCCATTGTGATGTATATTAAATAAATACATTTTGGTTATTAAAAAAAAATGAAGGTGAAATAAAGACCTTCCCAGAAAAATAAAAGCTGAAGGTGTTTATCCACACTAAATCTACCTTACAAAAAAATGCTAAAGGGAGTTCTTCAAGTTGAAACAAAAGGACACTTGACAGCAACACAACGGCGTAAAAAATATAAAGCACTCAGTAAAGGGAGGTATATGGAAAAGTACAGAATTGTATAATATTCTAATGGTGGTACATAAATCACATTTAATCCTGGTATAAAATTTGAAAAAGTATAAATAGAACTATAATTATCAAACTTTGTTAATGAACATAAAATATAAAAATATGCAATTTGTGAAATAAATAACATAAAGTAGGGGAGATGTAAAATTTTTTATGTAATTGATATTAAGTTTTTGTCAGCTTAAAATAAATGGCTATAATGATAAGGTATTATACTTAATCCCCATGGTAATCACAAAGGAAATATCTGTAGAAGATATACAGAAGAAAATGAGAAAGGAATCAAACTTGTCACTAAAAAAAAATTAACAAAACCTAATGAAAGGCAGCAAGAAAGGAAAAGGGACAAAATAACTGCAAAGTATACAAAAAACAATCAACAAAATGGCAAAGTATGTCCTTTCCTGTCAGTAATTTTTATATGTGTAAATAAAAAGAAATAGAGGGCTGGCCGAGCGCGGTGGCTCACACATGTATTGCCAGCATTTTGGGAGGCCAGGACGGGCAGATCACCTGAGGTCAGGAGTTCGAGACCAGCCTGGCCAACATGATGAAACCCCATCTCTACCAAAAATATAAAAAATTAGCAGGGCATGGTGGCGTGCACCTGTAATCCCAGCTACTCAGGAGGCTGAGGCAGGAGAATAGCTTGAACCTGGGAGGCGGAGGTTGCAGTGAGCTGAGACCATGCCACTGCACTCCAATCTGGGTGACAGAGCAAGACTCCATCTCAAAAACAAACAAACAAACAAAAAAAAAAAAAAAAGAAAAAAGAAATAGAGTGGTTCAATAGATTTTTCAGAACCTCAAGACCCACTCACCTTAGATACAAAGATACATATAGGCTGTGTATTAGTCCATTCTCACAGTGTTATGAAGAAATACCCAAGACTGGGTAATTTATAAAGGAAAGAGGTTTAATTGACTCATAGTTCTTCATAGCTGGAGAGACCTCGGGAAACTTACAATCACGGTGAAAGGCAAAGGAGAAGCAGGCACCTTCTTTTCAGGGTAGCAGGACAGAGTGAATGCAAGCAGGGGAAACGGTAGATGCTTATAAAACCATCAGATCTCCTAAGACTCACTCATTACCATGAGAATATGGGGGAAACCATCCCCATGATCAAATTACCTCCACCTACCCTGCCCTTGACATGTGGGGATTATTACAATTCAAGGTGAGATCTGGATGGGGACACAGAGCCAAACCATATCAGGCTGCAAGTGAAAGAATGGAAAAAGGTATTACATGCAAATTGCAACCAAAAGAGAGCAGTGCTGGCCAATTTATATCAGACAAAATAGACTCTAAGACAAAAACTGTCACAAGAGACAAAAATGAACATATAACAATAAAAGAATCAATTTTCAGCTGGGCGCAGTGGCTCAGGCCTATAATCTCAGCATTTTGGGAGGCTGAGGTGGGCTGATCACCTGTGGACAGGAGTTTGAGACCAGCCTGGCCAACATGGCAAAACCCTGTCTCTACAAAAATACAAAAAAAATTAGCTGGGCTTGGTGGTGGACACCTGTAGTCCCAGCTACTCAGGGGGCTGAGGCAGGAGAATCACTTGAACCTGGGAGACAGAGGTTGCAGTGAGCTGAGATCACGCCACTGCACTCCAGCCTGGGTGAGAGTGAGACTCCTTCTCAAATAAAAAAAAGCAAGAATCAATTTTCCAGTCATATAACAATTACATATATATACGTATATATACGTATACGTATACGTATATATACGTATATATACGTATACGTATACGTATATATACGTATATATATGTATATATATACATATATACGTATATATATATATCAGTAGCTCACTCAAATATATGAAGCAAATGTTGAAAGAATTGAAGGGACAAATAGGCAGTAACACAGTAATAGAAGGAGATTTTAATACCTTGCTTTCAATAATGCATAGAATAACCAGACAGAAGATTAATAAAGAAACAGATAACTTGGGCCGGGTGCTGTGGCTCACGTCTGTAATCCCAGCGCTTTGGGAGGCTGAGGTGGGTGGATCACGTGAGGTCAGGAGTTCGAGACCAGGCTGGCCAATATGGTGAAACCCCGTCTCTACTAAAAATACAAAAATTAGCCGGGTGTGGTGGTGGGTGCCTGTAATCCCAGCTACTCAGGAGGCTGAGGCAGGAGAATGGCTTGAACCCAGGAAGCGGAGGTTGCAGTGAGCCAAGATTGTGCCATTGCACTCCAGCCTGGGTGACAAGAGTGAGATTCCATCTCAAAAAAAAGGAACTTGAACAACATTATAGACCAGTTGGACCTACAGACATATACAGAATACTCTAAGAACTACAGAATAAATGTTCTCTCAAACTCACATGGAACATTCTTCAGGATAGATCACATGTTAGGCCACAAAACAAATCTTAAATTTAAGAAAATTGAAATCATACCAACTGTCTTTTCTGATTTTGTTGGAATAAAACTAGAAATCAATAGCAAAAGGAAAACGGGTAGATCACAAATATGGGGAAATTAAACAATACACTCTTGAACAACTAATAGATCAATGAAGAAATCACGAGAGAAATTGGGAAGTGTTTTGAGACAAATGCCAACAAATTTGATAGCCTAGAAGAAATAGAGAAATCTCTAGAAACATACAACCTACCAATATTGAATCGTGAAGAAATAAAAAATCTGAACAGATTTAAAGCTAGTAGAGAGATTAAATCACTAACCAAAAACTTTCCCACCTAGAAAAGCCCAGGACCAGGTGGCTTCACTGGAGAATTCTACCAAACACTTAAAAAAGAATTAATATAAATTATTTGCAAACTTTTTAAAAAATTGAAGAAAAAGGAATTTGATGAGACCAACATTACTCTGATTCCAAAATTAGACAAAGATACTACAGGTAAAGAAAACTACAAACTTCCCTGATTAATATTGATGCAAAAATCCTCAACAAAATACTAGCAAACCAAATTCGATGACACATTAAAAGGTTTATACACCATGACCAAGTGGGATTTATTCCTGGAATACAAGGATGGTTTAACATATGAAAATCAACAATGTAATATCACATTAAAAGAATGGAGGACACTATGTTCCAACTGTTCTATATATATGTAAGTAAAAAAAGAAAAAAGAATGAAGGACAAAAACCACATGATCATTTCAATTGATGCAGAAAAAGCCTTAGAAAAAAATTCTACACCCTTTCATGATAAAAACACCTGACAAACTATCAATAGAAAGATATTATCTGACCATATTAAAGTGTATACAAAAAGCCCACAGCCAACATCAAACTCAGTGGTGAAAAACTGAAAGCTTTATCTCTAAGGTTAGGGACAAGGCAAAGATGCCCATTCTTGCCACTTCTATTCAACATAGTAATGGAAGTTCAGCTAGAGGAATTAGACAAGAAGAAAGAAACTAAAGGCATCTAAATCTGAATAGAAGAAGTAAAAATACTTCTGTTTATAATATTATATGTAGAAAATTCTAGAGATTTCACACACACACACACACACACACACACACAAAGCTCTTAGAACTAAAGAACAAATTTAGCAAAGTTGCAGGGTACAAAAATCAACACATGAAATTAGTTTTATTTCTATATCTAACAATGAACAATTTAAAAAGAAAATTAGGAAAACATCCCATTTACAAGAGCATTGAAAAAAATAATATACTCAGGAATAAGCTTAATCAAGGAGGTGAAAGACTTATATACTGAAAACTACAAAACATTGCTGAAAGAAATTAAAGAAGATATAAATGCATGTAAAGATATTTCACATTTATAGATTAGAAGACTCAATGCTGTTAAATGTTCATACTACCCAAAGAAATTTGCAGATCCACTGCAATACTTATCAAAATCCAATGACATCTTTGAAGAAATAGAAAAAATTTTCTAAAATGTATATGGAATCCTAAAGAATCCTAAGGAATAGCCCAAATAATTCTGTAAAAGAAAACAAAACTGAAAATCTCACACTTCCCAATTCAAAATACTACTCTGACAGTGATCAGAATAGTATGATACTGGCATAAAGACCTATAGACCAATAGAATATAAGAGAGATCCCAGAAATAAATTTTCACATATGTGGTCAAATGATGTTTGAGGAAGGCAAGACCATAACCAAAGCCTGCTTTCTGGAATAGTACCAATGCCAGTGTGGAAGATCTGTGGGCCTTATTGATGAATATAAAGATTTCAGTGGCTGGGTGCAGTGGCTCACACCTGTAATCCTAGGAGTTTGGGAGGCTGAGGCGGGCAGATCACCTGAGGTCAGAAGTTTGAGAGCAGCCTGGCCAACATGGTAAAACCCCGTCTCTACTAAAAACACAAAAATTAGTCGGGCGTGTTAGCACATGCCTGTAATCCCAGCTACTTGGGAGGCTGAGGCAGGAGAATTGCTTGAATCCAGGAGGCGGAGGTTGCAGTGAGCTGAGATCGCGCCACTGCACTCCAGCCTGGCCAACAAGAGTGAAACTCCGTCTCAAAAAGAAAAAAAATCTAAATGCCTTTAACAGCACCCAAGTCACCTCTTGAATGCTTTCCTGCTTAGAAATTTCTTCCACAAGATACCCTAAATTATTTTTCTCAAGTTCAAAGTTCCACAAATCTCTAGGGGCAGGAGCAAAATGCCTCCAGTCTCTTTGCTAAAACATAACAAGAGTCACCTTTACTCCAGTTCCCAAGTTCCTCATCTCCATCTGAAACCACCTCAGCCTGGACTTTATTGTGCATATCATTATCAGCACTTTGGGCAAAGCCATTCAACAAGTCTGTGGGAAGTTCCACACTCTCCCACATTTTTCTATCTTTTTCTGAGCCCTTCAAACTGTTCCAACCACTGCCTGTTACCTAGTTCCAAAGGAAAAGTGTAAAATAATGAAATTTGATTCTTATATCATTTATAAAAATTAACTTAAAAAAGATAATAGACCTGAATATAAGACCTGAAACTTTAAAACTCCTAGAAGAAAACACAGAGGGAAAGCCTCCTGACATTGGACTTGGCAATACTTTCCTGGATATGATACAAAAAACACAGGTAATAAAAGCAAAAATAGACAAATGGGACTATATCAAACTTAAACCCTGTGCATCAAATAAAACAATCAAGAAAGTAAAACGCAACCTACAGAATGGAAGAAATATTTGCAAACCATTTGATTGTTAAGGACTTAATATCTAGAATATATAAAGAACATTTACAGCTCAACAACAATAAAAACGCATAACCTGATTAAAAAATGGACAAATGACTTGAGCAGACATTTCTCCAAATAAAATATATGTGATGGTTAATTTTATGTGTCACCTTGACTAGAGTAAGGATTGTCTAGAGAACTAATAAAGCAATATTTGTAGGTGTGTTTGTGAGGGTGTTTCCAGAGGAGATTGGTGTGCAAGTCAGTGGACCATATAGGGAAGATCCACCCTCACTGTGGGCAGGCACCCCAGGCAGCTGGGGTCTGGAAAGAACAAAAAAGGCAGTAAAGAGGCAAGTATCTCTTTTTCTCTCCTAGAGCTGGGGCACCCTTCTTCTCTTGCTCTTGGACATCAGAACTCCAGTCTCTCCAGCCTTTGGAGTCCAGGACTTATGCTAGTGGTCCCCTGGATTCTCAGGCCTTCAGCCTCGAACTGAGATTTACATCATCAGCTTCCTAAATTCTGAGGCTTTTGGACTTGGACTGAGCAACCCTATTGGCTTTCAGGAGTCTCCAGCTTGCAGACAGCCTATTGTGGGACTTCTCACTCTCCATAATCATGTAAGCGAGTTCCCCTAATAAATCCCCCATCTATCTATTATCCATCCATCTCTCACTGGTTTTACCTCTCTAAGTATATGAAAAGATGCACAGCATCACTAGTCATCAGAAAAATGCAAATGAAAACCACAGTGAAATACTGCTTCACACCCCTTAGGAGGACCACTGTAAAAAAACAAAAAACAAAAAACAAAACAAAAAACAGAAAATAACAAGTGTTGGCAAGAATGTAGAAAAATTGGAACCAGTACGGCGATTCCTCGAGAAATTAAAAATAGAAGTATCATATGATCCAGCAACCTGACTTCTGAGTATAGATTCAAAATTGAAAACAGGCTTTCAAAGTGATGTTTGCACACCCATGCTTATTGCAGCAAAATTCACAATAGCCAAGATGTGGAAACAACTTAAATGTCTATGGACAGATGAATGGATAAGCAAGTGTGGTATACACATACAATGGTGTATGAGTCATTTCTCACACTGTTATAAAGAAATACCCAAGATTGGGTAATTTATAAAGAAGAAAAGTTTAATTGCCTCACAGTTCTGCAGGCTGTGCAGGAAACATGGTGGCTTCTGCTTCCAAGGGGGCCTCAAGGAAACTTACAATCATGGTGGAAGGCAAATTGGGAGCAGGTATGTCTTACAGGGCCCAGGCAGGAGCAAGAGAGAGAGGGGAAGTGCTACACTTTTAAACAACCAGATCTTCCAAGTACTCACTCACTATCATGAGACCAACACCAAGGAAGAAATCTGTCCCCATGATCCAATCACCTCCTACCAGGCACTGCCTCCAATACTGGGAATTAGAATTCAACGTGAAATTTGGGTGGGGACACAGACCCAAACCATATCAAATGGAATATTATCCATTCTTTTAAAAAAAGACATGTTGTCTTATACTACAACATCCATGAACCTTGAAGACATTATGCTAAGCAAAATAAGCTAGTCACAAAAAGGCAAGTCTTGCATGATTCTACTTATATAGGGGTATCTAAAGTAGTTAAACTCTTAGAAAGTAGAATGGTGGTTGCCAGGACCTGGGAAGAGAGAGGAAAAGGATCATTGTTGTTCAGTGGGTATAGAGCTGCAGTTTGCAAGATTTTTCTTACCACAATTAAGAAAAATCATGTCTCTCGCACAACATGTGTAGGGATAAAAGTACAAAATATTTTGTAATGTTAAGAAACTTCAATATTAGGAGGAATTAACCATGTTTATGGATTGCAAGGCTCAGTATCCTAAAGGTCAATTTATCATAAATTCATCTTTAGATTTAATGTAACCTCAGTCAAAATTTCAACAGGTTTTTTGGTAGAACTTCAGAAGCTTATTCTAAATTTTATATAGAAATGCCAAGGACCGGCCGCGGGCGGTGGCTCACGCCTGTCATCCCAGCACTTTGGGAGTCCGAGGCGGGCAGATCACAAGGTCAGGAGATCAAGACCATCCTGGCTAACACGGTGAAACCCCGTCTCTACTAAAAAATACAGAAAAATTAGCCAGGCGTGGTGGCGGGCGCCTGTAGTCCCAGCTACTCGGGAGGCTGAGGCAGGAGAATGGCATGAACCCAGGAGGCTTGCAGTGAGCCGAGATCGCGCCACTGCAGTCTGGCCTGGGCGAAAGAGTGAGACTCTATCTCAAAAAAAAAAAAAAAAAAAAAAAGAAAAAGAAAAAGAAATGCCACAGACCAAATATAACCAGGACATTCTTGAAGATATAGTGGAAGAAAGTAGCAAGATTTGCTCTACCAGAGTTCAAATTTACCATAAAACTAATTTACTATGAAACTATCATTATTCAGACAATGTGTAGTTGGCAAGATGATCTACATAATTTGCAGGACTCATACAAAATGAAAATGCAAGGCTCCTTGCTCACAAACTATTAAGAATTTTGGGACAGCACCCCTAACGCATTAAGTCAAGTACAGGAGTCTTCTAAGGATGGGGCGCTGTACAGTGCTGCATTCTGTATGTTCATTTAATTGATGACAAAAAGTGACAGTGCAGAGCAGCAGGGAAAGGACAGCGTTTTCAGTGCAGCGTTTTCAGGTGGAAAAAAATGATAGACTTAAAACCATGAGAAGTCCCTAAAAAGGAAGGGAATTCTGACACTTGGTACTACACAGATGAACGTTGAAGACACTATGCTAATGAAATAAGCCAGATACAAAAGGGCAAATAATGCCCGATTCCGCTTACATATGATACCAAGAATGGTGAGATTCATAGAGATGGAAAGCAGAATAGCAGATGCCAGGGGCTGGAAGAGGGGGGAATAGTGAGTTATTATTTAATAGGTACAGAATTTGTCTTTGGGAAACTGAAAGTGTTGTGGAGATGGATAGTGGTAAAGGCTGCACAATAATATGAGTGAACTTAAAGCCACTGACTTGTACACTTAAAAATAGTTAAAATGGTAAATGTTATGTATATTTTACCAGAATTAAATAAAGATGAAAAGCAAAACAATGTATCTGTAGAAGAAAATACAGGAGACTAACTTTATGATCTTAGCACAGAGAAAGATTCTTTTATTTATTTATTTATTTATTTATTTATTTATTTATTTATTTATTTATTTATTTTGAGATGGAGACTCACTCTGTCATCCAGGCTGGAGTGCAGTGGCGCAATCTCGGCTCACTGCAAGCTCCGCCTCCCAGGTTCACACCATTCTCCGGCCTCAGCCTCCCGAGTAGCTGGGACTGCAGGCACCCGCCACTATGCCTGGTTAATTTTTTGTTATTTTTAGTAGTGACAGGGTTTCATCATGTTAGCCAGGATGGTCTCGATCTCCTGACCTTGTGACCGCCCGCCTTGGCCTCCCAAAGTGCTGGGATTACAGATATGAGCCACCGTGCCTGGCCTGATTCTTTTATTTTAAATTAAAGATCATGCTCTGTTGCCTTGGTTGGAAGGGGAAGATTGTTAAACAAGGTCCAAACAGCACTAATGATAAAGGAGACATTTGATAATTTTGATTCATTAGAATTAAGAAACTTTTCTTCATCAAAGGACACTATTAAGAGAGTGAAAAGCTAAGTCACAAAGTGAAAGAAGATATTTGCAGTACATACACCCAGCAAAGAGGTCATATCTAGATATATAAAGTACACCTAAAAATCAATAAGAGAGAGAACAATGAGTAAAAGGGGAAAAAATGGGTGTCTTAGTCTGTGTCATGCTGCTATCACAGTACACCAAGGATTGGGTAATTTATAAAGAACAGAAATTAATTTTCCTACAGTTCTGGAGGCTGGTAAGTCAAGATTAAAGGGCCGGCATCTGGCAAGGGTCTTCTTGCTGCATCACGACATGTTGGAAGGCATCACATGGTGGAAGGGCAAAGAGAGGGTGAGGTAGAGAGTAAAATACCCTTGAAAACAAACCCACTTCCATGATAATGGCACAAATTCATTCACTCTGCCCTCGTGGCCTAACCACCTCTCCTTAAGGCCCCACCTCTCAACACTGTTGCTTTGGGGATTAAATTTCCAACATATACTTTCTAGGGGACACATTCAAAGGTTAGCAATGGACAAAATGTTTCAACAAGTTGAAAGAGAAGATATCTAAATGGCCAATAAACATGTAAATGTTCCTTAATCATGTAAATTCAAATCACAATGAGATCATTCCATATTCTGAAAGTCTGACAGTGCCAAGTATTGGTGAGACCTTGAAGTCATAGGCACTCAGAACACTGCTGGTGGTAGAATCTCCATTCTTTGGAGGAGGATGTAACAGTATCCACTAAAGCTGAAGACAAGTACACTCATGAGCCTCCAATTCATCATAGCCCCTGCTACGGACTGAGTATATATGCACCACCCCAATTCATACGTTGAAATTCTAACCCCCAAGGTGATGGTATTTGGAGATGGGGCATGCAGCAGATGATTAGGTCATACGGGTGGACCTCTCAGGTGGAGTTAGTGACCTTAAAAAAAGAGACACAAAAGAGCTTGCTGCCTCTTTCTCTCACTCCACCATGTGTGGACACAATGAGAAGATGGCAGTCTACAACCTGGAAGCGAGCCCTCACCGAGAACCCAACTATCCTGGCACCTTGATCTCAGACTTACAGCCTCCAGAACTGTGAAAAATAAGTGCTTGTTGTTTAAGCCATCCAGTGTGTGGTATTATTATTTTTTATTATCTCAGCCCACACTGACTAAGACAGCTCTCAAATGGAAACAACAGAAATGTCCACCAACAGTAGGATGGACTAAAAAATGTATATTCATATAATGGATTTTATGCTGCAGCAAAAATGAATTGCAAATGCCTACAGCAACATGGTTAAATTTTTTTTTTTAGACAGAGTCTCCCTCTGTCGCCCAGGATGGAGTGCAGTGGCGTGCTCTCGGCTCACTGCAACCTCCGCCTCCCAGGTTCAAGCGATTCTCCTGCATCAGCTTCCTGAGTAGCTGGGACTACAGGCACCCGTCATCATGTCCGGCTAATTTTTTGTATTTTTAGTAGAGATGGGTTTTCACCGTGTTAGCCAGGATGGTCGCTATCTCCTGACCTTGTGATCCTCCCGCCTCGGCCTCCCAAAGTGCTGGGATTACAGGCGTGAGCCACCGCGCCCAGCCTGGCCAAATCTTAAAAGCATAATCTTGAGAGAAAGAAGCCAGATCTCAAACCATGCAAACACTGCACGATTCAATTTCTATACCCTGCGAAGACTTGCGGATGCGACCTTATCATTTAGGGACGCTTGCTTATGTGGTCAACTCTAAAGCAACGGAAGGAAGGAAGTGTTGACTGGGAATGCCAGGTGGCAGAGATCTGGGGAAGGGCACGGGGATGGAGGAGGTGGGATACAGATGGATGCAAGTGGTGGCTACACAGGTGTTTGCTTTACAACAACTTGCTAAGTTGAACATTTGCATTTTAAACATTTTTCTGGATGTATGTTATATTTCACAATAAGGAGGAAGACTAGAGAGAAAGGAGGAGAGAAATCAGAGCACTTACAAAACTTTCAGGTCGTTTTGCTGAAAAAGGAAGGTTGCTGGAAGGGGAAGTGAAGTTGAGAATTTTTTTTCCTGGAGCTCTTGCACTGGAAAGGGGGCTCCTTCCTGACCGCCTCTCTCTGCTCCCTGTTTTCCTATCTAGACATGGCCTCTGCCCTCCGTAGAAGGTTCCATACCAGCCAACCGGGCCACACCTTCTCCTATACCTGGTCATTTTCTTTCTCTGTCTCCTTCCCTCCCTCCCTCCCTCCCTTTTCTTGATTCCTCCCTTTTCTTGCTTTCTTTCTTGTTCTCTCTTTCTTTCCTTTTTTTTTTTTTTAAAATAAGGTCTTACTCCGTTGCCCAGGCTGGAGTGCAGTGGTGTGATCACCGCTCACTGGAGCCTCAGTCTCCTGGGCTCAAGATATCCCCCTGCCTCAGCTTCCTGAGTAGCTGGGACTATAGGCATGCACCACCACACCCAGCTAACTTTTAATTTTTTTTGTAGAGATGGGGCCTTGCTTTGTTGCCCAGGCTAGTCTTGAACTCCTGGACTCAAGCGATCCTCTTGCCTTAACTTCCCAAAGTGCTGGCATTACAGGCATGAGCCACTGCACCTGGCCTGGTCATTTCCATTTGAAGCTGGATATTGTGAATTTTACCATGCTGGATGCTGGATATTTTTGTATTATTATAAATAATCTTAGGCTGGGTGCGGTAGCTCATGCCTGTAATCCCAACACTTTGGGAGGCCGAGGCAGGCGGATAACTTGAGGCCAGGAGTTCAAGACCAGCCTGGCCAACATGGTGAAACCCCATCTCTACTAAAAATACAAAAATTAGCTGGAATGGTGGCACATGCCTGATTCCAGCGCCCACTGCACTCCAGCCTGGGCGACAGAGCGAGACTCTGCCTCAAAACAAAGCAGAAAAATAAACACATAAATAATCTTGAGCTTTTTTTCTGAGATACAATGAAGCTACTGAGAAACTGTTTGATCTTGTTGGGTCTTGCTTTTATGATTTGTTAGGTGGGCGTGGAGCAGTGCTTAGTCCAGGGCTGAGTTTAGGCTACCCACTGAGTACTGTGCCCAATGGCCAGTGAATCAGGAGTTATGCGTTCTGGCTGGTGGGAGCCCCCTGGGAGCTCCAGCTGCTGTTCTTTACTTCCATGCGGTGGCTTTTCCCTGGCCCCAGGCAGTTTCTCCACACACATGAGGTGAATAACCGAGGAGTCCCTTTGCAGATGTCCAGGGCTGTGTTTTGCCAGCTCTCTCTGTTTAGGTCCTCTGTCCTAAAAACCCTAGCCACCTTGGTCTCCCTGGGCTGTCAGCTGTGTTCCCTTCTCTCAGGGAGTCCACTCTCTTCCACCAGGGTCCCCCCCTTCCCCAGTCCCTGTGTGCTCTGCACCCTGTACATGCGATCAGGGCAGTGAGCCAGGACTGTTGAAGAACTCACCTGTTTCCCACCTCCCGTTCTACTGAAGGCTATGGGCTAGGATGCCCGTCCAGCCTGTGGGCTCAGACTATGGCACCTTTGTGGGCCCCAGGGAATGTCATCTCAAAGATACCTCTGCCCTGAGAGCCCAGCCCTGTGAGGTCTCCCTGAGCCCTTGGTCTGGAAGCAGTGGTGCCCCTGTGTGGGCTGACACTGACTGGCCACTCAGGCTCCATGCAAGGGACATCAGTCCCACGCCAGTCCCTGGCAGCCGAGGCCACAGCTGCCCCACAGCCGCTCTTGCCCCTCCTGCAAAAGGTGTGGTTTGCCTAGCTCAGGGTCTTATCTGCCCTCGCCATGTGAAGAATCTTCTGGCCCCAGACCACCAGGAGACACCACCCCTCACATTTCTTTTTTGAGCACCTGCCAGATGTAGGAAATCTTTTTAGAACTAAGAGAAGATGGAGAGAGAACAGCCAAGTCCTACCCCAGAGAGATTCCCACCTAGTGGAGGGTAAGAGGCCTGCCATCATTGCCACTGGTGGTACAATGCTGGTGCCAAGACTGTGTGCCAGGCTCGTTGCTTCGCGTCCGTTACTTCATCTCAGCAGACAACTCTCAATATCCCCATTCTACGGATGGGGAAATGAGGCTCAGAGAGGTAAGTGACTTGCTCAGGTTCACACAGCTGCACACAGCTGGACATACAGCTGCCCACACAGTAAAATGCAGGATCAGTGGCAGCAGGAGAGAGACTTGCCAGTTGGAGAGCCAGGAAGGTGCACAGAGGAGGTGGCATTGAGCTGGCTCTGGGGATGGGCAGGCCTTTTATAGAGGACTGGGAAGAAGGGCCGGGAACCAACAGTACCCCCCAAGGGAGGTTCGAATCAGGTGCTTGCCCCCAGTTGAGCCAGAGTTGGGGTGTGGAAAGGCTTGGAAAGCAGGAGAGGCTGTGGATGGAGGTGGGAGAGGCTTGGAACTGGGTCTTTGCTATCTCAGGGGCGTGGAAGGGACTTTTGAGTTTGAGAATGACGTGTCTGGAGCTCCCTGGTTCCACGGGGCTGGACCTGCTAGGGCCTGAAGCGGGTTAAGAGCAGAAATCAAAAACAGGTTTGTTTGTGAGTCAGTAGCTGGGAAAATACTGGGAAGCAGGCTTCTTGGAGCTCCCCTTCATCCTCAGCCCTGTGGATTGGGCAGCAGCCCACGCCTCCCTGCCCCAGCCACAGCCCCCCGTCAATGCCGGCGCGCAGCAGCTTTTGCTCATCCTGCCCTGGTTCCAACCCCAAGGCCATGGGGCAGCCCACTGGGCGCCTTCCTGCATGGGTGTCCCCCTTTGCTGCTGTGTCTAGACTGCAGACACAAGTGCTGGCGGGGGCCGGGGGACTGGCCAAAACTAGGGCTGAAATCATGTTCAAAACCACAGTCAAGGCGGACTTGTCAGAAATATTCCTTTCCTTGAGCCGTCGCAGCTCAGCCTCCTTGAATCACCCTGGCCACTTCCTTCCTGTGTATATCTTATGCACGCTAAGGGACGGGGCGGGTGCAACGTGTGTGTTTTTACTTCTTTTAAGTTTTGTCTATGTTTTGTCCTTTCAATGTGTTGTAGGCTGTGGGGGCGGGGCTGTTCCGAGGGGCCTTTGTCACAGTAAGGGACACTGGGGACAGCTCGGGCTTTCTCTTCAAGCTGAAAACCTTTGGTTGTGAGAATGACTAGGAGAAGGGTCTCGCTAGGGTCATGCTTAGGACCCTTCGCAGGTGGTGTGTTTAATCTCAAAACGGCCTCAAGAGGCTCTCGATCTTTTACAGGTGACAAAGAAGACAAGGAAGACAAGGAAGGTGATCCGGGAGGCTGGAGAGCTTGTCAAGGTCACAGACCCACGGTTTTCCGCCCCCTAGGGTCCAAGCTCTTTCCTGGACATCTGCAGGCAATGTCGACACGCCCTCCAGTGTCTGTGGCGGGCAAAGGATGTGTCTCCACCCCCAGACCTTCCGATCCTGTGCTGAAAGTGTCCCTCAGCCTGTTTCCTGAGAAGCCCAGGGGCTTTTGGCTTGTTACTTTTTCTTTCTCTTGAAGTAAACAGAATAAAAGAGAGTTGCTCAGACGTCTTTGGCTGTGACCCACAGGAGATGATGCAATCTCCACGGCACCCCCACATGCATGTGTATGCACAGGCGTGTACAGATATCTAAAACTGGCACCAATTTCACAAAAACACTCACCCTTATGCGAGACACATTCACCCTACACTCATCCCCCATCTCTACAGAAAATTAAAGTATACATTCATAGTTGCTGTATTCATGCATGTACAGATGTATGTACATTTATTCATGTATGTGTATAACTTATGCCATTTTCATGAAACACTCACCCTACGTGTGATACACTCCTATTTTCTAGGAATCGCCGCCCACTGAGCTTATGTCCAAACCTTAGTGGATCATAGTCTAAGTTTGGCAAACACTGAGCCGGGAGGAGTCATGTCTGCAGGGCCCCAGGAGTCCCTTAATTTGGGTCCTGATCACTCTGCTCCACCCAGTGGAGCAGGCACATGCACTTGGCCCATAAGGAAGGAAAGGAGGGCGGGGGAAAAAGGGAGGGAGGGAGGGAGGGAGGGAAGGAGGGAGCACCTCCACCATCGTAGGCAGGACCTGTGAGAGCTGAACAGGGCCAGGCAGCTAGGCACCACTCTGGGACTCTGGGGTTTCTTAGGGGATGACTTGTTTCTGGGGTCCCAGTAGGAGGAACTCAGGGTGACGCCTCCGAGGATGTGAGTGCATGTGGCAGCCGGGCCCCTCAGCCCCTCTGTGTCCTGGTATCCTCTAAATGCAGATGATGGTGAGAATCCATGCCCAGCCCGTGGCTCGGCCCATCTCTGGGAGAGCGTGTTTACCACAGCACTTGGTGTGGTAGGAGGTGAGCAGGGTGGAAGTGCTTTGCATTCACGTGGGACTTCTGGCTCTCAGTTCATCCCACCCCCAGGGCCCGGCATGAGTGAGGCAAGGGTGGGTGGGAGGGTGCAGGATGTGGGAATGCCATGTGCTGTGCACTGCTCACTTCACCCCTCGCTCGCCCCAGTTGGGGTCCCAGACCAGGAAGCTCCATTCACAGAGGTGTGGCCTGGGGCTACTGCACTGCCCAGCAGGTTGTGGGGTCCCTTTACTCTATGCTGTGTGACAATGTTACCTTCCTGGAAAGAACCCGACCAGCCCCCTTTTGCTAGTCATTACCACAGATAGGAGAGAGAACTAAATATCTAGCCAGCCATCCTCTCGGAGCTCCGGAGCTCAGGTCACCAGGCTTCAGGGACTCGCTGCCATCCTCACAGGCTTAGATCCCTGCTGCAGGGTCAGCTAGGTAACCCCTGAGGGTGGGGTGTTCAAAGTTCAGGCTGCCCCCCAGACGTGTGGAATGCCAGCCCTGACTGCCAGGGCGATCTGAGGTGGACTGACCATCCCCTGGACACTTTCATGAAGTGTGGGCACGGGCGCGACAAGTGGCCATTTATCATCCTTCCCTGCAAAGACTGGGCCAGGTTAGAGATGGACCCCAGCAGTTTCATACCCACCAAGGGCACTGGGAGCTTCCACATAGTCACTGCCAGTAGTGGCTGCTGGCTGGGGAGAGGATCTTGGAATGCTGGTCACTGGAGGCCCTCACAGGTGACTGGGAATGTGGAGGAGCAGCAGGGTGCCTCTTCTCTGCCATGCCTTATGTTGGGGTTTGCTCTGGTTCCCCTCGCAGCCACTTACAGCTCCCCCATTGATGATGGGGCACTGCCAGCCCAAGGCCTGCCTCAAAGTCTAAATATCTGTGGGGTGGGGTGCAGGGAGGCGTGCACCCCAGAAAGCAATCCTGGGATCTCCCTTTCTACCTTAACCTTTCTTCCCACTCGGGGGCTTCCTCCCATGAGTGTTGTCAGGTCTTAGCAAATAAAAATACAGGATACCCAGTTATATTTGAATTTCAAATAAAAATTTGAGTAAGAGTTTAGTATAAGCACATCCCAAATGTTGCATGGATGTTCTGCATTTTATCTGGCAGCTGTACCTGCTAGACCTTGGGCTCTGTGGTCGGGTCTTTGGACATGACATCTGCACGGGCTGGGGGCTGAGGCTGCTGGCCAGGGCGAGCCAGGGCAGGCCACCAGGCTGCAGAACCCACATGCAGAGAATGGATGTGAGGAGAAGGGGCCAGAGGAAACAGGCCCTGCAGGTGCAGGAGAGAGAAGCTGCACACGCTCCCAAGGACCCGAGAGCACTCATGTGGGTGGGCCGTGGTCTCCTGTGGCCTGCTAGGAAATCCCCCTCTGCCTGAGCTCACTTGAGAAGGTCTCTGTTTCCCAAACCCTGTCCCCCATTGCACCCAACCCTGCAGTGAGTCACGAGGAGCTCTCCCATGAGGGGCAGAGGAGGCTCACTCAGTGACCCCTGTGCCACCCCACGTCAGAGGAGATGGGGCTCTCTAGTGGTCCTAGGAGCACCTCATTTCTGTCACATCCCCACCCCTGGGCCCACAGGACATGAGCTTGAAGGGAAATGGGAAGACTGGGCATGAGAGGGAAGGGCCAGGATAGACACACCCCCAGCAGAAGGGCCTGTGTCTTCCTGCTCCCACACAGAGGCCGGGTAACTTGCTTTTTTTACTAACAGGTTGGCCTTAGGGGAAAAGGGGACCTCACCAAAGGAGTGCTACTAGTGGGTCAGCCTAGCTTAGGAGAATTCTGTGTTGGGCTTTGCACCAAAGACCAATTAGTAATTGGAATTTTTCATTTATAACTGAGGATATGGCTCAAGCTAGCTTAAACAGAGAGAGGACACGTATCGGCTGTGTAATGGGTCATAGCTTCAGGCACAGTTGGTTCTAGAAGCTCAAGTTGGATCTGTATTCTCTCTCTCTTTCTCTCTCTCCACAATTCTATTCTGTTTCCCCCCTTTTTAGGCTTCTTCCTCAGACCAGCTCTCCCAGCAGCAAGCTGATCATCAATAACTCCAAGGTCAGAGAAGCTAGAGCTTCCAGAGCGGAGAGCTCAAGAAAGTCCCCATGGTCTTTCTGACTCCTCTCCCTTGGGTCATGTGCCCAGCCCCTTGGCTGGAGAGGCAGAACTGGGACCAGCCCAGTTCTTCACTCAGCCCAGTCACATCTTCACTCTTGTACAGGTAGGAGGTCCATGTACCAATGGGGAATGGGAGTGACCTCTGCAGGCCACACCCATGCTGAATTCTCTGCCTGCCTCCCGAGTGCATGTGTTCCTAAGTGAGGCTGAGTGCGGCTTCAGCTGATCTTAAGTACTTCACAAGAGACCTCTTCTCCATAGCACTCTGCGAGCACCCATTGTTGAGACTTCTAACAAGCCAATCAGATGGCCATGTAATTACAGACAGTTTCCAACTTATGATGGTTCCACTTATAATTTTCCTGATTTTATAATGGTGAGAAAGCAATATGTATTCAGTAGGAAGCGGTAAGATACTCTCTCGATGCCGGACACCAGCCACGTGATCACGATGGTAAACGACCTTATAGGGGACTGTGCGGCCAGACAATTTGCCCAGCTGTAGGCTAAATGAGTGTTCTGAGCATGTGTAAGGTAGGCTGGGATATGATGCTCAGTAGGTTAGGTGTATTACATGCAATTTCACCTTATGAAATCTTCAACCTACAATGGGTTTATTGGGATGTGACCTCATAGTAAGTCCAGGAGCACCTCTATGCAGCTGACAGGTGACAGAGTGCAGCCCCAGGCAGCAAGCCAGCCTCCTGTGAAAGCAGGGTGTAGGTAGAATCAGTCCACAGGCTCCGGCCCTTTGCTGATGGAGACTTTCAGCGCCGACCCCATCTGACTCTCCTCTCCTTCCAGACCCCTGGGAGATGACACTCCTGAATCCCTCACAGGGAGCGAGGTCATGTCATGGATGAAGGCTATGTCACCTCCAGGGGGAGGCATTTACCCGCCAATCTGACTCTCCAGGTCCTCTCATTCTTCCCACCCACAGTGACCATGGAGGAGGCCTCGGGTGGAGACCTGCCACCAGGGCGACTGCTCCTTCAAGAGTTGCCCATGTCTGAAGTGCACTTTATGTGAGGGGAAACGCACCTTCGCTGTGCTCAGCCTTGAGGTTAGGTGCTGTTTGGTGCTGCAGCACGTGTTGGCCTCCCCTGACACCTCAGCTATCCCTGGGCAATCTGAGGCCCCACCGCCCCCATGATAGCTCCTCTGCTCCTTCTCTCAGTCTCTTGGGATCTGCACCATGCCTCCCTCCTCTATCAAATATTCCTGGGCTGGCTGATTGAAATACTAATATGAGCTAATATCTTTTTTTAATTTAAATTGATGAAATTGTATATATGTATGGTATACAACATGATGTGCGATATACAGTATGTATACATTGTGGGTGTCTAAATCAAGCTAATTAACATATCCATTACCTCACCTACATTTTGGTGTAAGAACACTTAAAATGTACTCTCAGCAATTTTCAAGTCTATAATACGTTGTTATTAACTATAGTCGCCATACTGTACAATAGACTTCCTGAATTTATTCCTCCTCTTTAACTGAAATTTTGTATCTTTTTTTTTTCTTTTCTTTTTTTGAGACGGAGTTTCGCTCTTATTGCCCAGGCTGGAGTGCAATGGCATGATCTCGGCTCACGGCAACCTCCGCCTCCCGGTCCAAGCGATTCTCCTGCCTCAGCCTTCCGAGTAGCTGGGATTACAGGCATGCACCACCATGCCCGGCTAATTTTGTAGTTTTAGTAGAGACGGGGTTTCTCCATGTTGGTCAGGCTGGTCTCGAACTCCCGATCTCAGGTGATCCGCCCGTCTTGGCCTCCCAAAGTGTTGGGATAACAGGCGTTAGCCACCGCGCCCGGCCGAAATTTCGTATCCTTTGACCAACATCTGGAACCCCTTCCCCGCTCCCCCTACCAGCTAAGTTCTTAATGGCTGATGTGGGTTAATCGTGTTATGCTATTGGTTAGCCTTATTTCCCACCAAACCTTCCTTTAGGCTTAACCTAGCCCCTTGAGCTTCCTCCGGGGTCCTCTCCTGGGCCTGCGCTGTCCTGCTCCCTGCGTGGGCCTTGCTCCCGGGTGCACAGGTGCACTACGGCCATCCTTCAAGGCAGGATCAAATTCCTCGTGGACTTTCCCAGCGTCCAGACCCCAAGCCTGGGCTCTGGCAGCTGGCTCCTTTCTTGCAGGTCTCTTGGAATCGCTTCGCGCTTGCCGGCCTGGTTGTGGACTGAGGGCTCCTGGAGGGCAGGTCAGGGGTCCAGCCCCACCCCCCACGCCTGTGGATTCTCATCTGCGCTCGGGTCCCGCGTTGGCGGAACTGTGGAAGCTTCAGGCCACCCATCCGAGTCACGCGGACTAGGATGCCCCGCCCCAGTCTTTGGCTGGGGGTGGGAGGGTGGGGGAAGGGCCGGAGTACCGGGGGCCTCTGCGCAGTCCCCGCTCCTGTGGCCGATGTGGCTGCCGGGCGGGCAGCAGGAGAGAGTGGTCCGCGCTGACCCGCGGGCCCTTCGCTGTCCGGGCACCGCCCCAGCGGAGCCAGCGGAAAGCGCGAGTCAGAGTCGCGCGGTTTCGAGGTCAGGGTGACCCGCGAGCGTGGGCGGCGCCTGCAGACCCGCTCCAGAGACGCCCGGTGCCCGCGCCCGGGACCCTGTCCACGCGGCCTCCGCGCTGCGCCGCACCTCCCCCCGCAACCCACCCGGCGTCAGCTTCTCCAGAACCTAGATTTAAATCGGGAAACTGGCTGGACACCAGGATGCAAAGAAAGTCCTTTAATTAAAAAAGAAGCACATGAATGAAAGGAAAAGCGAGGGACATTAGGGTGGGCGAGTTGGTCCCAGAAAGCCCTTAATGTCTTTTTTTTTTTTTTTTTTGACGGAGTCTTGCTCTGTCTCCCAGGCTGGAAGTGCAGTGGTGCGATCTTGGCTCACTGCAACCTCTGCCTCCCGGGTGCAAGCAATTCTCTGCCTCAGCCTCCCGCCACCAAGTCCGGCTAATTTTTGTATTTTTAGTAGAGACGGGGTTTCACCATCTTGGCCAGGCCACTCCTGACCTCGTGTAACACCTGCCTCGGCCTCCCAAAGTGTTGGGATTACAGGCGTGAGTCACCGTGCCCGGCCCTTTATTTTTATTATTCTTTTGAGGCAGTGTCTTGCTCTGGAGGAGTGCAGTGTGGCGATCTCGGCTCCCTGCAGCCTCAGAACTCCTGAGCTCAAGCAAGCCTCCTTCCTCAGTCTCCTGAGTAGCTGGGACCACAGGCACGCACCACCACACAGGTTGTTTGTTTTTGTAGAGAGGTGTCTCACTATGTTGCCCAGGTTGGCCTTGAACTCCTGGGCTCAAGCCATCCTCCTGCCTCACCTCCCAAAGTGGTGGGATTACAGGTGTGAGCCAGGGCGCCCGGCCCCTGTTGATGATATGTTTACATGGCTACAGGGACAGGATAGCTAGTTCACATGAATGCCACTGGCTAAATACGTCCTTGCCAGTATTGGGAGAAGGGCTGCTGCCGGCGGTGGTGAGGGTGATGATGGTAGCCACTGTTTCTATCTTGAGCGCCTAGTGTGTCCAGAGACTTTGCTGAGCGGTTTGCATACAGGGTCTCTATCCTGACTACAGCCCCGCGAGGGTATATCGATTCTTATCCTAACAACAACATTTTACATTGCTGTATAACACATATCAGTCTAAGGCACAATCTCTCGGCCTTTGACGTCACACTTGCTTTTCCTTAATTTCTTCCTTGATGCCCTTTTGCAGTCACTATGGCTGTGTGCCAACCCACCTGGAAACTTAGTGGCTTGACAATGATAACATTTCTTTTACTCTTGAATCTCTGCAAATTGGGTGGGGTTGGCTGGCGGAACGGTTTTAAAGACCCTGCTCTGAGGAGTGTTTTTCCATGACAAAAACCAGTCTCTGTCTGGGGCCACCGAGGCTTGGAGGAAACTGACTGCCAGGACCCAGAGAGCCACATCGTGTTTGATAATTCTGCACCCTAATGCTGGAGGGGGCGCCGATCAGGAGCCTGAGCCCCGCAAATAATAAATGACCCGATCCAAGTCATGCAAAATTACAAAGCAGTTACATTAGGTAGGAAGAGGGGAGACTTGGGTACAAATTGGTACCATAGGCTTCTCTATGACGGTCTGATTTACAGTCATCCAGCAGATGGAGGGAGACAGGGAGCTCAGAGAGGCTTAGCTGTCAGCAGCTGGGCTGGGATCCTAGTCTCCCCACCCTGTGCCTGCAGGGGGACCAGTCTCTTCTCAGAGCAGCCCTTAGTGTTATTTATCAAGACTAGACATTTTTTTCTCATGTAATTCACTTACAACTTTTGTTTTTGTCCTGACGTGTGTGTCTTTTAAAGCACATTCCTCGCATCTTATTTCTGTTTTTCTGACTTCATCTGTTGACTACTCATCACATGTCTATTCATTTCTTCTTGCTTAGTAATAAAAACAGGCTGTGGCCATGTCCCATAAGTTTTGCTGGGCAATTTTCTCATCATTCCCGTCTTATGTAAATGCAGTTTTGTTTTTCTCGGTGAGCTGACATTTCTTTAGGACAGTGGTTTTATTTCTAAGTTTCAAGGGGTTAGATGTTTAAAATTGGGGTGTGATTTACATACATGGCATTTTAAAAATTAAACTTTTAGTTATTGACTTGAAGATTTATTACATTGAGGTTTTTAACCTTATTACCTTTTTTGCCTTTTGGTATTTATTGAGGTTTCTCTGTGGCCCAATATTTCATCGATGTGTATAAATATTGCTTGAATTCTGGAAAGGAAAGTTCTCTGTCTTTGGTGGGTTTTTTTTTTTTTTTTTTTTTTTTTGAGACAGAGTCTCGCTCTGTTGCTCAGGCTGGAGTGCAGTGGCACAATCTTGGCTCACTGCAACCTCTGCCTCCCAGATTCAAGTAATTCTCGTGCCTTAGCCTCCCCAGTAGCTGGGATTACAGGTGCCTGCCACCATGCCTGGCTAATTTTTGTATTTTTAGTAGAGACGGGGTTTCACCATGTTGGCAAGGCTACTCTTGAACTCCTGACCTCAAGTGATCTGCCCCCACTTGGCCTTCCAAAGTGCTGGGATTACAGGCGTGAGCCACCATGCCTGGCCAGTTCTCTATTTTTATATAAAATTTAACATAGATATGACTCATATGTCATAGCCTATAACCACAAAGTCATATGCACACTCATGTTACACCCAGATTATGAAGGCCTGTTGAGACTCCCACCCTCCCTCCCTCCCGTCCCATTGCCAAGGGCACAGTCCTCCATGGAATATGGCTTATGTCCCTACAGCAGTGGAAAGATCAAAGGTACAAACCCAGCTCGAAGCTAGACTTTCTCACCTAGACCAAGTAAGGCTTCCTTTGTTCCCTAATCTGGGCTCTAAGACTTCCTCTTCAACAGTTAGATGACCTCAGACTATGACCTCATGGCCTAGAAATTTACCAGATTGCTCAAGAAAATCTTGGTTTTGGGCCCTCAAACCGATCTCAATCCCAGGAGCTCAAACAGAGCCCAAAAGCCCCAAGAGAGAACCTTTGCCATGGTGTTTCTTCAACCTCACCCACCCACCAGCCTGCATGTGGTCCTCAAGAAAGACTGTTTCCCTTAAAAAAAGAAAGAGTTCACATGACAACTGATGTCTCTGAACAAACGTGTGTGTGTGTGTGTGTGTGTGTAGGTGTGTGTCGGGGGGTCGGGGGGTGGGGGTTGACTTCATTAGCAGTGTCTATTCAATCAGCGATATTGATTACATTATTCAAGGCCTTCATATGCCTGTGGATTTTTAATATACTGCCTCCATCAAAAAGGTGTGAGTGAGGCTGGGCGCAGTGGCTCAGGCCTGTAATTCCAGCACTTTGGGAGGCCGAAGAGGGCGGGTCACGAGGTCAGGAGCTCGAGATCATCCTGGCTAACACAGTGAAACCCCATCTCCACAAAAAATACAAAAAATTAGCCGGGCATGGTGGCAGGCGCCTGTAGTCTCAGCTACTCCGGAGGCTGAGGCAGGACAATGACCTGAACCTAGGAGGCGGAGCTTGCAGTGAGCCGAGATCACGCCACTGCACTCCAGACTGGGCAACAGAGTGAGACTCCCTCTCAAAAAAAAAAAAAAAGTGCGAGTGATACAGTAAAACCTCCCCGTGCAATTGCATTTTTGTCAATTTCCCTTTGTATTTTTTAAAGTTTTCATTTAATACATTTTAGTGGAATAATATTTCCCATGTAAGAAGGATTGTGGAAGTTGTCATTTCATGATTTAGAAAAATAAAATGACCACCTTTGCCTTATTTTCATAGTTGTTGTTTTAGATTCTATTTTCTGTGATTTTTTTTTAAATGTAACATCTGTTCTTTTCACTTACTTGTTTGCAGTAGACCTAGAACATTTTCGTTTGTTCCTTTGCTTTCATTAGCAAATCCACAGTGAGCATCTCCTATATGTATGCCACGTGGTGTCTCAGAACTGGGCTTTGCAGAGTGTCATAGAGACATGGTTCCTACCTTCGTGAATCACATTCCATGCCTCACTCTATTTTAACTGTGTCTCTTATAGCCAGCATATAGTTGGATATTATTTTTTGAGTTTAGTCAACCAATTATGTCTTAGTATAGAGGTATTTGAACTACCCACATTTGTCACTATAACTAATACTTTCGGTATTATTTTTGTTATGCTGTTTCATGCTTTCTGATTTTTTTTTTTTTTTTTGAGACCGGGTTTCACTCTGTCACCCAGGCTGGAGTGCAGTGGCACAATCTCAGTTCACTGCAAACTCCACCTCCCAGGCTCAAGTGATCCTCCCACCTCAGCCTCCCAAGTAGCTGGGACTACAGGCCTGCACAACCACGCCCGACTAATTTTTGTATTTTTAGTAGCGACAGGGTTTCGCCATGTTGGCCAGGCTGGTCTCGAACTCCTGACCTCAGGTGATCCACCTGCCTCGGCCTCCCAAAGTGCTGGAATTACAGGAGTGAGCCACCATGCCCAGTTGCTTTCTAATATTTATGCTTACTTACTCTTTCCTTTGTTTTCTGTCTTTCACTGTCTGGATTTTGTCATCTTTGGTTGTTATATTATTCTGTATTTTATAAGGCATCGTCTCTGCTTCTTTTCTATTAGTAGAGCTCTTTTAGATTATTGCCTATATTAAAAATAATAAGTTTAGAAAAGATTCCTCTTCACCTGGTCTCTTATCCACTCGCTTCTTGGTTCTTAACAAAATAAACTGGCATTGACATCTAGACCACTGGCATGGGACTAGTGCTATGATGTTATGTACTTTCAGCCTTAAGAATAATTCTAAGCATTCACATTCAGTTGTGGAACTGTATTCACAGCACCAGTATAGATTGATCTCTTCTTTCAAGTGATTTATCTGCTCACCATCCATCTTTGACATCATATCACTCTCGTTTTTTGAACCTTTAAATAATTTCATATGTTATTCAATTGGGGTTATGTTTTCAAGAATTTTTGGTGATATAATTTCTGAGCAAGCTTTTGCATATAGTCTTTTGGCTTTTTCACATAAGATGAGATACAATTTAGTTAACTATATAATTCTTGGGTCACAGGCACTCCTTTTTGTAAGTTTCTTAGAAAGAACTTTACTGCCTTCTGATATTTAGCATTGTGGAGAAGTCCGATTCCCACCTTAATTTTTTTTCTTTATAAAGAAACTTTTATTTTTGCTTTCTGCTTAGATATTGGAAGGATGCTAAAAGTGAGGATGTAAAACATTATGGCCACTCTGGAAACCAGGATGGCAGGTTTTTTTAAAAAAAATTAAAGTAAGCATGCTAGAGGTTTATCAATTTTATTGTTTTGATTAACCAGCATTTTACTTCATTGATTTTAATTTCATTGGGTTTTCAGTATAACAACTGTTTTAATATATAATTTGTATGCCTTACAAGTCACCCATTTAAAGTGTGCTGTTCCATAGTTTTAACAGATCCGCTTAAGCCATCACCATAATTTTAGAATATTTTCATCACCCCATAAAGAAACACCATATCAGGCTGGGCGAGGTGGCTCATGCCTATATTCCCAGTACTTTTGGAGGCAGAGGCAGGAGGATCCCTTGAGCTGAGGAGTTCGAGACCAACCTGGGCAACACAGGGAGACCCCACTGTTGCACCACTGCACTCCAGGTTGGGCGACAAAGCCAGACCTTGTCTCAAAAACAACCAAACAAAAATCTTATTTGAGTTCGAAACGCATGTCAATTAGCAGTCACGCCCATTCTTCCCATCCCTCACAGCCCTGAGACAACCACCTGTCTCTTTAGATTTGTCTATGCTGGATGCCTCATATAAATGGAGTAATACAGTATTGGCTCTTTGCCCCTGCTTCTTCCACTTAGCATGTTTTCAAGGTTCATCATGTTGTAGCACGTGTCAGCACTTCCTTTCTATTTTGTATATTATTCCATTGTATGGCTATACCACATTTCGTTTACCCATTCATCAATCAATGCATATTTAGTTTGTTTCCATTTGGGGGGCTGATACGAATAATGCTGTTATGAACATTAGTGTACAGGTTTTTGTGGAGGCATATGTTTTCATTTCTCCTGGGGATATACCGAGAAGCAGAATTACTGTGCCACACAGGAACTCTCTGATTAACCATTTAAAGAACTGCCAGACTCTTCTCCAAACTAGTGGTATCATTTTACATTCCTGCAACAGTGTATTGATATAAGGGTTTGATTTCTCCACATCTTTGCTGACACTTGTCATCTGACTTTTTTTTTTTTTTTTGAGTTGGAGTCTCGCTCTGTCGCCCAGGCTGGAGTGCAGTGGCGCGATCTCGGTTCATTGCAAGCTCCACCTCCAAGGTTCACACCATTCTCCTGCCTCAGCCTCCTGAGTAGCTGGGACTACAGGTGCCCGCCACCACGCCCAGCTAATTTTTTATATTTTTTAGTAGAGATGGGGTTTCACCGTGTTAGCCAGGATAGTCTCGATCTCCTGACCTCGTGATCCACCCGCCTCGGCATCCCAAAGTGCTGGGATTACAGGTGTGAGCCACTGCGCCCGGCCCATCTGGTTTTTTAATCGTAGCCATCATAGTGGTTGTGAAGTGGTATCCCATATCCCACTGTGGTTGAATTTGAATTTTCCTGATGGTTAGTGATATTGACCTTCTTTTTTTTTTTTTATTATACTTTAAGTTCTAGGGTACATGTGCACGAGGTGCTGGTTTGTTACATTTGTATACATGTGACTTGTTGGTGTGCTGCACCCATTAACTTGGCATTTACATTGGGTCTATCTCCTAATGCTATCCCTCCCCCCTCCCCCCACCCCACAACAGGCCCTGGGGTGTGATGTCCCCCTTCCTGTGTCCAAGTGTTCTCATTGTTCAATTCCCACTATGAGTGAGAACATGCGGTGTCTGGTTTTTTTGTGCTTGCGATAGTTTGCTGAGAATGGTGGTTTCCAGCTTCATCCACGTCCCTACCTTCACAGCACGTCTACACTGATGTTGTGGCCAGGCAACTTGGCACTATAGCCTAGCCACGTCGACACACAGACTCAGTCATCATAGTTCACCCCTTGTCACCAGACGCATTTCCTTTAAACTGTACTTCATCTCCAAACAGAGGCATTAAATAACAAGGTCATACTTCCACCTAGCATGATACAACTATTCTGCCTACAACCAAAAATGCACTAACCCTTACCCCAGAAAAAGACAGAAAGTCCTTGAAGGACATTTACTTTTCTTTGATATCCTATAACTTAAACACTAAGATATAAAACTAATACATCTTATATGATAAGGCAATAAGAGATGGAAGAAAACAAATGTTTTTTCAAACACATACACACAAACATATTTGTAACAAAATAAGGAAGAAGCACTTATAACAGTTACAGTCCTTGTTTCTGTCACGTGGTCATAGCTGGTATTTCCAGTTACCCTTGTCTTCTGTGCATTCTGTATTCCCTTTGCCTTCAGTGAGCACCTGATGAAGTGACCTGAACTTCATTATTAAAAGGTTTGGGCCATTAGTAGTTCTGCCTGCGTTGTGCTCTGTTTTTGTTTTTTTTTATGGACTTTAATCACAGGGCATGGTAGTATTAAGAGATGCTCTAAGGGAGCTCTTCTATTCCACACGTGTTCTTCCTTATCTTCTGTGTGCAGTAGCGGTCCGGTTTCCTGTTTGTACTCCAGATCAGTTTCCCCAGCCAGTACAGTAACTCTCTTCTTTGCCTGTTAGTTCATTTGCACAAGGAGCTCAAAGTGGCCGGATGGCAGTCTTAACTTCCAGTTCAATGGAATCAGTATTGTGTCTCTTGGTGGAAGCATTCCTTGCTTTGGAACTAAAACCTCTAGATGAGCAGAGCACAGCACAAAGTTGCAGAGACAGGAAGCAAACAATGTCCTAGTGGTTACTACGCGTAATAGTGAATGGTGCCACTCCCATTTCCATCCTAGATTCCTGGACTATTGAAGAAATCCTGACTATCAGAGAAACAGCACCCTATATGGGACACAGATTCAGAGAATGCACAGCCTGCTGGAGAACCTTGCCCCAGCCCCACAAGGTGTTGCCACCTAGTAGGTGCTGTAACTGCATTTTCAAAAGGCCATTCCACCATTCTATGAAGCCAGCTGCTTCAGGATAGTCAAAAACATAATAAGATCAGTAGATTCCACGAGGATGAGCCAGGGCCACACTTCATGGGCTGTGAAGTAAATTCCTTGATCAGCAATACTGTGTGGAATACCGTGATGGTGGATAAGGCATTCTGGAAGTCCACAGATGGTAGTTTTGGCAGAAGCATTGTGTGCAGGGAAAGGAAATCAATATCTAGAATGTCTATTCCAGTAAGAACAAAACTCTGTCCCTTTTGTGATGGAAACTGTCCAACGTAATCAACCTGCCACCATGTATTTGGCTGAACACTTTGGAAAATGGCACCATGTTGAGGGCTCAGTGTTGTCTCTGCTGAGGGTAGATTGGGCACACAGTAGATTGGGTATATTGTCTCTCTTGAGGGTAGATTGGACACACAGTGGGAGCAATTGCTGGGTCAGCCTTCGTGAGTGGCAATTCTGTGTTGCTGAGCCTGTGCATAGCTTCCATCCCTGCCACCATGGCCACTTTTTGCTCAGGAGCCCATGGATGATGACAAGGGTGGCTGGACAAAGAGGCTGACTGGTGTCATCCTATCCACTTGATTATTGTTATTATTATTATTTTTGAGATGGAGTCTCGCACTGTCGCCCAGGCTGGAGTGCAGTGGCGTGATCTCCGATCACTGCAACCTCCGCCTCCTGGGTTCAAGTGAGTCTCCTGCCTCAGCCTCCCGAGTAGCTGGGATTATAGGTGCCCACCACCACGCCCGGGTAATTTTTTGTATTTTTAGTAGAGACGGGGTTTCACTATGTTGGCCAGGGTGGTCTTGAACTCCTGACCTTGTGATCTGCCTGCCTCGGCCTCCCAAAGTGCTGGGATTACAGGCGTGAGCCACTGTGCCCCGCCTCCACTTGATTATTAAGCTCCTCCTTTTCTGAGGTCACTGTTTGGTGAGCTGTCACATGGGACACAAATATCTTCACTTTTTGTGCCCATTCAGAGAGATCTATACACATACCTACCTTGACACATAATATCAGAGATCTATACACATGACCTCCTTGTCGCCAATTTTCCAGTTATATTCCCTCCAAGTCCCTGACCATCCATTCAGACCATTGGTCATAGTCCATAATTGGTACATAATCACATGTCTGGCCATTTCTACTTCTAAGCAAAAAGAACGAGAGAGAGAGAGAGAGAGAGAGGCTTAAGGGGGAAGGGGAGGGAGAAGGGAAAGGGAAGGAAGACGGGGAAGGGGAGGGAGAGGTGGAAGGGAAGAGGAAAAAGGAGTGGGAGGGTAGGAGGTAGGGAGAGAGAGATTTTAAGAAATTGGCTTGCACTGTTTTGGGGACTGGCAAGTTTGAAGTACGCAGGGCTGGCTGGAAGGCTGGAAATCCCGGCACAAGTCAGTGTTGTAGTCTTGAGTCCAACAGCAATCTGGAGGCAGAATATATTTTTCTGGAGACCTCAGTCGTTTCCCTTAAGGCCTTCAACTGATTGGATGAGGTCCACCCACATGATGGCAGGTAATTTGATTTTACTCAGTGTATTGATTAAATTATTAATTTGAATTAAAAAAATAACTTCACAGCAACATCTGGACTGATGTTTGACCAAGCAACTGGCCCCTGAGCCAAGTTAACCATCACAGTCATGGTGCCTAATCCTTTTTGTAGTTACTGGATTAGTTCTGCTAGTATTTTATTGATGATTTTTGCATTTATATTCATGGGAGATACTGGTCTGTAGTCAATTTAATGGATTTATATTCCTCTACTTCTTATTTCCTTCTTCCTTGCTTTTGGTTTAATTTTGCCCCTTCCCCGGTTTCTTGAGGTAGAAACTTAGACTACTTATTGGAAACCTTTTCTCTATTATTGAAAATGTGGTATTGAAATCTGTAACTCTCATTGCTGAATTGTCTGTTTCTCCCTTCCTTTCTGTCAGTTTATGCTTCCTCCATGTTGGTGCTCCATTACTGGGTGCATAATTTTTAAATAATTGCTTTATCTTCCTGATAGATTAATCCCTTTATCACTTTTAAATATCTCTTTATCTTGACAAACTTTTTTTGGTTTGAAAGTCTAGCTTGTCAGATGTCTGATGTTAGTATAGCCACTCCAACTTTCTTGCAATTGCTTTATGCATGGTGCATCCTTTTTCTATCCACTTACTTCCATCCCACTGTGTCTTTGGGCCTAGTGCATCTCCTGTAGAGAATACATAGTTAGATCATGTTTTTTTAAATCCAGCCAGATAATCTTTGCCTTTTGATTGTATTATTTAATCCATCCACATTTAATGTTATAGTTAGATTTGCATCTGCTATTTTACTTTTTGGGTGCTATATGTTTTACGTCTTTTCAGTCCTCGATTCCCCTTTATGTTAAATATTTTCTAATGTACCATTTTAACTTCATTAATTTTTTTTCACAATTCTTTTAGTTATTTCCTTAGTGGCTATTCTAAGTCTTACTACATACGTCCTAAATTATTAGCATCAGTTTCATATTTATACTAGCTTAGTTCTAGTGATACATAGAAACGTTACTCTTATATAGCTCTGTTCCTTTTATCCCACTTTTGGTGATATTACTGTTATACATATTACATTATTGTTACAAACCCAGAGACTCTTTAATAATTATTACATTATATACTTTTATGTCTTTTAAAGAAGTTTAGAGAAGAAAGAAGACTGAGTATATATTAATAGCTTCTGTTATATTAACCTTCTTCCTTATTTCTAGTTCTTCTCTTTTGTTCCTGTGGACTCAAGTTACCGTCTGTAGCCATTTCTTTAGCCGAATACAGCTTTGTTGCCACCTACCTCCTTTTTATTGTTATTGGCAAGTATATTGCACTTCTATATGTTATATGTCCAACTATACATTCTATATATGTAACTTTATATAATTGCTTTTAAAATCAGTTAAGAGAACAATGAAAAAAACATGCATTTTATATGTCTTTTGCAATTATACGATGTAATTACGTAATTACCTATACCAGCACTTTTTGGGTTTTTTTTTAGGGTACATTCTAATTACCCTCTGGGGTCACTTTGTTTTAGCCTGAAGAACTTCTTTTAGTATTTCTTGTAAGTGGGGAAGTGAAGTCGGGTAGCAACAAAATCTGTCAGTTTTTGTTTATTTGAGAGTTTATTTTACCTTCATTTATTTTTCGTTTTATTTTTTGTAGAGATGGGGTCTTGCTAAGTTGTGCAGGCTGGTCTCAAACTCCTGGCCTCAAGCCATACTTCCACCTCTGCCTCCCAAGTGCTGGGATTACAGGCATAAGTCACCATGCTCAGCTCATCTTCATGTTTGAAAGATAGTTTTGCTGGATATAGTTTTTTTTTTTCTTTTTGAGCATTTTATTTTATTTTTTATTTTTATTTTATTCATTTTTTTTCAAAGTAAACTTCTGCATTTATTTTAAATCACATCCTCGGTGTGACTGCACCTTTTCTGTCCAGCTGTCAGGTGGCCCAATAATGCCTTGGACTCCGTCCCCTTGTCAGTGCCACTGGCTGTTCCTGACTCTAGTTCCCAGGGGAGCCTCAAACTGGGGCCTAGCCAAGAAAGCTACTGGCTAGCATCACATAGCTTCTCCAGCTCAAATAGCCCAAGGTCGGCATGTCTGCCGACCTCCAGGAATAACCGCGGTCACCGTGCCCAGACGACACATCCTCGTGCTATGGGGAGAAGCCTCTGCTGGGTGACCCACCAGCCAACCCTGGGCCAATTTAATTTAGATAAACGCTCAAAGTCCAAACGGCCACAGGAAACCCCTGATGTAACACCTGTTGTGCCGGCCAGCCGTGTCTCAGGAGCTGACTGCAGACACCTGGTCTGGGTCCCTCAAGCCCAGCAGAGCTTGTTATGTCCCCTAAGACAAAGGAGGAAAATGTGGCTCCCCGAGAGGAAGGTGCTGAGCCCCTCACCCCAGGGTGTCACTGAAGATAAGCGGTGACAGTACCGTTGTTCCTTCTGACAGTTGTTCCTTCTGAACAACTTCAAGCTCTTCTCCCTGCTTGAGGTTCTCAGGCTGAATCCCACTGACCGCTGTCCTATAGTCCGTCACGGGCTCGGTTGGTTTGACTACTTGTCATAAACGCACTTCCCCTACTGGTTCATGATGGATACACGGGCGGCCACGCTCTCCTCCCCTTTAGGACTCACGCCCACCATCTCACAGTCCAAGGCTAAGGCTCTTGTCAGGCCGCCGAAGGCCGGCTCTTCCACGAGTCTGAGGCTGACGCTGCCCTCACTGTGACTCAACTGTTTCCTCGCTATCTTGGCCACCTCTGGACCTATGGCAGCTTCGATATCCGCCGGGTCCACGTCGTCAAACCACATGTCTTCCTCGGTGGGTGGGGCAGGGTCTGCCTCCTTAGCTTTCTGCTTCTTATGCTTGATGTCCCCTCATTCTGGAACAATATCACCATTTGTCCTTTCCTTGGTTCCTTTCTTATTGTGCTCTGCTCCGCCGGCCTTGGTGCGAGGTACTGGCGCCTTCCTGTCCATCTTGGAGCCTGAAGGAACAGAGCCCCTGCTGGCCTCTTGGTCTTTTCCCGCCAGCATTTCCTCTCCCTTCACTTGAGGCGAGATCTCTTTTTTGTTTTGCTGGATAATTTTGGGCTTCTTTTTGGAACCCATCTGAGAGATGACAAAAGGCTTTTCTGGGGCCTGAGATTTTTGTTTCAGCAGCCACTCTTGCAGCACCTTCCAGTTTTGAGAAAAGTCTTCTGGTGCCTTTGGAGGTCGCACCACAGCACCAGGGCCGCTTCCTGGCTTCTTGCTTACTTCCTGCGCCTTGCTTTTCCAAAACCTTTTTTTCTTCTTGTTTTTCTTCCAAGTGAGCGTCTTGACAGGACCCGGCTTAGCCACGGGGCTGCTCGGGGCGCGCTTGGAGGTGGGGACCTTCGCCTTCCCCATCCTGCTGCAGTCCAGCGCCTGGGCCGGCCGCCACCCGAGACCCCGGCCTCCCCGGGCCCGGCGCCCTGGCAGCACAAGCGCCTGCCCAGGCCAGGCCGAAACACACCCGCCGCAGGGACCTATTTTTTATTTTTTTGAGACAGAGCCTCACTCTGTTGCCCAGGCTGGAGTGCAGTGGCACGATGTCAGCTCACTGCAACGTCTGCCTCCTGGGTTCAAGCGATTCTCCTGCCTCAGCCTCCCGAGTAGCTGGGATTACAGGTGTGTGCCACCACACTTGGCTAATTTTTGTATTTTTAGTAGAGATGGGGTTTCACCATGTTGGCCAGGCTGGTCTTGAACTCCCGACCTCAGGTGATCTGCCTGCCTTGGCCTCCCAAAGTGCTGGGATTACAGATGTGAGCCACCATGTCTGGCCTGTTTGAGCATTTTAAATATGTGATTCCAGTGCTTTTTGGCCTTTTTTTTTTTTTTTTTTTTTTTGAGAATGCAGCTGTGAATCTTATGGGAATTCTTTTGTAAGGGACATGTTTTTGTTTTGCTTTGTTTTGTTTTTTTGTTTGCAGGTTTTCAAAATTGTCTACTTGATTTTGGCTTTCAGCTTTTTTTTCCTCCAGCACTTTTACTATTTGAGATATAGTACATTTTACTCTTTGTGGATGTCTGTGGTTATCCTACTTGGAGTTTGTTGAGCTTCCTGGATGTATATTGTTTTTCAATCAACTTAGAAATTTTACAGTCATTATTTATTTGAATATTTTTCCTTCTCTTCTGTCTGCTCTCCTGGTATTCTCATGATGTGTATACTAGTGTGCTTGATGGTGTCTCATATATCTCTGAAGCTCTGTTCACTTTTCATTTATTTTTCTCTCTGTTCTTTGGCTTGCATACTCTCTGATGATCTATCTTCAAGTTAATGAATTCTTTCTTCTGCCAGTTTTAATCTTCTGCCAGTTTAATCCACTAAAAACTCTAGTGAATTTTATTTCCATTATTGTACTTTCCAATTCCAGTATCTTCATTTAAAAAATAATTTCTCTCTCTTTGTTGCTATTTCCTATTTGATGTGATATTGTCATCATGCTTTACTTCTTGAATCATGGCTTTCTTTAGTTCTTTGAACATATTATAATGGCCACTTTAAAGTCTTTGTTAAATCTGACACCTATTTAGCTGCTCTTGTCACAAAAAAGTAGCTATAGGAGATGACAGCTATGTTCATCTGCTACACTATTGTAACCATTTTTCTGTGTATACATATAACATCATGTTGTAAACCTCAAATATAGACAAATAAAATTTATTTTTAAAAATCTGACATCGAGTTACTCTCACAGGAAGTTTCTCTTGCTGTTTTTTTCTGAGGTACAGATGATGCTTTCCTGTTTCTTAGCATGTTTCATTATTTTTTGCTGGGATATTTTAGATAACAGATAATATATTGTAGCATCTCTGGGTGCTTGTCCCCATTTCCCCCAGAGGGCTTGCTATTTACTTGTTTATTTTTTAGTGAAGGGCTGGATTGTTTAAGTGAAACCTACTCCCCTGGTGTTGAACATTTGCTATTGCTTCTTCAGGCAGCTTTGGCTCCACAGTCACAGTGATGGCAGTGGTTTTGGCAGTCCCTCTTTGACTGTCTCTTTCCCTGACCACACCAGCTTTAAGCTCCAGTAATTGCTGGCTGATTGTGGTGTTGTTCTCAACAATGCCCTTGAGATTCAATTGCTCTACAGACGGAGTCAATCAAATACAGGATCCTTTGAAGGAGTGGTTCTGGAGGTTGGTACTGTTGGCCCTCCATATCATTGAGTTCCACAGCCATCATTTAACCAACCGCAGATAGAAAATACTGTTAGTTTGTTTTTTTTTAAAGAAGAAGATGGTTGTGTCCATATTGAACTGCCTTTTTTCTTTGTCATTATTCCCTATGCAATACAGTATAACAAATATTTACCTAGCATGTATATTGCATTAGTATTTACCTTGCATAAGTAATTTAATGATTCAAAGTATATGGGAGGATGTGTGTATTTTATATGCAAATACTAGGCCATTTTATACAAGAGACTTGAGCACTCATGGATTTTGGTATCCTTGGGGAGTCCTGGAACCAATCCTTGTGGATATGAACTGAATTTGATATATGTTCTGACTCCAGATGAACTCCTCAGGTTCTCTGGGAAAAATCTCCAAGCAATGGATATTGAGCTGGGGGTGGGGACAAGGGTGCACTTCTCTCCAGGTGATAGTCCCACCTCAGGAGCTAGGCACTTGATGGATGGAGGTGGGCAGTAGCTTTGGGTTTTTTCAGCTTACCTCTTCTGGTGGGGCCTCACTATTCTCAGCAGCACTGTGCCCAAGGCAGAGCCTTCATGTCACGAGTGGTGGCTGGACATCAGGGAGCCCCCACCTCTCGTCACCCTCACCTAGAACTTAACCTCAGGCAGCTGGAGGCAGGATAAGAAATGCTGACCTGCCTCTCCTGGGAAGATACTGTGGACCTCCAGCTGAGACTCCAGGTACAGGGGAATGTGGCTGCTTCTCCTACATGCAGATGAATGCAGCTGCTTCCCACTCATACTTCTGGAACAGTTGTCCCCATCCACTGCACCTTGCTCCTCAGGCTGGAGGGTCTACAGGGCAATTGGACTCAGCACTGCTTCTGGTCCTCTCAGCTGGTCCTGGATGGGCAAAGCCTAATGGGAATCTCAGTCTTATTCAGATGCCTGAGTCTCCTCAGCCCTCCTCTGCTCCTCCTCCCTATGGTGGTGCTGACTGTGGGCATTCGTCCTGTCTTCGGGGCATGCTGGCGCTGCTCCTCTGGTGCCCCCTGGGGAGTGTGGCCGAGGTCAGAGGCCCTGTGGCTGGTGTCTGGCCAGTTTTGGTGTGGACCCCTCGCTGGGCTCTGCCCACCTCGACTCCCCACGGCTCCAGCAACATCACTCAAACAAACTGTGTTTGCACACATGTGACTCAGTGATTTCTTCTGTAGGATTTTATTCTGCAAATGTGCTCATGATTGAGTAAAGACAATGACAAATGTGTTCACTGAAGCAGTGTTTGTGACAAAAGTCAGGAAACACCCAATGCCCACCAAACAGGATGACTTAAGTATCATCCATTCACACAATGGCATGTGTCTTTCCAGAAAGCAGGATTCTGTGATCAAGATATTTGGACATGTGCACAGCATGCTCCCACATGTACAAAGCACTCACACAAATATCCTCACGCATGCGCATATGGCCTTGGGTGTCTGGAGGGACACGTGGCACATTGCAGGCTGTGGCTCCTCGGGAATGGGTGTCCAAACCCCAGTTCTCTGCATCACTCTCTTTTAACTAAATCAGCATTTCATCCCTTTTAAGCCTGCTTTCACCGTCCTTCTACTATATGTGTTTAAAACCCATTCATGACTTTATAAAAACATCTCTTTGGGAAAAAGTGAGCCTGGGAAGGAAGTGTGGATTAGGAGTTTTGTTTTTTCCTTAAGATGATCTATTTTCTCCCTGGTGTTTGCAAGTTATTTTCATGAGCCATTTGGGAATGTCCTTTTTATTTACTGTGGATTCCAGACAAACCCAGACTCTTGTACTGCACAGCACAGCCCGAAGCAGCCTTGGCCCAAGAAGCCGTCTGGGCTGGAGCTAAGAGTGTGACTCAGCTGGGACCTATTTTTCCCAACCTGCCCTGCCTGCCGCAGGGGCACAGGCAGCTGTAAGTAGAGGTGGAGGTGCCCCAAGACAAAAGGGAGCCCCCCACAGGGTGCCTTCTGGTTACAGAAGGGGTCCGCCAGGATCTCTGCCTGCAGCTGTGCGACACCTGGACTGGCCATTTTCTCCCCCTTAGCTTTTGTGGGCAGAGATTCCAGGTGCAACTGCGGAGGAAGAAAACCAATGGCCTCTTCATGCAAAGCTGCGTCCCACGAGGTGGCCTGGTGAACCATGCAGAGCAGGCCTAGCCGGCTTTAGGACCCTGCAGGCTGGGGTGAAGGGAGTGCGGAGATTTTCTAGGTTAGGGGCCTCAGGGCAGGTCTAGTCCCATTTTGTCAAAGTCCCTCTGATGGCAGCACAGATGAGTGGTGTCACTGACTTTGAAGGGATGGACCTGAGTTGAAGCATATGACAAAATGAGCTCCAGCTAGACCTGGGGCAACCCTGGGGGTCTCCCCCAACTCAGGCTGAAGGGAAGCAGAGATATGCTGCAGCCTCTGCCTTTCTTTCCTGGATTTCTCCTTTCTCCAGGGATCCTGTTTCCTTTGATTGGAAAATGGTATAGAGCCCAAGACCTGGGCGCTGGGTGTTCTCCTGGCCACTGGAGAGTTGTTGCTCTAGCCTCTCTTAGTGGACAGAGCTAGGACACATATGTATGTGTACTCACCCATTTGTATATCATGTTAGTCTATTTGCATTGCCATAAAAGAATACCTGAGGCTGGATAATTTATAAAGAAAAAAGTTCATTTGGCTCATGGTTCTGCAGGCTGTGCAAGAAGCATGGAGCCAGCATCTGTTTCTGGTGAGGATGTCAAGAAGCTTTCAGTCATGGTGGAAGG